>NC_000011.10:79843574-80146605 GCF_000001405.40 Homo sapiens | reverse complement strand
AAAAACTTGGGTTTACGTAAAATACTACATGTCTTTAATGCATACACAAGTTTTTGGGGTGTTACGTGATGTGCTATGCGGTGTAATGGATGTGATTTACACTCGGTGACTCATTTGGGAGGCAGTGGAGCATGGGACATGGGATCCAGAAACGGCTGGATTAGAATCCTAGCTTTGCTACTCATTAGCTGACAGGTGCTGAGGAGATGACTAATACCCTTGAGGTCTGCTCTCTTCAGTGGGTTGTTCTGAGGTTTTTAACATTTTACCTGTACAATACCAGGAACAATACTTGGCATATTTCAGCGTTCAGGAATAATATCTACTGGACAGTTGCTGTGTGTTAACAAGTGCTTGGCAGTGTTCTAAATGGCCTTAAGTAATTTCATTGACTCCTCACAAAATCCTATAAGCTATTTGTTATCATCTCCATTTTATGGAAGAGTAGACTCAGAAAGATTAAGTAACTCATCTAAGGCCTCACAGCCTGTAAATGACATAGCCAAGGATATAAAACCAGGCAGTCTCATGTTATAGCTTCATTATCACTTTCACCTCCTCTTTTTTCTCTTTTCTCTTCCTTCCTTCCTTTCCTTTCTCTCTCCCTTCCCCTCCTTCCCTCCCTTCCTCCCTTCCTCCCTTCCCTCCTTCCCTCCTTCCATCCTTTCTTTTTTTTCCTTTCTTTTTTAACATAATATTTCCTTTAGAAAGTGATATCCAGCCGGGTTTAGGAAACAAAATAATCTGCCAGGTGCAAATTTTTACTAAATATTTTTCAGGTAACTTTTTCTTTTTTCTCTAGCATTATCTGTCTTCCTGTTTTTCTCATCTTTGCTGTATCTGAAATTTCTTCCTTGATCACCTGTTGATAGCTAGGAGCTCTGTGTGGCTTCATCAGTGATGCTGCCATATATCAGAAATTACTAATCTGAGGGGTTTTTTTTTCCTCACCATCTCGTGTTTGACAGGGCTTTTAATACCTTTAAATTTCTTTCATATATGGACAATAAGAATTAACACACCTGTTTCGAAGAAGTATCAGGCATTGTTCTAAGCAATTTACTTGCAATCATATGACTGAATTTGCAATGCAAAATAATGTAAGTTGGTTTCTGTTAATGATTTTACTATTCAGTAGCCCTGCTGTCTTTCTTAACAGTCTAACTCTTCCCTTCTCATCTGTCCACTGAGGCTGTGTTGAAAAGTAACTCTCTGATGAATCAACCAGTCGCTGTGGTATGCTGAGACTGTTAATGTATTATTTCTGTTTTGTCATTATCAGTCTGTATTTAACTGTATTTACTCAGTTATTTTCTATAACCACTCAATAAGAAAGATACTGTAATTATTCTCAATTTAGAGAGGAAAAAACTGAGGCCAGAGAAATTATGTCACCTATTGAAGGTCACACAGTTAGTAAAGCTCATACTCAAACCCAGGCAGTCCTGCAACAAAATCTATGCTTTTAATCATTAAACCTCCTGCTTTCATTTTCACTCTTTTTAGTCTTTTTCCTTCCCAGCAAGTCCATTCTGTTACAATCAGTTGGATCCTGCATCTGGAATCCTGTGACTATGAATTTGCAATGTAAAACAGTGTAATTTTGTTTTTGTTTGTATTCTTCCTCTTCAGTAGCTCTGCTGCCTTTCTTAACAGTCTGACCTTTCCCCTTCACATCTGTCTGTGTTAAAGCCACTGAGGCTGTGCTAAAAGAAAAAACAGCCCTCTAATGAATCTGTCCATGTCCCTATTCTCTGTGGTGTGCTAAGACTGTTAATGTATCATTTCTGTTTTCTAATTATTCAGTCAATTGTTTCTTCCTGTCTTTTCAAAAATCGACTCTCTTCCCATTTTCCAGATCATATAGCTTGTAAATGCTTTCCATTTATCTTTGCTTCTGGGCTCTAATTTGTTCCCAAAGTGCCAGCTGTAAGCATTTTGAGGCTCAATGTTTGATTTAAAATATTATATCCTGCCTTTCTTTTCTAATGAAAAAATAAGTGAATGTTCACTTAGAATTAAGAGAGAAAAGTTATTTTTAAAAATATACAAGTTATTTTTTCCATTTAGTCTCTGATTTTATTTTTAGTGTAAAGTAAGCAGAGAAGATATTATCCTTCTTCATTTTTTTTAATAGATGAGGAATCTGAAGTTTAGAGGGATAATATCAGAAAGATTAAATGAATTATCAAAACAAGGACACTGGCATCCTGCTAGGTCCTCTTCTTTCTTTTTCTGCATGATATAGTGATAGAAAATAAGCTAAATGCCTGGCGTGGAATCCTCACTGTCCTTCTTAGCTTCTGTGTAGGCCCAGGTATACCATATACCTTTTTTAGGTAGGTATACTTACAAGTTAGGATAGAGAGGAGTAAAAGTTATATCACCCACACTTCAAAACAAGTTTGATATTAGGGTAAGGCAAGTATCTACACATTTGTCTTCTGATTTGGTCACATGTGCAGATCATGCTCCTTTTGGTGGAAAAATGAAACATGGGGTTTCCCTGTGGCATTTGGTCTGGTAAATCTAAGACTGAGAAGGGAGTGAGGAGAGTTGTAGGCTCCATGGTATCTCTGTTCTGCAAATGATGTGCTGCCTTCTCTTGAATGACCAAATTTATTCGTTCATCCAAAGAGATATCACTGCGCTTTTCAGTGTGTTTCCTTTAAATTAGTCCATTAAATTGCATTGTCCCAATAAGCCCCAAAGGTACCTTTGTGATCTAAAGGGAAATGATTTAAAGCAGTTATCATAATGCCTAGCATCCCCTACACGCTTAGCAAGAATTACCAAGAAAAGAGTGAATTCGGCAAGATAGGAACCGTTGATCACAGCAGACATATTGACTGGAGAGAGTAGTTGTGCTGAGCCTGGAGGTTTCCAAGAAAGTACTCTAGTAGGGTGGGAGGCAGAAGTCAGGAGATTCCAACTAACTGACTCTCTCTTCTGTAGATCTTAGATTTCTTATGTCAAAGTTGAGGTGTTGGACTAGAGCATCCCTGGGACTTTGGTAATCCGGTACTGGAGTACTAGTAACTGATGCACAGAATATATAGCAGGTATATTGAGGACCTCCATGGAATGCGACAACTTCTATATTTCCTTTTTTAATGCAAATGAGACAGAGTGTAATGACTCTGTGAAAAAAAGGGTTTTCTTTCCCTCTGGAGGGAAAATGAAATATTAAGAGGCTTTACTATTGCAAAGAAGTAGATAACAAGACAATTAGTGCCATTAAAAATGACAAGGCACCAAGCCCTGATGGATTACATGGCTTGGTTCAGAGGGTTTTTACAAGGGAATGGGAAAGTCCATAAGCAGAACCTTCCAGAAGACAGGAGCCCAGAATCCAAGCTCATGCTGGAGATCAAGAGGCCTTCCCCCTACACAGACACCAAATGCTCTCTAGAGTCCGAAAGCCAGAACAAGGCCCATGCATGAAGGCACTGTGATGTTGAGGATGCCTCGGGTGATGTATCTACAGCTGGGTCTTCTCTGTGCTCCTGTAAGACCTTCTCTATCCCTTCATTATGCCACAAGTCACACAGTTTCTTATCTGTCTTTGTTCCCCATAGGAATGTGACTGCTCTAGAGCAAAACTTTATTCATGTCAGGCATAGTGATTGGCACAGAGCAGAAGAATGTTTGTGGAATGAATGCATGAATGAATAAATGAAATAGAAGATGTGAGCCTTGGCCCTAGTTCCATATAAGCTCTCTCACAGAGATGCATGTTTTAGGGGAAAATATTTGGAACACCATTTTGAAATTAAGCATCCTGAAGAATATTCGCTTCTGTAAAAACATGGCCAACTTTGAAGGGATCTTAAGAATAAGATAACACTTGCAAAAGCAATTCAGGGAGAAAAAGCCAATGGCCAAAAAAGCTGGGCCATTCTTAACAGTCATCACTTTCAAATGCATTCAAAATGTGATAGTCAATGTTGAGACTGGTTTTCCTGTACTTCTTAATTTATAGAAGAGGTAAAATTTAGAGAGGTTAAGTAGTTCAACCTTAACCTCAGGGCACAGCAGACAGGTTAGGGTTTTATCCAAAGTGTGTCTAAGTTCAGAGCCCCTTTTCTCTCTATTATGCCCAAAGTCTCTAACTTTATGAGATACTGGTCTTTTTATGCTGTTGGTACAGGAAGTAAGCTAGAGTCATGTCAAACAAGGATCCTGAGCACATCCAGCTTCATTTGTTGTTAATATTAGATGATAGTGGATATGAACGTGCTGTCCTTTGGCCATGGCTTGCCAGTTCTGAATTGGATCCTTATTCTGGACCTTTGACCACTGTGTCTCAGACCAGGCCCATTCCTCAGTGGAGGAGCCTCGATGGAACTCAGAGTACAGAAGGGAGATGTATTACCACTCCCGTTGAATAGTGGGGAAACAGACTCAGAAGACAGGTTTTACTCCAAGGTCCCAGTGGCCTAAAAACAGAAAAGCCTGGAGTTGCCCCAGACTGCTGTCATTTTGTCCAATATCATTTCCACTAGTCCTCAGCTCAAAGCATCCCTGAGACATTGCAGATCATGAGGAGAGTGGGGGAGTACCAGCTATGGAGACCGATTCTCTTGGATCTAAATCCCGACTCTGACATTTATCAGTTATGTGACCTTGGACAAATTGCTTAATATCTCTAAGGCTCAGTTTCCTCTTCCATGTAATGAGGGAACTAATACCTACCTCACTGAGTTGCTGTGAGAATTAAATGAATCTGTGAATTAATTAATTTATTCTCTGCCTTGTTCCAGAAAGGATTCAAGGTGGCTTACAAGGACACAATAATATAATTTAAGAATAGAGGAGAAAGGAAATAAGAACAAGACAGGCAGAAAGAGGAGTCAGTCCAATGCGATGGCTAAGAATAAGTGACTTGTTTTGCTCAAAGCTGTCCAATACCCAACCCCAGTAGGGAAACTTTGGCAGATACATTGGTTGTCATATTTATTAGGTTATAACAAAGCCATGACTAAAAGGGGAGCATGGCTATGTTTAAGATATAGAGTCCATTTCATGTTTCCATATCCAAGATATAGGTTCCAAGTTCCAGTTACTTCACTAGGCAATGGAGATCCGTGTAGAAAAAGGCAGGCCTAACCCCTCCCCTCATGGAGGTAACAGTCTTCATAAAGAGAACACTAATAAGATGTATCACTTCCATGATTTCATCATTACCAAGAAATGCAAAAAATACCTATGAGCTATATGAAAGTCCACGTGTTAAGCTCTGAGTGCAGTGTCTGGCACACAGAATGTGTTTAATATTCATTTGCCCACTTATTTAGCAAATATTTATCAATCTATCTATGTCTATGCATTTTCTAGATATGCCAATTATGCAATGGACAAAGAAGTAAAAATCTCCTACCTACATTTTAGTTGAGGAGAGAGACGATGTATAGGACCATTGAATGAAATATATGAGATATTAGATATTGATAAGGGAAGGTGGTAAAGGGCTCTGAGGGTGGTTTAGAGGAAATCCCAGGGGAGACCTCACTGAGAAGTCGATATTTGAGTTCAAACCTGAAAGAAATGAGAGAGGTAGCATGAAGTTTCTGAGGAACATTTTAAGCAGAAAGAACAGCAAGTACAAAAGCCAAAGACTGGCATGGACCTGACAGTATTTGCTTGGTATTAGGCGAGTCTTTCAGTTGAAAGTAACAGGAACTCAACTCAAAACAGGTTAGGTAAAAACAATTTACAGGAAGAAGACTCAGGTGGTTCATAGAATTTGACGATGAGATTCAGGAAGATAACCATCTCAGGAGCTCCGCAGTAACATTTATTATAGCCAAAGGAGGGTGATAAGTATGCTTTTCCTTGCCTCCTTTTTCATGGAAAATACCTAGGTTCAAAGGTCATTATGGCTGTAGAATGGCACATGATATGATTGGCTCAGCCTGGATCATGGTCCTAGCTCTGTGATTTGGTTAGTAAAATCTATCATCCAAATGAGGTAGAAAAGGAGCTGAGATAACAAAAACCACAGCCACCAAAAGTCTCGTGCAAAGTAAATGACTTGCCCTAAAAAAAGCAGTTCTGTAAATGGCAAAAGTGGAGTCTGCATCCGTCTACGCCATCAGAAATCTTTCATATCCTAGTTAATTTGATGATTCTCCTTTATGACTGATTCCCAAAAGATGTTTTGTGGTTTTCCTCCTCTTTACAGAGGGCATGCTGTTCATTGTCATGTGCATATAATGATCCCATAATTTAAAAAGCTTCATGTTCATGATGTTGAGTGGTAAGCTATAATTACCTCCCCTTTCTTGTCATTAGGAAATGCTATGAGATTTCAAACAACTGAAGAGTAGGCCACAAGTATACACAAAGTATCCAATAATGCACAAGTTAATCTAAGTCATGATTATTATTTGTAATAACAATATTTACAATTGAAAAGTAATTTAAGAGGAAAACACAAAAATGCATGATATAGTGAGGGGATTGTTGTGAGGTGTTTTGGAGAAAATAGGCATAGTCTTATAATGAGATAAGAAATAGGGGCCTGTTCATTCAGTTTGGTTATTTCACTTAGCATGTGACCATCTATCCCTAAGGATGGGCTGCATCAGTGTGCACATGTCCTCTGGCTTCAGCCAAAACAAAGCACTGGCAGGAGATTGGGTGAGGAAAGAGAATGAGATTTGAGTATTTATTTACCATCTGGGTTCCTACAGGGGCACCTCAGATTTTCTGCATGTCTCTTTGAAGTGCTCTCTCATTTCGTTTTCTCTCTCGGGGTTGGGAAAATAATTGTCCCCTCATGCCCCTTTAGTCCCAGGGGTGGTGATGATGACTCCCAGGTGTTACGAGCCCCTGAATGCTGGTCCTATCTCCTGTCCAAGTGTGTCTGTAATTTATTCCTTCCGGTGGGTTCTTGGTCTCGCTGACTTCAAGAATGAAGCCACGGACCCTCGCGGTGAGTGTTACAGTTCTTAAAGATGGTGTGTCCGGAGTTTGTTCCTTCAGATGTTCTGACGTGTCTGGAGTTTCCTCCTTCTGGTGGGTCCGTGGTCTCACTGACTTCAGGAGTGAAGCCGCAGACCTTCACAGTGAGTGTTACAACTCTTAAAGGTGGTGCGTCCGGGTTGTTTGTTCCTCCCAGTGGGTTCGTGGTCTCGCTGACTTCAGGAATGAAGCTGCAGACCCTCGCAGTGAGTGTTATAGCTCATAAAGGTAGTGTGGACCCAAAGAATGAGCAGCAGCAAGATTTATTGTGAAGAGGGAAAGAACAAAGTTTCCACAGCCTGGAAGGGGACCCCAGCGGGTTGCCGCTGCTGGCTCGGGTGGCCAGCTTTTATTATTTGGCCCTGCCCACATCCTGCTGATTGGTCCAATTTACAGAGTGCTGATTGGTGCATTTACAATCCTTTAGCTAGACACAGAGCACTGATTGGTGCATTTACAATGCTTTAGCTAGACAGAAAAGTTCTCCAAGTCCCCACCCCACCCAGAAGCCCAGCTGGCTTCCCCTCTCATGAGTCTTCATAAATGGTGGCTTTATTAAACTCTCCTCAGTCCCAGATTTGAAAGACCATCTATTTCCTGCCAGTACACTGACACACACCCTCAATCAATTTCATGCTATCTTGCAATACCTAATCATGGTATTTATTCTGCTTATCTCAAGTCAGGCGTGTCTGTGGAGAGATCTGTCCTCTTGTTTCCTTGCTACCTATGCGTCTTTGCTAATGTTCACTCCTGGAATGTACTCTGAGCCTCTATC
Organism: Homo sapiens; assembly: GCF_000001405.40. Taxonomy (NCBI): domain Eukaryota; kingdom Metazoa; phylum Chordata; class Mammalia; order Primates; family Hominidae; genus Homo; species Homo sapiens. Next base: position 80,138,861 of record NC_000011.10, on the reverse strand, counting down.
TCTGTCTAAATTCCTCACTATTCAAAACCCTTCCATATCCTACAGGAAACTTTGTCTTCAATGCCATCTCCTATAGGAAACTTTGCCAAATCTACCAGCCAGAAGCAATCTTGCCTTTCTCTAGACTCCCACAGCTCTTTACTCAACCTTTGTAATGATGCTTATTTCTACTTTGTATGACTTTTTGTTCGGCACACATATTATCTTCCTTAATTAACTAGATTCGTGCCTTCATTAATTGGAAGGCTAGATGCATGCCTTTCAAGACTTGCATCCCAACAAGAGGCTAAAAGAATGCCTCATACATCTTGGCATTCAGAAAGTATTGTTTAATTGAAAGAGTGAACAAATTGCTAAATTCCAGTGATATCACTTACAGAGCTAATCTCAGGCAGTTGTGTTCACATTTTAATATATATTCATTGATCCTACAAATTCATTAAATATTTTTTATTTGAATTTTTAATATCACCTGTGCAGAAATACGTAAGGTCCTTAGAAAAAATCTTGAATAGCCCCTCCACACTGGTTTCCAGAGGCACTGAAGTTAATTCTTTATTCTTAATAGTACTGGTAGTAACCTCAAATACAATTTGCACCCATATAGAGCTGTGAAGCTCAAACTTTGCTGGCTGTAACAAAATCATATAGGGAGCTTTGAAATGTAGATAAATTATTGTCATCTTAGTCTTCACTTCTACCCCAGACCCGCTGGATGGGCATTTGGGTGAGAGGGCTGGCTGATTTGAATTTTATCACCTTCCCTTTTGCTACTTTCGCTCAGTTTTGGCTCTGCTAACTAAACATTCGTCCAAGAACTGGTATTCAGGAGCTGCTGTTTTAAAGTACAGTTTGGTAATAAAAACTTCTCATAAGGAAAATAAAAGGTTTACCTACATTTAATAAATGAGAAAATGGAGGTTCCAAAATGCTAAATCAGTTTGAAAAAAATAAACATTTTGCAGAAGTAGGAATATTAAGGCTGAATAAACATATTAAAAGATGCTCAATCCTGGGTGTCAGTAAGATGAGGAATAGGAAGCCCCAGAACCTCCTTCCCCCATGGAGACACTGAATCAATGACAACACAGGAACCAGTTTCCTTTGTGATAAACCCAGAAAACAAGAGATTCTTGTACCTCATGTGAGCATGAAACCAGATGCATCAAAGCTTGTAGGAAAACTTGTGGCACTCATTCATCATAGTCCCTCCACTTGGTTCATCATGGCACAACTGAGAGAAAACTCTCAGCTCCCAGCTTCTCAGTGAGGAAAAGAGAATACTGAAACATACATTTAATGTGCAGACTTTTGGGGGATCTGGACCAAGGGACTGGTTTTGTCTGTCTCAGTCTAAACACTGACAAAAAGGGGCACCAGGTTGAGGGTTGCTAAGAACAAAGGCAGAGGTTTGGGCAAGCACACACTCACTTGCTATAGCTCCTCTCCCCATCTAAGCGTGGAACAAGTGGAAGAAAACTCCAACTCTGACTTGACTCCAAGGAGGGAAAGTGTTGAAGTAGTGTGCATCCAACATTTGGGCTTTGGGGGGTTTGCCTGAGAAGCTGGTTTATGTCTTATCTGTTCCAGTGCACTGAGGGCACCCAGCATACTTTAGATGCCTAGGAGTCATTGAGAATGAAAGAAAGCTGGGTGGCGCACTGCCGTAACAGATGATTCATGGTACAGTAGATGGAGGCCAACACAGTTCAACAGCTTCCCCTTTGGTGGGGGTGGTTGGGGGAGATAAGAATGGTATGTGTGTTCCACATTCTGACTTTTCAAGGGGTTGCCTAAGGAACAAATTTCTCTCTGGGCCAATATACTTTAAAAGCCTGAGAGCCTCTGAGAACAAGAGAACCGGAGTACCACAGCAGACATCAGAAGGAGGAAAAAATTATAAATGCTTGTAAAAGGAAATTAGCAATTCTGTATAATTGGGAACTTATACACACACGTCCAGGAAGGATTTGCATCTATAGGAAAGGTTTGAGAGGCCCCAAGAATTTCTAGCCTGCTTGACTAGTGAAGGTCTATCTCTGTCCTAAGCCATTCCATAGACTGGAACTGTTGACATTTTCCAAATATGTGGATTCCAGCACAACGTTACAATGCACATTAAGAAACAGGAAAACATGGCTGAATGAAAGAAACAAAATAAATCTCTAGAAACTTGTCCTAAATAAATTGAGGTATATAAATTGGTTGACAAAGAATTCAAAATAATCATCATAAATGTGGTCAATGAAGTCAGGAAAATTATGCATGAACAAAATAAGAACATCAACAAAGAAACAGAAAACATAAACCAAACAGAAATTTGGGAGCTTGAGAGTACAACAACTGACATGAAATATTAATTAGAGGGGTTCGGCCACAGACTTCATCAAGCAGGATAAAGAACCTACTAACTAAAAAGCAGGTCATTTGAAACTATCCAGAGGAGAAAAATAACAATAGTAGAGAGTGAAGAAAGCCTATGAAACTCCTGGGAGACCATCAGGCAAACCAATACACACGTTTTGGGAACATCAGAAGAAGCCAGAGAGAAAGTGTCAGAAAGCTTAGTTGAAAAAATAATGGCCAAAAACTTCCCAAATCTGAAAAAGGAAGTAAACATCCAGATACAAGAGGCCCAAAGGATTCTGACTAGGGTGAACCGAAAGACAAATAACAGATTTCTTAGAAGAAAACTTTCAGACCATAATGGAGTGGGAAAATATATTCAAAGTGCTCAAAAAGAATGCCAGTCAAGAATATTGTGTCTGGCAAAATTGTCTTTTAAAAATGAAAATGAAATAAAGACTTTTCCAGATAAACAAAAGTTGGGGGGTTTTTACCACTATGCCTGCCTTGTAAGAATTACTAAAGAATATCCGTTAAGTTAAAACAAAAGCACGCTAGCATACTACACAACAACACAAAAGCATATGAAAGTATGAAGCTTGCTAATAAAGGTAAATTTATAGAAGGCTATAAAATAGTGTAATACCATAATGGTGGTGTACAAATCAATTTTAATGTTGGTATAGAAGATAAAAGGCAAAAGTATAAAAATATTTATAATTATAAAATATGTTAGTGATTGTACAATATGAAAATACATAATTTATTGTATCAATAGCATAAAGTGTTGGGGTGAAGAGGTAAAAAAGCAGAGTTTTTGTATGAGATTGAGATAAAGTTCTTATCAGCTTAAAATAGATTGTTATAACTACAAAATGTTTTATGCAAGCCCCATAGCAACCACAAAAACTACTCAAATAAGACAAAGAAGATACACAAAAGAAAATGAGAAAGGAATCAAAACATGGCACTACAAAGAAATTAAAACAAAAAACAAAACACAAAGGAATATAGCAAGAGAATCAAAGGACAGAATAGCTGTAAGACAGACAAAATAATTTTTAAAATGGCAATAATAAGCCCTTCTGTATTCTGTATTCGTAATTACTTTAAATGTAAATAGATTAAACTCCCCAATCAAAAGATATAGAGTGGCTGCATGAATTTAAAATATATATATCCAACTATATGCTGTCTACAAGAGAGTCACTTTGAAGGACACACAGGCTAAAAGTGAAAAAAATGGAAAAATATATCCTTAAAAATATTAAGCAAAAGATAATGGGGTGGCTACGTTTATATAAGACAAAATACAGTTTAGGTCAAAAATGATCACAAGAGACAAGAAAAGACATTACCTAATGACAAAAGTCTCAATTCACCATGAAGATGACAATATAAATATATAAATATGTGTGTGTGTGTGTATATATATATATATATATATATATATATATACACTCAATATCAGATCACCCAAATACATAAAGCAAACATTGACAGCAATAAGAGAAAAATAGATAGCAACACAATAATAATAGCAGATTTCACTTTCAATAATGTATAGAACATTCACACAGAAGATCAATAAACAAATAGAGGACTTTATAATAAAGACCAAATGGGGCTAACAGACATATACAGAACATTTCACTCAACAGCAGTAGAATACATATTCATCTTAAGCATGTACAGAACATTCTCTAGAATAGATCACATGTTAGGTCACAAGAAAAGTTTTTAACAAAGACTTTCAGAAGATTAAACTCCTACCAAGTATCTTTTCTGACCACAGTGAATTAAACCGTAAACTAATAACAGAAGGAAAATTGGAAAATTCACAAATATATGAAAATTAAGCAACACACTGTTGAACAACCCGGGAATCAATGAAGAAAGAAAAAGGAATAAAAAAATCTTTAGACAAATGAAATGAAAATACACTATATCAAAATTTATGGGATGCTGCAAAAGCAAGACTAAGGGGGACATTTGTAGCAGTAAATGCCTACATTAAAAAGGAAAAATGGTTACAAATAAACAATCTAGTTTTATTCGAGTAACAAAAAAGAATAAACTAATACACTATAATAATAAAAATGAGAGCAGAAAAATAACATAATAAAGCCCATATATGAAAAGTCCACAGGTAGCATTATACTCAATGATTAAAAAACTGGAAAGTTTTCCTGTAAGATCAGGAACACAGCAAAAATACCTACCTTCACCATTTCTATAAAAGATAATGCTGGAATTCCTACCCAGAGCAAGGAAAAAAAATGAAAGGCCAAATCAGAAAGGAAGTAAAATTATCTTTGTTTGCAAATGACATAAACTTATATGTAGAAAACCCTAAAGGTTCCACAAAAATTAGTTAAAACTATTTTAAAAAACTGATGAAGTTGCAGGATAAAAAATCAAAAACCAAAATCAGTTTCATTTATATACATTAAAATAAACAATCCAAAAAAGAAATTAGGAAAATGATTCCATTTCCAGTAGAATACAAACAAAACAAAATACTTAGGAGTAAATGCAACTAGAAGGTGAAAGACATACACTGAAAACTCTAAGACATTGATGAAAGAAATTTAAGAGGATACATATAAATGGAAAGATACTTCATGTTCATGGATTAGAAGATTTAATATTACTAAAATGTCCATGTATTCAAAATGATCTACAAATTCAATGCGATCCCTACCAAAATTTCAATGACATTTATTGCAGATATAGAAAAAAAAAAAAAAACTCTTAAAATTTGTATGAAACCACAAAGCACCCTGAATAGCCAAAACAATCTTGAAAAAGGAAGAACAAAGCTGGACGGCTTATACTTCCTGACTTTAAAACATATTACAAAAAGCTACAGAAATCAAAACAGTATGATACTGGCATAAAGACAGACACGTAGATACGTAAACCTTTGCATATATAATAAAATGATCTTTAACAAGGGTGCCAAAATGACATATTGTGGAAAGAAGAGTCTCTTCAACAAATAATGGTGGGAAAACTGGATATCCAGTCAACAGGGTAAAAAGACAACTTATAGAATATGAGAAAATGTTTGCAAACTATATATCTGATAAAAGGTTAATTTTAAAAATGCATGTTACTGATACTATTCAATTAAAAAATGATTAACATGCTTTAAAAATAGGCTAAAGAATTGAAGAGAAGAGACATTTCTTCAAAGAAGACATACAAATGGTTCCCAGGTATATGAAAATATGCTCAATGTCACCAGTTATCAGGGAAATGCAAATCAAAGCCACAGTGAGACAATGCGATATCACTGCACACTTCTTAAGATGTCTACTATCTAAAAAATGGAAGACAAGTATTGACAAGGATGTGGTGAAATTAGAACACTCCTACACTGTTGGTGGGACTGCAAAATGGTGTAATTACTATGGAAAAACCATGTAAAGTTTCCTCAAAATATTAAAAATAGAACTACCATTTGGTCCAACAATTCTGCTTCTGGTATTTACTCAGAGAATCAAAATCAGAATCTTGAAAAAGATATTAGCTTTAATGTTAATCACAACATTATTTATAATAGCAAAGATGTGGAAACAACCTAAAAGTCCATCAACAGATGAGTTGTTTAAAAAATATGTAAATACATATAATGGAATATTATTTATTCTTAAAAAAGAAAAAATTCTGGCCAGGCACGGTTGCTCAAGCCTGTAATCCCAGCACTTTGGGAGGCCAAGGTGGGCAGATCACCTGAGGTCGGGAGTTCGAGAACAACCTGGCCAACACGGCAAAACCCCATCTCTACTAAAAATACAAAAGTTACCCGGGCATGGTGGCCTGTGCCTCTAATCCCAGCTACTTGGGAGGCTGAGATAGGAGAATTGCTTGAATCTGGGAGGTGGAGGTTGCAGTGAGCCAAGATTGTGCCACTGCACTCCAGCCTGGGCAACAGAGATTCTGTCTCAAAGAAAAAAAAAAGAAAAAAAAGAAAAAAAAGAAAAAATTCTGCACACCGTATGATAACATGGATAAACCTTGAAGTGATTAAGTGAAATTAACCAGTCACAGAAGGACAAATACTGTGTGATTCAATTTATATGATGAATCTACAATAGTCCAACTTATAGAAGTAGATACCAGCATGAGGGTTGCCAGGGCCTTGAGGGTGGGAGAAATAAGGAGTTGCTGTTCATGGCTATAGAGTTTCAGGCATGTTAAATGAAAAAAATTCTAGAAATCTGCTGAACAACAACATACATGTAGTTAACAATATTGTACTACATATTTAAAAATTTGTAAGAGGGCAGAACCTATGTCACATGTTATTTGCCACAAAAAAAGATGCTCATTCTGATTAGTAATTAGAAAAATACAAATTAATACCTCAGTGAGATATTAATTTATACTTACCAAACTGGCAAAAATTGGGAAATCTGATATACCAAGGTTTGGAGTAGATGGGATTCAAAGGGGGCTCATATGTTGCTGTAGAAGTGTACATTGGTTCAAACATTTGGAAAGCAACTTGGCATCATTGTGTACAGAACATCTGCATTCTCTATAATTCAGTAATTATAATTCTAGACATATATTCTTGCCCATATGCACCAGGAGACATATACAAATAAAAAAGATTATAGCAGCACTGTTGATAATAACAACATAGAAACAACCTAAGTGTCTATCAACTAGAGAATGAGTTATATAATAAATTGTACTATAGTCACACAATGGAATGATATTCAGCAGAAGAAATGAGAGAGATTTACAGCTGCAAAATGGATATTCCTTAGAAGCATGCTGAAGATAAAAAGCAAATTATTGAAGATTACTTACTATATCATTTTCATAAAGCTTAAAATTGAGCAAACAATAGAGATATATATATGTTCATTATATCATTATAGCTTTTCATTATATGTATATATAACTTTTTTAAGCAATGGGATTATTTTTAGAAATTAGAAAAATGTTTACCTCTAAGCAGTAATATGGGGGTCAGCAATTTAGATGGGAGGAAAATATAGATAGAGCAAAAGTTCCACTTCTTAAATAGGTTTAAATAGCGTGTTGGGTTCATTGGTTTTTATTTTATTACTTTATGACTTACATACTTGTCATATTTTCACTTTTGTATTTATAAATTATTAAGCTTTCAAAAAGTTAGTAAAAATAATGTGTTTTTTGTTTGTTTTGTTTTGTTTTGTTTTTGAGATGGTGTCTTGCTCTGTCACCCAGACTGGGGTGCATTGGTGGAATCTTGGCTCACTGCAACCTCCATCTCTTGGGTTTCAGCGATTCTGTCTCAGCCTCCCAAGTAGCTGGGATTACAGGCATGTACCAACATGACTGGCTAAATTTTTCATTTTTTTTTTTTTGTATTTTTAGTAGAGTTGGGGTTTCACCATGTTGGCCAGGCTGTTCTTGAACTCTTGACCTCAGGTGATCCGCCCGTCTCGGCCTCCCAAAGTGCTGGTATACAGGCGTGAGCCACCGCACCTGGCCAGCTTGTCCATTTTCTATTGGATGGTTGAATGGATGGATGGATGGATGGATGGATGGATGGATGGATGGATAGATGAAAGCATGGGTGAATGAGAAGGTCCAGGAAAGAATTAGCGAAGTGTTCCCAAGGGATTTGAAGGTGGAGGCAGAAATATGAAAAAAAAAAATCAAAGGACATACTAACAATGGGAAAGGATTTTGCAATTCAGTGACTAGGTGAAATAACATTAGAAGGCTGTTTTTGCCATCGGATACAGTTTAGATCAGAAAAGAAGTTAGGGAGGTAATGTATGTAACCCTGATATGAGGTGCAGTGTTGCATCCCTTCATTTTGGGAATTACCTTATGGTCACTTCATTTCTATGGCAGCACTCATAAGCTTCTCCATTGGAGCCCATATCTTTTGGAGCCAAATGCATTTCGTTAACAATCAAGACTTGAGTGAGGAGAGTATGACTTGAGTTGTTCCTTTCGGCAGCTTGTAGATTAAGAGGAAAGACATGTGATCTTTATAAACAGCCGTAACCCAAGATAAAAAGAGAAGAAATGCACTGAAATTGGGCTATGATTATTTGCAAAAGGGGCAAGTTGAGAGAGTCGCAGACTGGAGTTAGCTTTTGAATCAAGGCAGCTGAGTGAGTGCATAGAATTAGGGTATAGTCAGGGAAAGAATAGCTTGGGCAAAGTGGAAGAACATCCCTCAGAGATGGAAGCAAATATTATCCTCAATTTAAAGATAATGAAATTGAAGTTCAGAAAAGTAGAGTAAATTGCTGAAAATCATACAGCAGATGAGTGGTGTGGTCACAGTTCAAACCTAAATTTCCTGATGCCAAAACCCAAGGTCTTAAAAATTTTGCCAGTGGCTTCTCTGAATTAAGGTGTTATCAAGGAATGGAGAGGAGGGGACAACAGTGAAGAAACTGGATAATAATAATACCAATAGCAAACACTTGTAGAGCCATACACTCTACAACCACCCTGTTTTACAAGTGAGGAAACTGAAGCTCTGATAAGTTAAATCACTTGCCCGAGGTCATGCACCTGGTAAGGATTTGAACCCAAGCAATCTGGCTCCAGCATGTGTTTTGAAAATAAAGCTAAAGAAAGGGGGAAGTGAAGATGATGAGAGTGTGATATCATCTAGAAGAGCTAAAGTCTTCCCAGAGTAACTACAGAACTCTAACCTTTCTACTGTGAGTCTGTCTTCAGGCAGCAATATGATTCTCCTTTCCTCATTTTCCTCACTCTTAAAACAGGAAAAAAAAAAGCTAAACTAAAAAACAAACTGTAATTAGGATTCTTATCTTTTGAATTCAGAACAAAAATTAAAAAGCAGCTGAAAGGACTTCTTTAAAATGGAAAGAAAACTATTTGAGATTATGAAAGTATGCTAATTAAAAATGATTGATATGTTATTTTGTTAGTGACTCATGTTACCTTGTTACAGTTTCATTCATTTCTTGTTGACTAATGAGCTCACTAAAATAAAGAGATGAATTTAGATGGAATCTTAATTTTCTTTAGGATTTCATATATGTTTACATTTCATTTTAGTTGTTAAGCCAACCTGTAAAGTTTACCACTATGTTCTATTTAATTTGAAACTAAAAAGACAATGAGAAGAAAAGAACTTGCAATCTGGCTGAGACATAGGGTCTTGTTTGTTGGTGCATGTTGACTGTTTATAATAATGAAAAAGGCCGGGTGTGGTGGCTGATGCCTGTAATCCCAGCACTTTGGGAGGCCGAGTTGGGCAGATCACAAGATCAGGAGATGGGGACCATCCTGGCTAACATTGTGAAACTCTGTCTCTACTAAAAATACAAAAAAAAAAAAAAAAATTATCCGGGCATGGTGGCGGGTGTCTGTAGTCCCAGCTACTGGGGAGGCTGAGGCAGGAGAATGGTGTGAACCCAGGGGGTGGAGCTTGCAGTAAGCCAAGATCTCGCCACTGCACTCCAGCCTGACTGACAGGGCGAGAAAAAATAAAAAATAAAATAATAATAATATTGAAAATTTTCTTCTCTTAGTATTAAACAAATTAACATCAAGGAAATGGAATCATTCTTGGCCAATTATGATTCTTGATAGATGGTGGGAAAAAGTCCTCAGAACTAAACACTTTTCTGATTTTTTTGTTTTCAATATGAAAACAGGACTAGAGTTAAAATATTGGCTCTTGTTTTGCCTCAGTTACTTCCTAGCTTTGTGAACTTGGCCATGCTCTGAGCTTCTACTAGCTTTGTTTCATGGAAACCTGCTTTGCCTTTTCCATAGGAGTTATATGAGTTATATGAGAAAAGATGACGTAGAAGGGTATGTTTTAAGACGTACAATGCCATAGAAATATGTGGCTTTACTGGTACTTTTTCTAATTTAGAAACTATTAGTCTATTGGAAAAGGGAAGTCATAAGCCGTAAAGGAAGGGACTGCCTCTAGGTCCCCATCCCTGTTAATGAGAGAGAATAGTGTAGTTGAAAGATTAGGAAGGATAAAACTGACTCACAGACTTACTTTACAGTATTTGTTCTTGACAATCTTTCTTGGGGATTATCTGTTTTTTTTTCTGTTTTTTTTTTTCTAAATGTTTGCAAAGAACTTAATTTTGGCTTAGTTAATTGATCTATTATTATTGTTTTTGTTCATTTTTACTCTATACTTTTCCTTGCTTCTGCATATTTGGGGTCTTAACTGGGTGCCAGAGGTCCTCAGCAAGATCCTTACACTCTGGATAGGACAAAACTTGAACATCCACTGTCCTATGCCTTCATTAGTACTTCTGCTTAGTGCTCAGCCTTGTGGCAGCTGCTCTCTTCCAGGCTAAGTGTACACTTTTCTTGATTATGACTAGCCTAACACTTGATAATAGCCCCATAAGAAACTGTCCCTCATACGTTTATGGTCACCCTCTGAACATTTTCATTTTCTCTAGCACTCTGTCTCTCAAATATCACCCACATCAGTAGCCCCAAATCTAGTTTTTGCCTCTTTAGCAATGCTCTGTTTCGGGGTCTACTTTGCTGTACTGCAGTCCAGAAAATGGCCGTAAGCAGAAAGCTGGTGCAAATATTTAGCTCATGATGATTTGGTGATCATCTCTCAAGGAATACTGTCCTTCATTGCCTGTTTTTCAGTGTCTAAAAACATTTTCTTCATAGATTTTAAGTTGTGTAGTTTTTGTTTTTGAGTTTCAGTGGGAAGGCAAGTTTAGTACTAATTACTTTGTCGTGTCTAAAAGCAGAACACTGTGTTTCTAAGAACCGGAAGACTTAGGGTCTAGTTGTAGATCAACTCTAATTTGTATCCTGTGCCTTTGTTTTTTTGCCCCATTGGTATTGGCATCATCATCAATTGGTATTGGCACCATCATTGGTATTGGCAAGATCATAGAATCTTGGTGAAGCCCGATTTAGATAATAGTTATGGAAGTGTTTTGCAACTTAAACATGTATTATATAAAAATTATATAACATCAAACATGAATATTACTCACTAAGCATGATACTTAAAAGGATTAGTCAATATGCCTGATGAAATGAGTACTTCCTGGCACCTCAGAAGAGGAGCTAGGAGAAGAGAAATAAAATTTATAATTGATTACTATGTGTCACGTGTTATGCTTGTGGCTTTATTAACTTGAGCTACTCTTTATGACTCATGTTAATTTCATTCCCATTTTGCAGATGAGAAAACATAGGCTCAGAGGGGTTAAATCACTTACACAGCCAACAAACAATAGATTCAAAGCCCTGGATGTTGATGCCAAAGCCCATGCTTTAAACTTGTTTTCCAAAGATGTCTTTTTCAGAATGAAGGGCTTCATATACACATCTAGATCATATTGCTGAACCTCTGAGATTTGTCAAACACCAAATTAAATCCTGCCTATTATGGTATCCTGTTTTCTTCTCGGTGCTGATTTTTTTTTTAACTTGTTAGACATTTATTGTGTAAATGGTTCTGAGGAGTGTGAAAATAATTAGTAATAACCACATTTTAAAATAGCAGTCACTCATTTGTGTACCTATGCATGTATGATTGTGTGTGTGCACATGTGTGTGTTTCTGGAGTTGCTGCTGAGTAGATCCTTTTCTTCCTTTTTGCACCAGAATTCTGGCTTGAAATACAACTATTAAATATAGTGTAAATATTACTACATTGGGATGTTAACATTTAAAAATTGTTCCTTGCCTTTTTAATATGTTTTGCTATTTTCCCTGCCTAATTATCATTATTTTCAATGTTTATGTGTTAACATGACCTTTTTCTGATTCAATGCCTTCAACTGGGCCTCAATTGCTCACACTATCGTACTTTTAAAATTAAATTATGTTCCAAAATGATGAGTGATTCATATCAGAAAAAGAAGCAGTGTGGTAGAAAGGTCATAACATCTGTTAGAACCTCTGAGCCATTGTTTTTATAAGCAAGAATCAGGAAACCTAAGAAAAAGTCAGGGTGTAGATATTGTTTGCATCATTACCATGCAGACACTGTGTTAGGGGTGCTTTCATGTCCATCACCTCATTTAACATTTGCAAGAAAAGTTAAGGAAAAAACTGCTCTCCCCCTTGACAGTAATTAACTCAGAGGGCAAGCAAGCTTACACAACTCAGTGTGGAAGTGAAGATGGGTTTCATTTCCAGACCTTCCTAATACATAAGCCCAAGTTTGTTTGTTTGTTTTCGCTACACAAATGGCCTTTAAATGTCTTCTTAAAAGTAGAATCTTTTGGATGTCAAAGTTTGAAGAAGAAATCTAATACATAAAACAGCATCTTTGGCAACAGTAGAGCAGAATTTTATGGTATATGGATGTTTTTATTTGAGCTGCTCCTTCCCTCACTCTCTCCATTCACTCCACAACCCACCCCTAAGTTATCCACCTTAATTCCCAAAATGGCCATTTTAAACTTCCAAGCTCCCTTCTAAAACATAACAATTGGAGTAAATTAGTTAAATAACAATAACAAATTTTTATTTTTATGTTATGTTATAAATAATATAAATATATTATAAACAAGACATATACAATGTAAATAAGTACCGGTCTGCATTTCAAACTACAATTTTGATTCACCAGGGAGAGTTTAGAAATACCTTAAACAAGGGCAATCCCTCATAGTGACTACTTTTCATTCATAGTACATAGTATGCTTACCAAACCACCTCTTATGTCACTTTAAAATCAATTATATATGATATGTAATACAAGATTGGTTGTTCTTTGTCATTCAAGTCTAAGATTTAGCAAGCATTTTTGAGTGTCAGTTATGTGCTAGACACGCTGCCACTCGCTCCCATGCTCCCTATCTTATGCACCTCTCTGAGTGGCTTAGTGTCACATAGTATGAAGAGGACAAGTTTTAGAATCACACAAATCTGTGGTGTTAGTCTAGACTCTGCCACTTGTTAACTGTAGAGATTCACAAGTTTCTTGACATATTTGGTCATTCTTGCATTACTATAATGAAATTCCTATAAATATGTATCTGTAAATAAAAGAGGTTTAATTGACTCATGCTTTTGCAGGATGTATAGGAAGCATGGTGCCAGCATCTGCTTAGCTCCTGGCAAGGCCTCAGGGAACTTTTATTCATGGCAGAAGGTGAAGGAGGAACAGTTACATCACATAGTAAGAGAGAGAGCAAGAGGCAGAGTTGGGGAGGAGGTGCCACACACTTTTAAAGCATAAGATTTCCCAAGAAGTCATTCACTATCATAAGGACAGCACCAAGCCATGAAGGATTCACCTCCATGACCCAAACACCTCCCACCAGGCCCCACCTCAAACACTGGAGATTAGAATTCAACATGAGATTTGATGGGGACACGTATTCAAACTATATTATTCCGCCCCTGGCTTCTCAGATCTCCCGTTCTTCTCACATTGCAAAATACAGTCATGCCTTCCCCATCATTCCCTCAAAGTCTTAATTTATTCCAGTGTTAACTCAAAAGTCCAAAGTCTGAAGTTCATCTGAGACAAAGCAAGTCTCTTCCACTTATGAGCCTGTAAAATCAAAAATAAGTTATTTACTTCCAATATAAAAAGGGGATGTAAACATTCAATAAATATTTCCATTCTAAAGTGAGAAAACAGCCAAAGAAAGGAGCTACAGATTCCATGCAAGTTTGAAACTCAACAGGCAGTCATTAAACCTTAAAGATCCAACATAATCTCCCTTGACTCCATGTCCCACATCTAGGGCATAATGCTGAATGGGGTGTATAGGAGAACTTCCAGTTCTTGCAAGGCTTTAGGTAGCTCTATCCCTGTGGCTTTGCAGGATTAAGCTCCCAAGCATACTTTCATATGGCTGGGGCTGAGTGCCTGTGGCTTTTTCATGCTGAGAGTGCAAGCTACCAGTGGATCTGCCATTCTGGGGTCTAGAGAATGGAGAGCCCCATCCCACAGCTCCACTAGGCAGTACCCCAGTGGGGCTTCTGTGTGAGACTTCCAACTCCACATTTCCACTTAGCACTGCTCTAGTAGAGGTTCTTTGTGAGGGCTCTGCCCCTCCAGCAGTCTTCTGCCTGGATACCCAGGCTTTCCCATACTTCATCTGAAATCTATGGAGAGGTTGCCAAGCCCCCACAACTCTTGCACTCTGTGTACCTGTAGGCTTAACACCACATAAAAATTGCCAAGGCTTATGGCTTGCACCTTCTGAAGCAGCAGCTGGAGCTGTATCTGGGGCACTTTGAGCTGAGACTGGGGCCAGAGCAGCTGGGATGCAGGAAGCAGTGTCCTCAGGCACAGCCCTGGGCCCAGCCCAGGAAACCATTCCATCCTCCTAGGTCTCAGGGCCTGTGATGGAAAAGGCTCCTTTTTCAATCTCTGAAATGTCTTTGAGGTATTTTTTTCCATTGTGTTGACTATTAACACCTGGCTTCTTTGTAGTCATGCAAATATGTCTAGCAAATTGTTCCATAGCCTGCTTGAATTCCTCTCCTGAGAAAGATTTTTCTTTCTTTGCCACATAGTCAGCCTCCAAATTTTTCAAACTTTTACACTCTGCTTCCCTTTTAAATGTAAGTTCCAGCCTTAAGTCATTTTTTTTGCTCCCACATCTATTGTAGGAAGCAGCCAGGCCACATCTTGAACACTTTGCTGCTCAGAAATTTCTTTGGCCACATACCCTAAATTATTACTCTTAATTTCACACTTCCATAGATCCCTAGGGCATGCACAGAAAGCAACCAAGTTCTTTGCTAAGGCATAGCGTGCGTGATCTTTGCTTCAGTTCTTAATAAGTTCCTCATTTCCTTCTGAAACATCAACAGCCTAGACTTCACTGTCCATATTACTATCAGAATTTTGATCAAAACCATTTAACCAGTCTCTAAGAAATTTCAAACTTTCCTGCATCATCCTGTCTTCTTCTGAGCCCTCCAAACTTTTCTAACCTCTGCCCGTTACCCAGTTCCAAAGTCACTTCCACATTTTCAGGTATCTTTATAGCCATGCAAGAATGGCCTAATACACTTGATTAAGTGTCTAAGCTTGTTTCCTCATATAAAATATTGACATAGAAACAGCTGTCTAAAAAATTTGTTATAGAGAAGTCATTAAAATCATACCTGAAAAATTCTTGAAAATTCACCATAAGTGCCAAATAAAATGTCATATTAGGTATTATCCCCATTTAATAAATGAAAAATAAACTGAGTTCCATGGTGATGAAGAGATCATATAGTTCTGAAATACCATAGCTGGGGTTTAGCCAAACATCTTAAAATGTGCTATTTCCTAGTAGGTCACAGCTGAATTTCAGGAGTACATGGTCTTTGATCTTTCCTGTTAGGTTAGGATATGATCATATTACTCAGAGCATCTTTTCATCTTGTCTCATTCCCTGGGACCCTGTCAGGTTTTGTTGTTCCATTTCTCTCTACATGTACCTACTTCAGAGAACTGCGTTCCAAATTTGGCTTCTCCTAAGAATACCTGCCCATTTATTTAATGATAGCAAACAAATCCCTGATATGTCTTCTCTGGACTTAATGCCTCTCACTGCTTGACTCTCTCCTTCCCATTGAATTCTATTTACGGACTCTGGCCCTTATAAGAATCTTTCATGAACTTTCTGAAAATGAGTTTGCCGTCAATTCATCTATAAGCACTTATATTCAAATAGAAAAACTGTCTTTGGACCTCTTCATTTACATGGAAGAAAATGCATTCTCAAGAAAATAATTTACATAATATTTTATTTGAAATGATCATTTGCTGAACTTTTCCAAAGGCAAAGAAAAAGCTGGCTTGCAGCCCTCTTATGACTCAAAACCTTTGAAAACAGAAACTAAGGACTAGTTACCACCTACAATGAATTAAGCCTGTGATGGCATTTATCTCATTAGCTTCTCACAGCAAAGCTGAAAAATAGGTGGTGTTCTTTCCATTTTACTGCTGAAAATCAAAAAACCTCTGGCAGAGGTTCATTTGTGTTACATCTCCCTCCCAAAGTGAAGTAAATTGAAGGGAAAAGGGTCATGAGGAAACAGAAACCTTTGCCACAGATTATCCAAATCCAGAGCCAAGAATAAACATCAGAGGCACTCCAAATCAAAGTTGCTTTGCCAAGCCTGTCGCTAGTATATTTGGTGTCACTTAGCAGGCATGTGGCACCACAGAGACTTTCAAGTACTAACCACTATTGACTCCAACTCTGGGAAAAAAAAAAAAAAAGAAAAGAGAAAGCTTCTGTGTTCTGAAACAGATCCCACGGTCCCATCAGAGCTGCCTACAAAGCTGGTATGGGAACTCAAGATGTGATTGATTAGCTGCAGTAAAAATGATGTTATTTGTAATCAAAACCATTTCAAGTCTTACAAAGATAATATTTAGATGACATGTATTTCTTTTTCCTCCTAGGATTTCTAAGGCAAGAAGAAAGACATGAATATTGGTATTTATTGGGTATTTACTGTGTGCCTTGCATTCCTCTGGCAATTTTATATGCATTAGCTATTGATCTTTGCATATATTTATTATCATTTTGGTTTTTTAAAATTGGGGTAACCATGTGTTTGAGAGGTCTTGAAACTGTTTGGAAGTCAGAGGTCACATAGGAACCACATAATGTAATGGTCAAGTGAGTGGCTTCTGGTTGTTACTCCAGAGTTCCACAGGACTGGTTGGAAAAAGTAGTCTACCTCTTTTCAACTGTGTGACTGGAGCAAGTTCTGAAACCTCTTGACTTTACATCTTCAGGAACAAAGTGGGAATAATAACAGGGTAATTGTGAGGATTAAATAAAATAATACCTATGGAGAGCACTTACTTTCTCTGGCACATTCTAAGTGTCTGGTAAGCATTAACCAGTCAGTTCATGGGAGTGGGTTGGCATTAATGCCAGAACCAGGGTTTATTTTAGTTTGATTCCCAAGTCTAACTCTTTCATGACCCCAGACGGTCTCCTAAAACAATTGTTTCTCATCCTGAGAATTCTTTTTTTTTTTTTCATGCACTACTTATAAACTTGATGGAGGCAATTTCCAATCATCAGTAATCTGAAATAGGCTTGGAAAGATGACATATGGCCTTATATTAATATATTAA
The DNA here is from genome assembly GCF_000001405.40 of Homo sapiens. Classification (NCBI taxonomy): domain Eukaryota; kingdom Metazoa; phylum Chordata; class Mammalia; order Primates; family Hominidae; genus Homo; species Homo sapiens. The sequence continues at coordinate 80,121,454 of NC_000011.10, read as the reverse complement.
ATCTTTGGTTGCCAAGTTATTTGCTTTAATAGTTTTTCCCCTCTATAGGTTGAATTGTTTTAAGTTCTGCAAATGTAATATATGCCGTTCTCTCTGAGTGCAAAAGCAATACAATAAGTATTAGTTAGAACTGGGGAAAGGAAACTGGTTCTTGAATTATCAGGAGGCATGATGCCCACCATGACAGCAGAACAAAGTATGGAAAGGAAGCTTGTTGGCTCCAAACAGCAGAGGACACTAGCCTGCCTTTGGGAGACAATGAGGATTGGTGACACTGAGAGCTTCGTGGTAGACTTCTGCTAAGGAAAAGACTGGTTACTGTGACACACTAGACATCTTTTAATTACCTCATTCTCTGTGCTTCCTTAGTTCCCAGTATGAGGTCTCAGTTGAGAACTTACAAAAGCAGGAAGCCAAATAATTGAGGCCTTATTGAGGAAAAAGAGCATATGTTTTGGAGTCAAAAAGTTTGAATTTGAGATCTGAATTAAGCAATTACTAGCAGTATCACTATATGGAAATCATTTCCTCATCTGAATTTCCATTTTCTATTAAATGGAGGAAGATGGCAATAATAAAAATGTAGAACACAATTTATGTTTGTTGTTGATTTTTGATTGTTTTATTTCTCAGAGTTGTTAGGAACACCCCATGATATGATGGCATGAAAATATTTGATCTTGATTCAGGAAGTCAGCAAGTATTTATTGAGTACCTTTGTGCCAGATACAGTGAAACTCTAAAATAATATACAAAAGAATTACTGTTTTTGTTCTGGTTGTGATATTGGAGATCAATTGTTGCCCATTGACCGCAGAATAACAATTGAATACTCATCCTGGCACCTGAGTCCTATCTCTAGCCTGTCGTTACATTTCAGCCACATAAAGACACATGCTGTCCCTGGTACATGCCCAGCCCAGTCATACGTCTGCACTTTCACCCATGCTGCTGTTTCTTCCTGAATGCTTTCCTTTTCTTTCCTAACTGTCCAAGCTATGCCCATGGCTCATATATTTGTATTGAATATAAACCCCAGGCAGACGTAGCCCCAGAGCTCATCTTTTTTTTTTTTTTTTTTTTTTTTTTTTTTTTTTTTTTTTTAGTAATATACGGCACTTCTTCTCAGGGCTTCTCAAACTTTAATAAATGTACAGATCACCTGAGATTTTGTTAAAATGCAGATTCTGAGAATCTACATTTCAAACAAGATCCCAGGTGATGCTGATGCTGCTAGTATTTGGATCACACTTTGAGCAGCCAGGTCCCAGAATACTAATTCTGAGCCCATAGTATTCATTGTCAAGGATGCACAACCACATTTTCTGAAATTAAAGTTTATTCGCAAATTCCTCTTTGCCAATACACATAACAAGAGAAGGGCATGGTGGTTTTAACCCAGTAAGAGACATGTGAGCATAGACAAGTCAGTTAGCCTACTTGAGCCTAGTTTCTTATAAAACAAGCACTGTGCCCGTTCCTGCATTGCTTCCTTCACAGTGTCACCATGAGAAGTTTCAGCATACCGTGTGTCTAACTACCATGCAACCCTATTTAAAATAATTCTTTTCTTTTCACTGATTTTACTTTTCCTTTCATTGCTGAGTCTCTTTGAAAGCTTTTTCTAGGGGGATTGTTACTGAACTAACAACAGTGTCAAGAGGCAATTGGTGGTTTTTGGTTGACAGAGCCTCTGCTAAATTAAAGGTAAAATATTCCAGAATCAAGACCTTACAAAGGAAATAAATATGCCTGAGTGCCACTGATTATTATTGTCTTTCTCTCAAGCACCTTGCTTTTGGTACATTTCTTTCTATGTTTTATAAATTTGCATTCTCTCTCTCCCTCATGACATAGAAATACAGGCTCTGAAGTCAGACATTTGGTTGAATATAGGCATTGTTGATTCCAACTGACTTAGCTTCACTGAGACAAAATTTTTTCAATCTGATAACCTATAAAGTAAAATTATTCATAATAAGAAGGAGGTGAAGGAAGAGGAAAGGGAGAGAAATGAGGAGGAGGTAGAGAAGGAGAAAAAAGCAGACAAAATTGTCTTCCTAAGTCTTGTGAAAGTCAAATGAGAACAGATATACTGTCTGGTTTGTTTCTGGGTTTAGTAAATGTTAATTTCTTCCCCAGCCTATCCTTAGCCACCCTTTATTTAACTTTTATCCTCTCTTTCTTTCCAAAATTATTATTTTTCTAAAAAAATAATTTTTATTTTAAGTTCAGGGGTTTCTTATATAGATAAACTTTTGTCATAGGTGTTTGTGGTACAGATTTCACATTGCTAGTTCATTCTTTTATCCATTCGTCCATTTACTTCTACATTTATTTTTGGAAGAGGTAGGGTAAAATAAATTCAATAAAGATTAATTTCCACCCAAAAGCAAGTGGAAATTATTCTTTGTTGAATAATTGTTGTTCTACCTTATTCAAAAACAAATGTAGAAATAAATGGATGAATTAATAAAAGAATAAACTAGCAATGTGAGCTATAAATATAATACCTCACATTTTTATTTTGCTTTTCTATTTCTGCCTTTTTGAATCTCTGAAACACTTTCTTATTTTGGCTTCACAACATCCTTATGTTATTTTTAACCTTTCTTATGAGCACATTTGTTTTTATCTATGGTTCTTGTGTTCTTATGGCTTATCAATGTGACTGAAAACTTTGTAAAGACAAGGACTATTTATCTCTGAATTAGCTGTGTCACGTACAGTGCCTTGCATACAAGATTTCCTTAATAATGCTTGTTGAGTCAATGGATGAAGGACGCAAGGAAGGAAAGAAGGAAAAAAGAAGCAAGAAAAGAAGGAAGAGAGGACATGAAAATGATGTTACTCTTCTAGATTGAAAATTACATACCTTGCACAGTGTCTGGCACATAGTAGGTGTTCAATACCTATTCATCGAAGACATGTAATTATCAATTTTAGACTTGGATAACTTCCCAAGTGTAAAGTAGGTAAGAAGAATTGTTGTCTTTTGGGGGTTACAATGACAAACACAAAAATAACCGGGGAAAATGGAGAAAGAGAAGCCATCTTTTTACTGGGCAACGATGTCAAGCTGTCATGTTAGTGTCTGCCTTGCTTTCACAGGCTAATGGTTGCCAGGGCAACAGCAGTGCCAAGACTTTGCATTCATGTAGTTTTCCATTGATAATTGCTAATGTGAACAAGTGCTGGCTTGCACTTTACACCTGCCTGGCTTGTAAGTCTACCTTAATTGGATGTGCCAAGATTGAGGAAAAAGTAATCTGCCCTTTCAAGACAACTGACAGAGAGATGAAGTGTTGTTTGGGCCTTTATTGTTACAATTTTGCTGACAAAATTACTATGAACTGTCTTCTCTGGATGCATAGCCTGCCTTTGTTGGCAGAACTCTAGCATTTATCTTCTAGGGGTGGTATATTAAGTGAGGGGGAAACTGATGAAATGTTTAGAGCAGTTTAGTTGTAATTCACTTGCTTTTTTCAGGTGCAGTAAGAAGAGATGTGGCATTGGAGAGGAGCTGGAGGGGCATGAGAAATTAGGGAGGGGCAAAAGGATATGGATCGCCTACCGTGTGCAAGACATTATGTTGACCTTTCTAGCACACATGGTCTTAACCTTCCTGATGACCCTGTGAAGCAGGTATTAATATCTCCAGGATAGAGATGTAAACACTAGCTTTAAAGGTGAATTCTTTCATTTAAATTATTAGAGTGAAATTAAGACATGTTGACAGCATTCAAACTCTGATTTTCTTGTGTTGTTGTTGTTGTGACAAAGTCTAACTGTGTCACCCAGGCTGGATTGCCGTGGCGAGATCTTGGCTCACTGCAACCTCTGCCTCCTGAGTTCAAGCGATTCTCCTGCCTCAGCCTCCAGAATAGCTGGGATTACAGGCGTCTGCCACCACTGGTTTTCTTAATGCTGAAATCTATTATTTTATCTATTCCTGGCTCTCTGTGACAGTTTGGACAAGTCACTTTCTTCCTAACTGTAACTTCCCTTCTTTTTTCTCAGTTTTGCTATCTAAAATCTTCCCAAAGCAGCTTACTCCCTCCTGCACCAGCAGCTCTGCTAACAGTTAAATATATTTACTCTAGAAAACATTTACTAAGAGCCTACCAGTACCAGGTACAGAGTTAGGTGCTAAAGAGACAAATGAGTAACTTATGGCTGTTTTAAAGGAGTCTACATCTCAACTACGGATTCCATAAAGAAGCAGATGCATTCAGTTAGGTCCAGTCTGTTAAAAATGAAGAATGTTAGAATGTGCACTATTGAGCACAAAGGAGGAGGAGGGTTCAGTGAGGAGTTTTGGGGAAAGCTGAAATGTCAAAGGCTGATGAATTTTACTGGGCAATAGCACCCGCCAAGACTGAGAGGAGTGAAACAGCACAACCTGGGTGAAGAACTTCAGACCATTTGGTCTTTCAAGAGCAAAGGGTGACACTGGACATACTGGAGAAGTATGATTATAAGGCATGTCAAAGAGTGGGGACATAAACCAGACATGGGAGAGAGAAGCTGTCTCCTCTGCAGGTACAGTCCTAGTTTAGGCTTTGCAGACCACACGTTCTTCTTCTTTCCAAAAGACTTCTACAGCCTGTAATACTATGTAAACCACTTTCACTGGTAGTTGTACAAAAACAGGCTGCGGATCACATGTGGCCCAGAGGCCATAGATACAGTTGGTGGAATCCTGCTTTATGGCGTGATCTCCAATCCATCATAATCCTGGTCACCAATATTTAATTTGTCAATTTTCCTTTTAAAATTAAAAGCTTAGTTAAGATCAATATATATTATTTCACATAATCTGTACTAAAACCTATGTTTAAATTATAAAGGATTAAAGATTTTTTAAAAATCAAGTAAACCCTGAAGGCAAACAAAAATACTCTTGAATTCCTGTATCCGTTTCTCATTTTCCATCAGGGATTTGTTATTTTTTTTTTAAGGTAAAATGGTTAGACTTTTATTTGGGGTGTAATTTAGCCCTGTAGTGCTCAAATTCTGTTGTACCTAAGAGTTAGGAAACACAGTTGCATACCTCAAATCATGTATACTGTTCCTTGTGTTTGATAGAAGGATTTTTAAGTTACTTTTGACTATGTGAAATTTTCACCTATGTGTTGACTTTAGAAGAAAATCCCAGTAAAGATATATGTGTTATTATAATGGGACAATAAGTTCCCTGGCCTAGGTACTAAGTCTCTAAAAGTGCAATGCAGCCTAGATTAGTCAAGGTCATTTTGTTGTTGTTTGTCTATTTGTTTTAGAAATCAAGTCACATACTAAGCAGGTGATGGACAAAACCTTCTAACATGTTTTCTACAATGCACGATGACCAAACCATATTCCCTCCATTCTGTATAAGCGAGATTGTGTTATTATTATAGCTATTGTTTATTTCTAATTCAAAGGCAAAACTTTATATTTCTTTCGTTTATCATGTTTTAACACCTCAGTAAAACTGTTGAGGCCACCTTGAATCCTGGTTTTATCATTCATCATATTAGAATCTATTATTCCTAATTATTCTAATTTCATAGAATTGTAGTGTTGGAGGGCCCTGAATTTCATCCATCAACGAGGTTTGAGTTGGCACTACAGTGCCTGTTGTTGAGCCATCCACCCTCTGCCCATGTACCTCCAGTAATGTGGAATGGGAAATGGTTATCAGTACCTCCCACTGCGTTATTGAATAGCCCCAATTGCTTAAAAAAATGGGTAAATAAAAGAAGCAAATGCATGGGTCACCAACTATCAGCAATTACTGTATAAAATCTTATTCTCCAAACAACTAAGTGTAGTAAAGATTCTAATATTAACGTTACAGATGAGAAAACTGAGGATTAAAGAATTTTGATATATATGTTTCTCCAGCTGGTAAGAAGTAGAGTTAAAATTTACTGTTGCTCTCTCTTTTTTTTTTCTTTCTTTACTTAAAGTTCTGGGATACATGTGCAGAATGTGCAGGTTTGTTACATAGGTATACATGTGCCATGGTGGTTTGCTGCATCTATCAACCCATCATCTAGTTTTTAAGGCCTGCATGCGTTAGGTATTTGTCCTAATGCTCTCCCAACCTTTCCCTCCACCTCCCAACAGGCCCTGGTGTGTGTTGTTCCCCTCCCTGTGTCCATGTGTTCTCATTGTTCAACTCCCACTAATGAGTGAGAACATACAGTGTTTGGTTTTCTGCTCCTGTGTTAGTTTGCTGGGAATTATGGCTTCCATCTTCATCCATGTCCCTGCAAAGGACATGATCTCATTCTTTTTTATGGCTGCATAGCATTCCATGGTGTAAATGTGCCACATTTTCTTTTTCCAGTCTATCACTGCAGGGCATATGGGTTGGTTCCAAGTCTTTGCTTTTGTAATAGTGCTGCAATAAACATACATGCGCATGTGTCTTTATAGTAGAATGAATTATAATCATTTGGGTATATGCCCAGTAATGGAATTGCTGGGTCAAATGGTATTTCTGGTTCTAGATCCTTGAGGAATCGCCACAGTCTTCCACAATGGTTGTACTAATTTACACTCTCACCAACAATGTAAAGTGTTCCTATTTCTCCCCAGCTTCATTAGCATCTATTGTTTCCTGAGTTTTTAATAATCGCCATTCTGACTGGCGTTACCTGGTATCTCATTGTGGCTTTGATTCGCATTTCTCTAATGATCAGTGATAATGAGCTTTTTTTCATATTTTTCTTGTCTGCATAAATGTCTTCTTTAGAGAAGTGTCTGTTCATGTCCTTCACCCACTTTTTGATGGGGTTGTTTGTTTTTTTCTTGTAAGTTTGTTTAAGTTCCTTGTAGATTCTGGATATTAGATCTTTGTCAGATGGGTAGATTGCAAAATTTTTCTCCCATTCTGTAGTTGGCCTGTTCACTCTGATGCTAGTTATTTTAGCTGTGCAGAAGCTCTTTAGTTTAATTAGATCCCATTTGTCAATTTTGGCTTTTGTTGCCATGGCATTTGGTGTTTTAGTCATGAAGCCTTTGCCCATGCCTATGTCCTGAATGGTATTGCCTAGGTTTCCTTCTAGGCTTTTTATGGTTTTGGGTTTTACATTTAAGTCTTTAATCCACCTTGAGTTAATTTTTGTATAAGATTTAAGGAAGGGGTCCAGTTTCAGTATTCTGCATATAGCTAGCCAGTTTTCCCAGCACCATTTATTAAATAAAGAATATTTTCCTCATTGCTTGTTTTTGTCAGCTTAGTGGTAGATCAGATGGTTGTAGATGTGTGGAGTTATTTCTGAAGTCTCTGTTCTGTTCCATTGGTCTATGTATCTGTTTTGGTACCAGTAGAATGCTGTTTTGGTTACTGCAGCCTTGTATAGTTTGAAGTCAGGTAGCGTGATGCCTCCTGCTTTGTTCTTTTTGCTTAGGAGTATCTTGGCTATACAGGCTCTTTTTTGGTTCCGTATGAAATTTAAAGTAAATTTTTGTAATTCTGCAAGGAAAGTCAATGGTAGCTTGAAGGAAATAGCATTGAATCTCTAAATTACTTTGGGCAGTATGGCCACTTTGATGATATTGATTCTTTGATGAGCATGGAATATTTTTCCATTTGTTTGTGTCCTCTCTTATTTCCTTGAGCAGTGGTTCGTTGTTCTCCTTGAAGAGGTCTTTCATGTCCCTTGTAAATTGTATTCCTAGGTATTTTATTCTCTTTCTAGGAATTGTGAGTGGAACTTCATTCATGATTTGGCTCTCTGCTTGCCTATTATTGGTGTATAGGAATGCTTGTTATTTTTGCACATTGATTTTGTATCCTGAGATTTTGCTGTCGTTGCTTATCAGCTTAAGGTGTTTTGGGCTGAGACGATGGGGTTTTCTAAATATACAATCATGTCATCTGCAAACAGAGACAATTTGACTTCCTCTCTTCCTATCTGAATACCCTTTATTTCTTACTTTTGCCTGATTGCCCTGGCCAGAACTTCCAATACTATGTTGAATAGTAGTGGCGAGAGAGGGCATCCTTGTCTTGTGCCAGTTTTCAAAGGGAATGCTTCCAGTTTTTGCCCATTCAGTATGATATTGGCTATGAGTTTGTCATAAATAGCTCTTATTATTTTGAGATATGTTCCATCAGTGCATAGTGTATTGAGAGTTTTTAGCATGAAGGGCTGTTGAATTTTGTTGAAGACCTTTTCTGTATCTATTGAGATAATCCTGTGTTTTTTGTTATTGGTTCTGTTTATGTGATGGATTAAGTTTATCGATTTGTGTGTGTTGAACCAACCTTGCATCCCAGGGATGAAGATGACTTGATCATGGTGGATAAGCTTTTTGATGTGCTGCTGGAGTCAGTTTGCCAGTATTTTATAGAGGATTTTTGCATCGATGTTCATCAGGGATATTGGCCTGAAGTTTTCTATTTTGTTGTGTCGCTGTCAGGTTTTGGTATCGGAATGATGCTGGCCACATAAAGTCAGTTAGGGAGGAGTCCCTCTTTCTTGATTATTTGGAATGGCTTCAGAAGGAATGGTACCAGCTCCTCTTTGTACCTCTGGTAGAATTCGGCTGTGAATCCATCTGGTCCTAGTTTTTTCTTTTTTTTTTGGTTGGTAGGCTATTGATTACTGCCTCAATTTCAGTACTTGTTATTGGTCTATTCAGAGATTCAGTTTCTTCTTGGTTTAGTCTTGGGATGATGTATGTATCCAGGAATTTATCTATTTCTTCTAGATTTTCTAGTTTATTTGCTTAGAGGTGTTTATAACATTCTCTGATAGTAGTTTGTATTTCTGTGGGGTCAGTGGTGATATCCCCTTTCTCGTTTTTTATTGTGTCTAAGTGATTCTTCTGTATTTTACTCTTTATTTGTCTAGCTAGTGGTCTATCTATGTATTTTTTTTAAAATTTTTTCAAAACAACAGCTCCTGGATTCATTGATTTTTTGAAGGGATTTTCGTGTCTCTATCTTCTTCAGTTCTGCTCTGATCTTAGTTACTTTTTGTCTTCTGGTAGCTTTTGAATTTGTTTGCTCTTGCTTCCCTAGTTATTTTGTGATGTTAGGGTGTTGATTTGAGGTCTTTCCAGCTTTCCGGTGTGGGCATTTAGTGCTATAAATTTCCCTCTTAACACCACTTTAGCTGTGTCCCAGAGATTCTGGTACATTGTCTCTCTGTTCTCATTGGTTTCAAAGAACTTATTTATTTCTGCCTTCATTTCGTTATTTTCCCAGTAGTCATTCAGGAGCAGGTTAATCAATTTCCATGTAGTTGTGTGATTTTGAGTGAGTTTCTTAATCCTGAGTTCTAATTTGATTGCACTGTGGTCTGAGAGACTGTTGGTTATGATTTCAGTTCTTTTGCATTTGCTGAAGAGTGTTTTACTTCCAATTATGTGGTCAATTTTACAATAAGTATGATGTGGTGCTGAGAAGAATGTGTATTCTGTTGATTTGTGGTGCAGAGTTCTGTAGAGGTCTATTAGGTCCCCTTGATCCAGAGCCGAGTTCAAGTCTTGAATATCCTTGTTAATTTTTTGTCTCGTTGATCTGTCTAATATTGACAGTGGGGTTTTAAAATCTCCCACTATTATTGTGTGGGAGTCTCAGTCTATTTGTAGGTCTCTAAGAACTTGCTTTATGAATCTGGGGGTGCTCCTGTATTGGGTGCATATATATTTAGGATAGTTAGCTCTTCTTGTTGCATTGATCCTTTTACCGTTGTGTAATGCCCTTCTTTGTCTTTTTTGATCCTTGTTGGTTTAAAGTCTGTTTTATCAGAGACTAGGATTGCAACCCCTATTTTTTTTTTTCCTTTCCATTTGCTTGGTAAATATTCCTCCATCCCTTTATTTTGAGCCTATATGTGTCTTTGCATGTGAGTTGGGTCTCCTGAATACAGCACACTGATGGGTCTTGACTCTTTATCCAATTTGCCATTCTGTGTCTTTTAGTTGGGGCCTTTAGCCCATTTACATTTAAGGTTAATATTGTTATGTGTGAATTTGCTTCTGTCATTATGATGCTAGCTGGTTATTTTGCACACTGGTTGATGCAGTTTCTTCACAGTGTCATTGGTGTTTATATTTTGGTGTGTTTTTGCAGTGGCTGGTACTAGTTTTTCCTTTCCATATTTAGTGCTTCCTTTAAGAACTCTTGCAATGCAGGCCTGGTGGTGACAAAATCCCTTAGCATTTGCTTGTCTGTAAAGGATTTTATTTATCCTTTGCTTATGAAGCTTCGTTTGGCTGGATATGAAATTCTGGGTTGAAAATTATTTTCTTTAAGAATGTTGAATATTGGCCCCCACTCTTTTCTGGCTTGTAGGGTCCCTGCTGAGAGATCTGTTAGTCTGATGGGCTTCCGTTTGTAGGTGTCCTGACCTTTCTCTCTGGCTGCCCTTAAGATTTTTTCCTTCATTTCAAGTTTGGGAAATCTGATGATTATGTGTCTTGGGGTTGATTTTCTCGTGAAGTATCTTAGTGGTGTTCTCTGTATTTCCTGAATTTGAATGTTGGCCTGTTTTGCTAGGTTGGGGATGTTCTCCTGGATAATATCCTGAAGTGTGTTTTCCAACTTGATTCCATTCTCTCTGTTTCTTTCAGGTACTCCAATCAATCGTAGGTTTGGTCTTTTCACATAGTCCCATATTTCTTGGAGGCTTTGTTCATTCCTTTTCATTCTTTTCTCTCTAATCTTATCTGCATGCCTTATTTCAGCAAGGTGGTCTTCAAACTCTGATAGCCTTACCTCTGCTTGATCGATGTGGCTATTGGGATTTGTATATGCTGCACAAAGTCTCCTGGTTGTGTCTTTCAGCTCCATCAGGTAATTTATGTTCCTCTCTCAATTGGTCATTCTAGTTAGCAGTTCCTGTAACATTTTATCCAGACTCTTAGCTTCTTTGCATTGGGTTAGAACATGCTCCTTTAGCTCAGAGGAGTTTATTACTCACCTTCTGAAGCCTACTTCTGTCAATTCATCCCTCTTATTCTCCGTCCAGGTTTGTGCCCTTGCTGGAGAAGTGTGGCTATCATTTGGAGAAGAGGCATTCTGGCTTTTGAAATTTTCAGCATTTTTGTGCTGTTTTTTGCTCATCTTCATGGATTTATCTGCCTTTGATCTTTGAGGCTGATGACCTTTGGATTGGGTTTTTGTTGGGGGGTGGGGTGCCTTTTTGTTGTTGTGGTTGTTGCTTTCTGTTTGTTAGTTTTTCCTCTAATAATCAGGCCCCTCTTCTGATGGTCTGCTATAGTTTGCTGGAGATCCACTCCAGACCCTGTTTGCCTGGGTATCACCAGTGGAGGCTGCAGAATAGCAAAGATTGCTGCCTGCTCCTTCCTGTGGAAGCTTCGTCCCGGAGGGTCACTCGCCTAATGCCAGCCAGAGCTCTCCTGTATGAGGAGTCTGTCAACCCCTGTTGGGAGGTCTCTCCCAGTCAGGAGGCATGGGGGTCAGAGACCCACTTAAGGAGGCAATCTATCCCTTAGCAGAGCTGGTGTGGTGTGCTGGGAGAATTCCCCTTGTCAGAATCAGCCGCTCTCTTCAGAGCCAGCAGGCAGGAAAGATTAAGTCTGCTGAAGCTGGGACCCCAGGTGCCCCTCCCCTGAGCCAGGTGCTCTGTCCCAGGGAGGTGAGAGTTTTGTCTGTAAGCCCCTGATTGGAGCTGCTGGATTTCCTGCAGAGATACTCTGCCCAGTGGAGGAATCTAAAGAAGCCATCTAGCCACAGCCGCTTTGCTGTACTGCAAAGTCCGAACCTGCCGGTCTCCTTAGCACTCCTTAACACTTTTAGCACTACTAAAGCCACAGTAATGGCAGTCACCCCAAGCTCAGTCATCCCAGATCAACTCCAGACTGCTGTGCTGGCAGTGAGAATTTAAGCCAGTGGTTCTTAGCTTGCTGGGCTCCATGGGAGTGGGACCTGCTGAGTGAGACTGCTTGGACCCCTGGTTTCAGCCCCTTTTCCAGGGGAGTGGATGGTTCTCCTGTCTCATTGGAGTTCCAGGCACCGCTGGAGTATGAAAAAAAAAAAAAAAAAAAACCCCTGCCGCTCAGTGTCTGCCCATACAGTTGCCCAGTTTTGTGCTTGAAACCCAGGGTCCTGGGCCCATAGGTGCTTCATTATAACGAAAGATCTTTTCTGATGTTGAACCAAAGTTTATTCCTTATATACTATGTTCATTCTGCCCTCTGGAACAGCACAGAATAAACTGACTTTCTCTTCCCCTGCCTTTAGCTGTTGGAGGGTATTAGTCATAGTCAGGATAATGTAGCAGCTGACAAACTGTCATAAAGAAGAAGTGGACCTGTTGAGGCAGCACAGCGTGTGGCTGTGGACACACATTTTGGCACAAGATAAAGCTGGGTTTGAATCCCATCTCTTGTACTCTTTGTAATCATGGTCAAGTCCTATCAGTTTCTGATCTTTTTCCCCGCCTTGGGTGTAAAATGAACAATCTAAATTAAAAATGTGAATGGAGTCTCTCCCTCCTAGTGGCATTTGCTATGAGGATAAACAGGTGATGCTGATGAGAACTCAGCAAGCTGGAGAGCTCAGCCTTTTAGAGAATAATTGCCATGTAACAGTAGCTGTCCTGTCGCTCCTGAGTATTTTCTTCTCCAAGGTAAATGATGTATGTAGGGACCCTTTCAACAGCATGGCAAGTCTTCCTCTTTTCTGCTCACCCTACTCCGATCAGGCCCCAGTTTGTCTGTGTTCTATAAGGTGATGCTTATTATTTAACATGTAACTTTCTTTTTTATTTGAAAGGACCAAATAATAACAGCTCACAGTTTTAAGTCTTCTAAGTGCTAAGAACAGCTTAAACTCATCACATATATTATCTCTTCTCATCTTCATAATATTTCTATGAGATGAATGCTATCATTATCATCTCCATTTTACAGATGAGGAAACTGAGTCTCAGGTTTTGTAATGTGCTCAAGATCATATAGGTAGGTAGGATTAGAGCTGGGATTTGCACCCAGGCAGGATGGCTCTAGTAGTGACACTCTTAACCCACAGGTTGTAAAGCGTTACAGAGCAACCTAGGGCTTTGAGAGCAGGAGACTCACCTTGGACTCTCATTCTGAATGTGGCTCATCATTATTTCCTATTATATTTTTTATCTTCCCCAAATCTCCAATACTCTGTGTGTTTCATGATTTGACCTATCTTCCTCAAGAATACTAAATCAGGCCAGGCACGGTGGCTCACACCTGTAATCCCAGCACTTTGAGAGGCTGAGGCGGGTGGATCACCTAAGCTCAGGAGTTGGAGACCACCCTGGGCAACATGGTGAAACCCTGTTTCTACTAAAATACAAAAAATTAGCTGGGCGTGGTGGCGTGGGCCTGTAGTCCCAGCTACTCGGGAGGCTGAGGCTCGAGAATCACTTGAGCCCAGGAGGCGGAGGTTGCAGTGAGTTGAGATAGCGCCACTGCACTGGTTACCGAGTGAGACTCCCTCTCAAAACAAACAAACAAACAAAGCATACGTAATCAGTTCCCACTAATATGAGCAAATTGCCTTTGTTGAGCCTGTTTTCCCATCTGTAGAATGGAGATAAAAGTGTATATACAACAAGGCTGTTATGAAAACTTAATGGAGTTATTCAATCAAAGCGTCTAAATCAGTATTTACATATTTGAACAATTCCATATTTCTGTTCCCTTCTCTCACTGCATTAAGAGAGAATGATTGAGCAGAATAATTAGATTGTACTATGACATTTTGTAAACTGTACAAAGGAAATGGATGTGTTGTGGTGGAAGTCTGGGAGGCCAGGTAGGGCTTCCCAGATTGAGAGGAATTTTATCTGGGTGCTGAAGAATGAATAGGAGTTATTCAGACAGCAGGGGGAGGAAGAAGGCCTAGACACAGTCACCCGGGAATAGTAGTAGAAAAAGTGTGAAGAATACAGATATTGGCTTGTTTATCCATCTTGTTCATCTGCTTCTCTTAGAAAAATTAAACCTCCCATCCCTTGTATTTTTCTGCTAATTTTTGTGTAATATACCAGCAAAGTGATGGAAACAAAACAATTGAAACAAATACCTCTGCAAAACACCATCCCAATGCGTTGAGTGCTTTCCTTTTTTTTTATTTTTTAATCATTAACAAAATTCCATCAAACTTTATCTTTCTATTAATCAGTTACTATTGTTAAAAATTTAATTTCTTTTCTAATGCTTACTACTGCTCATTTCACTTCATTAACTATTACTTTTACATACCGTGTTTACATTTTTTAAATTAAAAAAATTCAAGGATAAACTATCTTGAAAGATGATTTTAAGTTACCAAGTTGTTACATATGTAGACTTTGAATAAAATACCTGGATTTGAATTGCAGCAGTGTAAGTATTATCTTTGTCACCCTATGTAATTTATTTGAACTCTGTCCCAATTTTGTTTTTTGGATTTTTTCCTGCTAAATGGAGATTAGCAGTAACTGCTTCATGTTTATTGTCATGAAAATTAAATGAAATCCATATAAAGCAGTGAGCCTAGTGCCAAGCTAATAATGTTGCTTATCATTATTAGTGTATAATACCTATCAACTTTTACGTAAATGTAAATATATGTGTGTATGTGTATATATATATATATATATAATTTATTCTTAGCCAGGATTTTTTTTCTCATCCAGGAACAAAAATACTAGTTTCATTTTTTACTCTAGGCTTTTTATGTTTATCTTTCAATAATTGTCTTATAGAATCACAGTGCTATAAAACGTTTTCATTAATTTGTCTAATTTGCTGAATGCCCACTTTGTCCTGAACTCTAGGCACCTAGGAGGCTTATGGTCTGGAGGGAGAAACAGACAGGTAAGCATAGGATGACAATGCAATGTTATAATGACTACCAACAAGGGCTACACGAGGCTCTGTAGGACTCAGAACCCAAATGCTTCACTGTGGTCCACTAGATCATGAATATTGTGGCCCCAGACCGTTTCTCCAACTGCTTCCACTGAGCCCCACCCCAACTCCACCCCCTCTTTCTTATTCTTCCCCAGCTATACATGCTTTCATCCGGTCCCCTTTCTTCTGGTTCCCATGCTCCTGTTGTGTCTTGAGCTCTGGGCACATGCTCCTGTTGCTTCCAGGAACCCCTCCCCCATTCTCACATATCGCCTTCTTCTCATCCTTCGTCTTAGCTTAAATGTCATTTCCTCAGAGAGCTCCTATGTCATCCACTGGCCTGTTGCCCTCAATTTTCTCCACCCAGTCACCCTTATTTTTTTCTTCTCAGGGCCCTTCAAGTGTGTACTTGTACCTTACTGTCTTTAAGCTGTAAGCTTCATGAAAGCAGAGACCATGTCTTGTGTTCATCACTGTTCATACAACACCTAAAGTATCTGGAAGATAGAGAGGGCTCCATAAAATATATGTGCAATAGATAAATGTCAAGGAAAGTCATAGATGTCTTGGTTAATCTGAACAGATGAGGAAGAGTTTACCAGGGAGACAAGGAGAAATTAATGGTTTAAGTATCACAATTTGAATGCAAACATACACATTTGAAAGACATTCATATCTCGGATCAAATCTAAGCCTCGCTATTTACCAACTATATGTACTTGGGAAGATCATCTTGATTTTATGGCTCACATCATCTTCATTTGTGAAATCGAGGCAATAACACCTAATTGTGGGATTGTTGTGAGGAGTAGACCTAAGATTTCAAGGTATGTAGAATACAAAAATAAATAGTATCATTATGTGTTTATTCAGACGTAATCAGGAGAATCAGAAATTGAATGTACTGGAAATATTTCAGCACAGTTGCTCCTCACATCTCAGTCTGAGAGTGAGAGACAGTGGTCTGACCTGAAACACTGAGGTGCTGTGAGGAAAATTGAATTGTTGCAAAGTCTTTGGAAGTACAAAGTGCCTACAGCAAGTTTTGAAGGTCAAAATTTACAGTTTGTCTTTCACGGTATCCAGAGGATGTAAAAATAATGGTTACTCCTTATTTCAGGTAGTAGTCTACATCTGTACATATAGTAGCTCATTTAATCTTAACAACTCCACAAAGTGTTATTTCCTTGATTCTACAGATGAGGACACTGAGACACAGAGATGTTAAGAAACTTGTTCAACATCACAGAGCTAGTAAATGACAGAGCTGACTTTTCAAGGCAAGCAGTGTGTCAATGGCAGTACTTAACATGCACTCTGTACTGCCTGTGTGTGGCAGAAAGCCCTGTGGAATGGGAATGTGACATACATAGGTTCAAATCCTTCCTCCACTGCTTACTAGTTTTGTGGCCTTGGACAAGGTTTTTAATGTTTCTGAGCCTCTGCTTCCTCATTAGAAAGATGGAAAATAACGACGTCTACTTTGAATGGGGTTGTGACATTTAAATAAGCCAGCATATGTAAGGTGCCAAGCTTGTAGCTGCTGTTCAGTAGTAGGGGCTAATGTGACTACTAACAGCAGTGCTAAAATCCACTAGTTGGTCTTGACATGGTTGAGATTTTACAAGCCTTGATGGCTTTTAATTGAGAAATATGCATCTGTGACAGGTAATCAATACGCTCATCTGGCAGCCAGGTTCCAGATGAAATAAAGCTAAATGATGATGCAATTAGAATATACAAACAAATCCCCTGCAGAAGCCAAATAGACTTGACTGCCTTCTCCATCCTAATCATGTTGCCATGTTTGGAATGCATCTGGAAGTCATTTTTCTCGGTGAATCTGGACCCAACTAAATAAACAGAGCTTCTTTTCTTCGTTTGCTTTACCTGCTTTCTCCTTGGAGCTCAGTTTCCCTCCGCCCAAGGTGGGACAGCACGTCAGCCGGACTCCCTAATGTGTGAAGGACATTGCAAACCTCACTGACAAACACTGTCCCTTGAAATTCACTTTGTCATTTATTTTCTCATTGTCAGACTGAATGACAAAAGCTGGCAATTTTAATGGGGAAACAGTTCAGGAGGCAGGTTCTCAACAATCCCTGAACAATCTTTTAAAAAATATCCTTCTCTTCTTCTTTATTGGAGTCTGCGAATTATTAAGTGACAAGGCTGTCTTGCGGTTCACTCTCACATACACTAACCTTCTCCAACTTTTTCTTGCAGTACTCACGACTGCAGCTTATTAACCGTAAATTGCATCATGACTGCCATATGCCAGTGAAAATAATAAACCATGAACTTTGCTAAATTTTAGTTGTTCCTAGTTCAAATCCTAGAAATTTTACTTATTAGTTCTATGACTTGGGCAAGTAATGTTAGTCCTAGTGCCTCAGTTTCTTCATGTATCAAAAGAGGGTGATTATAGTACCTGACATTTGGTTTGGTAGGAGGACTTAATGAGATATATGTAAGGCTCTGATACTGGCTGGGACATAATGAGCTTATAACACATGATAGTTATTATTATCACCCTAAATTTTGAGTCAGATTTCAGAAACAAGAGTAATTCCAGTCAGTTAACTTTCTGTATGGTACCTTCCGGTAGGCTTGGGATACCACAAAGAATATGGACTTTGAAGATACAGAAACTTGTATGATATGAATTTTGGCTCCGCCACTTCTGAGTGACCTTGGGTGAATTACTCAATGTCTTTGAATTTCAGTTTCCCCGTTTGTAAGCTCTTTAAAAAATGTTTGTGAATATAAATGTCTCTTCACAGAAATTTGAAATTTTAGACTTAGCTGAAGCAAGCAAAATTGCTGTTAGAGTCCACAACTCTGACACATCCATGAAGATCTCAACACCAGCATGATCTAAAACTGCTTCCAAAGTAGCCAGTCATAGTACCAATAAACTGGGAAGGGCCTTTCAACATCATCTTGTCTAATGCATTCATTTTACAGAGAGAGAGAAAAAAAAAACAAGGTTCAAAGGAATTCAGTGAGTCATCTAAGATGACACA
This sequence comes from Homo sapiens, assembly GCF_000001405.40. Taxonomy (NCBI): domain Eukaryota; kingdom Metazoa; phylum Chordata; class Mammalia; order Primates; family Hominidae; genus Homo; species Homo sapiens. The sequence goes on along the minus strand of NC_000011.10, from coordinate 80,103,584 downwards.
GCTAGAAAAAATCTTCCCTCAAAAGAAGAACCCAGTTATACTGAAATGACCAATATTCTGTCCTAGTCTAGCAAAGCAAAACAAAAAAAAATAAGTAAGATGGTGAATTCAAATTTAAATTAAAGGTTGAAGAAAAGGAAGGGGGAAAAAAGGAAGGAGGGAAGGAAGGAAAAGAGAAAGAAGGGAAGGAAAATCTAATGGAGTGTGTGGCATCATCTGGAGCACATGCTGGTCCCGTGGCTTCGAGTATGGTGAGGCCAGCAGGATGGGCGCTGAAGAGAACAGGACAGGAGGTGAGGCTGCAAAGACACAAATCCCAGCTCCACCTCCCAGGAGCTGTGCAATCTGAACAGAGGAACCTAACTTTTCTACCCTTCAGTTTCCTAATATCACCTTCTCTGTATGGTTGTTGCGAGGACTAAAGAAATGACTGGTGCTCAGGCACAGTGGCTCACACCTGTAATCCCGGCACTTTGGGAGGCTGAGGCAAGTACATCACTTGAGGTCAGGAGTTCAAGACCAGCCTGGCCAACATGGAGAAACCCTGTCTCTACAAAAATACAAAAAAATCAGCTGGGTGGGGTGGTGCATGCCTGTAATCCCAGCTGCTCGGGAGGCTGAGACAGGAGAATCACTTGAACCCAGGAGGCATAGGTTACAATGAGCCAAGATCATGCCATTGCACTCCAGCCTGCGTGACAGATCGAGACTTCATCTCAAAAAAAAAAAAAAAAAAAAAAAAAAAAGAGAAAGAAACGACTGGTATAAAATTATTAGTACGTAGGCAATATTAGTACTTGCTGTAGCACATAGGAAATATTCAATAAATTTAGCTGTTCTTATTAAATGTGAATTTGACTATCATTTCTTTTTTCCGCTTTTAAAATAGTTGTTTTGAAATCATTGTGATATTTTATGTTTTCTCAAACACCATGGAGCTAACATTGTGATAGGTATTGGAAGTAATAACGAAAGAAGGAAAGGGCTTGTAGGAGGGCGTGCTGGAAAGGAACCAACGCTAAAATGTATGCAGTGCATACTATTTGTGGGACATTGTGTGGGAAGCTTTACATATTTTCTTCTACTTAATTCTTGTCAGAGGGCTATGGAGTAAGTATTAGTGGTCTCATTTTACTGATGAGGAAAATTAAACTCTGAGCGACTAAATAATTTGGCCAAAGCATTTTTGACACAAGAGCCTCTTTTCTCTTTCTTCCATGATACAGTCCCTGACCAGCATGAGTGCTTTGGCTATAAGTCTAATTCTATAACCACCAGCCTATATTCTTAGAAATCTTTAAAACGAAGATCAGAAAAAGAAAAAATGCCTATTACTGGTTTTCTTGGTTTTTAGGTAAACTACTGTGAAGAGCCCTCATTCATTTTCCGATTCCCTTTTTCCCTTCTCTAGACTGTGAATCACCAGATTTAAAAGCAGGCAATCTTGGAATTTATGTATTTTTCTGTGTTTTCTTATTTTCAGGATAAACAGTATTGCTGCTCTGAAGACAGCTTGAGTAACACTGTTCTTGGACATTGATGGGCTTGTCTAATTAAGGTAATATATATACATACATATATATATATATGCATGCACACATGCACACATGCACACACATAATACGATTTTCTTATACTTTTTTTCTATGCTCAAGTGTTGTGGTTTGCAGAAACATGTTGATGTGTAAGGTGGGAGGGGAAGAGCAATAACTGAGAAACTAGTGGCCTTTGTCTTTTGTCTTGAGAAAAATCCCGTGAGTTTGAAAGCAGCATTCTCAACAGATCTCTGACAGTAGGCTTCGTCAAAGTTGGTAGAGATGACCAGCATTAAACCCACTGATTGCTTTGGCTTAAGTGGATTGGTTTTCTTCTTTGTGAAGGACTTTCTTAATCTAAGACTATTTTTCCACTTTTTCTGAAGCATTCCTTTGTAAAAAGTCAAATAACATAACAATGTTTCTTTGACAGAAAAAATAAGTTAATTGATAAAATTTTCTCATTTTACAACTTTCTTTCTCCAGTTTTCTCTTGAGCCTTTGAGACTGGCTGTTATTTGGCCTCCTACGTGCACCTGCCAATGACCAAATTAATAAAAAAGTAGTGAATAATGTTATTGGAAAGACTCAGAAATAGCTGACCATGCTTAGGTCATGATATATATTTTTTAATAGATTTGAATACTTTGTTCTGGTTTTCTGTTGCATTTGTATGCAGCAATCTAGTCATATTTTCTGTTCATAAAAATTATAACTAGTTCAGAGATTGGGATTAACTGTGTCTTTTTCAGTGGAACTTTGCAACTATTATGGTGTTCTAAGGAGCATGGTGTTCCATGATTTCCAGGTGTTCTGCCACCTGGATGACGTGCAGAACCACAATTAAGGGTCATAATTTCCATTTGTGATTCCAACATGTGGATAAAGTATTTATTATTGTTGATTGTATTTCTCAGAAGCTCTTTATTAACAGTTCTCACATGTAAGAAGGCACATTGCTCAAGTTTACCAGATGGAGATCTGAGGCTTGCAACATGGTAACCTATAGATAATTCAAGCCTGATTAGGCACATGGTAAACTCAAGTCATTATAAGCTTGGTGAGTTTGCCATAATGCTCCAGAAGTTGCTTTCCCTTATGGGGAAACTGTCCTTAGTAAAAGGGCAAATTGATGACCTGGTCCTCCTCTTATAAAACCAGGAGGCTAAAACCACTTCATGACCACTTGACTAGGTCTAGAAAAGAAACTGGAAAATTGATTAAAATATATATATTTATTGAGCAATTATTGTATGCTTTAGGAATAAGGTAAGAGGAGGCAGAGAGCCTCAGAGCTGATCTTTCAAATCAGAAGAGCCAGTTTATGGAAGGAGGGATTCAGTATGTGAATCAGTGAGAAGCCTCCAAGGTAAGGTAATAGACTTGGGTAAGAGTTTTCCATCACAGAGATGTGGATGGTAAAATACATATCTGAATTCAGGGATCCAGTTTGCCTAGAAGGAAAGGGCAGAAATCAGGTTTTAAGAGGCTAGATAGAGAGAGAGAAATTTCATCAGGTAGCCAAACCATGGAGCTCCAAGCCAAAGTCCTTGAGAGTGGTCCAGGTATCAAGCAACATAGAGATCAAATATAAATTCTATTAAAGAAAGACCTTTAGTTTCCCTTTTCGTCCTATATATGTGGTCAGTGTTGTCACAAAGGTTTAAATTTGTAGCAATGGGACAGAGAGCTCTAGGAAGTTAGTGCTTAGGAATTTCAGCCAATGACCTGTTGCAAATGTGGAACTTATCAGAGTTTTGAGCAAGTGAGGTTGCTCTTCATAGAACCCTTCCTTTTTTAAATTTTCTACCACTGAAATAGCTGTCGGTTGTGGTTCTGTAAATCAGTCCTAGCTGACACACTTAAGGGTAGCTTCTGCACAGTTCAGACAGGAACTGAGCTGCATCTCTTCCTGATCAACAAAATTAGGGAATTCATCTGCTACAAGCTGAGGCCAGCCCTGGGCCCCAATGCCAACAAACACAAGCCAGGATTCAATCCCCTCTCAGCTGGCGCCAGGTGTCCCCAACCTTCAGTTGCATTTCTTGGCCTTGTCTGTCCACAGCGTTGACTGAGGTGAACCTTCCTCACCCTGAGAAAACAAGGGGCCTTACAGAACTTTCTTTCTGGCTCTGCTCCCAAGAGACCTTCAAGCTCCTGAAATGCTGCATTTAAAGTTTTGCAACTCTTGCCCATGCCCATCTAAGAAAAGGCTTTTGGTTTTGCAGCCTGCAAGCAAAACTCTAAAATAAGACTATGAAAATAAAGCCAATTTACCACTCTCTCCCTACCAAGCACCACTTTTGTAAATAAGGAATAAAATAGCCCTATCCCCCCATATCCCACACCAGCTCTTCCTCCCCTCCTCCTGGCCCCCGCAGCTCCCTAGCAGGCAATCTCTTTACCCCAGAATTGTCAGGAAAGCACTGGCTGACAGGTCATGTTATTGCTTCTGATCCCATTGGTCACATTGTATAACATGTTAACTCCTACCCTAATTCGGTAGATGCAGCTTGACAGGGCATAGCAGGGATGTGGTCTAGCTTCCCTGGAGCTGCATTTAAGACTCCACTGCTGGGGACCCGCACAGCATTCAAAGCATTTTAGGGCATATTTCTTGATCAAAATACGTGTAAGGGCAGCAGACTGTCCCTACCTGTAGGGTTAGGTTCCAGGAAATGTCTGTGGCCATTCTTGTCTTCTTATTTAATGAAGGTTAAAGATCTTAAGTCAGTATAAGAAAAAAAGTATAAATGATGTAAAATAAGTTTTAAGTCCTTAAAGGACTGAGGTTGCAGTGACCATCAGAAAGCATTTTCAATGCATTTTCATGTTCAATAAAAGTGGTATACCAAGTCGAGAGAATGCCAATGACATTGTATACATCTCCAGTTTAAAATAAGAGGGTTGAACAAGTCAGTTCCACTTATCATCCCTTGCCCAGGGGAAGCTTTCAGCTTGCATATTTGTTTTACTTTATTGCAACAAGAGTATGCTAGGAGAAATGGAATTCCCTTCCATAGTATTTTGCTGTGGGTTCTATGCTAGGTTCTGCAGACAGAAAAATAAAAGAGATATGGTTGGTTCCCTGACCCCAAAGAATTCACAGCCTAGATGAGAAAAGAGAATGTACACAATGGTAACCCAGAGCAGAAGGCAGGTTGGAGAGAAAGGAGCTTAGAGTCAGGAGACCAGCAGATTGCTTCTGCAACATTCCAAATGAGAGGAGGAGGAGGGAACAGGACACTCAACAAGGGCAGTGGTGACCGAAACGCAGAGAAAGGGACCGAGAGAGGACACATCTGAGTTAGGAGCACAGGGAAAGTATAGGTAAGGGGACAGCCAAGAATCTCGAAAAAATCAAGGGTCTAAGAAAATAGCTTGAATCTTCCAGATTAAAATGATTGCATTTCTCCCCCTGCTAGACCAATTTTCAAGGAGTTTGAGTCCCTAGTAATTCGTTTTAGCACCTTTTAGACCATTTGTAATGATCAATAGCCTGGATTCTTTTTTTTTTTTTTTTTTTTTTTTTTGAGACGGAGTCTCGCTCTGTCGCCCAGGCTGGAGTGCAGTGGCGGGATCTCGGCTCACTGCAAGCTTCGCCTCCCGGGTTCACGCCATTCTCCTGCCTCAGCCTCCCGAGTAGCTGGGACTACAGGCGCCCGCCACTACGCCCGGCTAATTTTTTGTATTTTTAGTAGAGACGGGGTTTCACCGTTTTAGCCGGGATGGTCTCGATCTCCTGACCTCGTGATCCGCCCGCCTCGGCCTCCCAAAGTGCTGGGATTACAGGCGTGAGCCACCGCGCCCGGCCGGCCTGGATTCTTTAAGAAACAAGCTACTGATGAAATTGACATTTTAAAATATTGTTTTATTTCTTTTCTTTTGCTTTTTGTCCCAAAGTGTCTTGGAAGTTAGAAGGGAAATGTGAGTCATATGCTGCATAGCTGAGAAGGCTGGAGGTACTGATGCTGTTACCAGATGATAGGAAATCAGGTTATAAGCCCTATTTGTTTTCCAGTGTCTCCATGATGTGACATTAGGAGGTGATGGCTGCAGTTACCGGAGACATTTGTTCCAATGATGTTCATAAATATACTTTGTTAGGCAGTTATGTCGAATCGACCTCCCCTCTCTTCCCCTCTCTGAGAGCAGGCTGCCTTTCAGCTGTTTGATTTCTCTCCCTGAGATAGGACTGTGCTGACAGAGAATCTGGAACTCAGGTGTGAGACGGTAATGTGAAATCTAACTGCAGTATGTGCACAGGAGGAAAAGGCAAGCTGGGAGGTGAAGAAGGACACTGGGAGTACCCTAACTCTATATGGGAATATTTGCGTTTGAGCTGAATGATGAGCTGGCTGAGAAGCTGAATGATGAACCGGCTGAGGTGGGAAGGTAGTCATTCAAGGCTGGTAGGTGATGGGCAAATTGGCAAGTCTCTTTCCCTTCTGGGTTGGGGCCTTGTTTTTTGGATAGGTAGAGATGGTGGGTTTATTATTTTGGGGATTCATGAAGAGCTCTGGAGAAGAGGACACATAATGAGGTTAGATACTCCTAGCTGTGTGACAGCTCTCTGCGCTTCAGTTTCTCTGTCAGATAAGCATTTGGCTACTCACCTTGCAAAGTTGTTTTAAGATAAAATGAAACAACATGGCATGTGGTTAGCCCAGTTGCAGGTATCGACCTAGGGCATGACCCTCAAGGATGTCAGCTTCCTTCCGCAACCCTGTTCTCTCCTCCATAAAGACGGTGCAAGAGAGATAGCAGTTTTGTTACAATGCAAACAGGCTCAGTAATGAAACCTACCTCAGTGCATGAAAGTGCACTGTGGGATGTACATGGCTTCCTGGGGAATCTTGTTAAAATTTAGATTCTTATTTAGTACTTCTTGAGTAGGACCTGAGATTCTGCGTTTTTAACTTGCTCTCAGGTGATATGGATGTTGCTGATTCATGGACTGCACTTTGGCAGTAAGAACCTACCAGGGATGGAGCTGGCAGGAGGAAATGTCCTTGCAAAGGAATCTGGACAGTTAAAGGAACAGTGTCCAAGGTTATATCCAGATGAATCAGGCATGGGGTGGGCAGATTCCTGTGGCAAAGGAAATTCCATTCCATTTTTGAGGCAAGATTGTGGATGACACCAGTCTTGAAATGACCTCGAAGCAGGAGGCCCTGGGTAATCATCCCATGTGTAAAACCTCAATGGCTCCTGACTGCCCTTGCGTTAAAATTCAAATTCCTCAGCATAACTACCATACCCATCATGATCGTGTTTCTCCACATACTCTCTCCCTGTGCATTATGTTTTTTTCTGCATTTGGCCATGTCTTTGCATGTGCTGATTCTTCTGCCTGGAATGGTCTTTGCTCTCGGCTGCCTTGCCTACCTAACAAGCTCCTATTCACCTTTCAAATTTATTTTTTAAAAACCAACTTCTCTGTGAGAGTTAAACATTCATAGCTTATATGTATACTAAAGTCTCTAACCATATTTCTGAGGATCAATGGACTCCAGGGCTGTCTATCTTCTCCCCACCCTGCCGCCGTAATCTGTGAGGTTCTTGAGAGTGGGGTCCTTGTTTAATTGTCTCTGTCTTCCTAGGACCTAGCACAGTGCTGGACAACCCCAGTCATTCAGTAAATTATAGTTAAATTGAACAGAAGATTGGTTGGAGGAAACAGTATGGGTACGATTACAGCCTGCTCTAGGAGAGAACTTGTGAACATAGGGGGCTTTAACCAAAAAGTTGGAGGAGTAAACCAGGGAGGACTTTCATCTGAAAGAAGGGATTGTGTACTCAGCAGAGTAAATTTGCATGCAGACTGTTGAATGCAGGTTGCAGGCATCCTAGATGAGAAGGGACCCCAGCCTTGTGGATTAACCTATTGCTGAGTAGAGTAGAGTGATGCTCTGTGATTTTCTGAAGTGCTTGTCATATGTACTACTGCTGAGCCCATTTTAACCCTTCAGGTTCTTTGCAGAAATAGGGTCCCTGTCTGTCCTCCAGGTCTCACTCCCACTTAGGGAAACATCTGAAGTAGCTAAGGCCAATACTGACTTATTGAAACCCTGATTGACAAATGTGACAGGAAAAAGTAAACTTGAGTTCCGCCCAGTGATGGAGAACTTGAATTAAGAAAAGGAGAACAGGAGAGATACTACCTCACCTCCTACATGAATTCTACCCTCTGAGCCCAAGGCTGGCTTCTTCAGTCCCTCCTTCCTTTGGGGTCATTCTCTATAACTACCTTTACAAATTTGCAATCTAAGTCTCTCTATTCTGAAGTTAATAGTTGCAAAAGTATTAAGAGCTTCCTGTATGTAAGGCCCTATACATAGTGTGTTGCTATGTCTATTTTGTCTAAGCAATTCATATTGACAATTAAGGAAAAACACTTCTATACTGCCCAGGTAGGGAAATGGACCCTAGACATGAACCCTGGCCTTACCATTAACAAACTATGAGACTCTAGGCAATTCTCTGTGCCCTCAGATTCCTTACGCATAAAATGGAAATAACAATACCTCCTTCATGGAGTTTCTGGAAGGAGTAGACAAAATACTACATTTTATTCTGTTGCCTCTTTCTGAAAACTATGCTTATGTCAATAATATTATCTCAAACCTATATCATACATTGAAATATATTATTAAGTTACCATATAAAAATGTCTTGTTAGGGAACGAAAAGCTACAAATATCAATGCAATAGAAGGGACTACCCCAAAATAGACCTAAAATGTATAACAGGATCTAAAGGCCAGTGACTTAACACATATGACGTGCAAGGCATTTAAAATAAACCAATCAATTTACAAAAGACAGAGCAATGCTTTGATGAAACAAAGTCGCCAAAAGGGATATTAAACAAGCAATTCATTGGGGGAACAATGTAGCCAATAAGTATATCAAAGGCTTTTCAGCCTCACTTACTGTTATTATTTTCTGTGTAACGAAGTTGATACTTAGAAGGGGGAAGTAACTTTCCAAAAGTCACTGTAAGAGTAGGTAGAAGAACTCAGCATGAACCTGGTTTCTCTTTCAGTTGCTTGTCTTTTAAAGAATGTATAAGTGGGAGCTGAACAATTAGAACACGTGGGAGGGGAGGGGAACGACCCACACCAGGGCCTGTTGGGGGTGGCGGTTGGGGAGGGAGAGCATCAGGATAAATAGCTAATGCTTGTGGGGCTTAATACCTAAGTGACGGGTTGATAGGTGCAGCAAACTACCATGGCACACGACTGCCTGTGTAACAAACCTGTACGTCCTACACATGTATCCCAAACTTAAAATTAATTGAATTAAATTTTAAAAATTTAGTTCTTTGTTATTTCTGCTTATTTTGCTTTTCCAAATGTATTTTGCATTAAACTCCTTTTGGATTTTGAAAGTAAGACAAAGCAAAACAAAATTTAAATTCTCAGAATATTAATTGAAATTATAAAATGTAGACATTAAAATAGGAAATTGGAAAATTTAATAAAGATTTTCTTACTTGCACGTTCATCTCTTATTCTTTAAAATAATGTTTGTGGCCGGGTGTGGTGGCTCACACCTGTAATCCCAGCACTTCGGGAGGCAGAGGTGGGCAGATCACTTAAGGAATTCAAGACCAGCCTGGCCAACATGGAGAAACCCTGTCTCTACTAAAAATACAAAAATTAGCCAGGTGTGGTGGCACGTGCCTGTAATCCCAGCTACTTGGGAGGCTGAGGCAGGAGAATCCCTTGAACCCAAGAGACAGGGGTTGCAGTGAGCCAACATCACGCCACCACACTCCGGCCAGAGACCCTGTCTCAAAGAAATAAATAAATAACAATAAAATAAATAAAATAATGTTTGTGTTTACTTTTTCTATCCCAAGCAATATGTGAGGCACAAATGTGAGAAAAGTGAGCAGAATGTAACCCATGCCCTTAAGCACATTACCAATGCAGGGGGTAGAGACATATATAAATAAATAATTTTAACATTTGCTTTGTGGTTTTTTTTAATTATACTTTAAGTTCTAGGGTACACGTGCACAACGTGCAGGTTTGTTACATATGTACACATGTGCCATGTTGGTGTGCTGCACCCATTAACTCATCATTTACATTAGGTATATCTCCTAATGCTATTCCTCCCCCCTCCCCCCATCCCACAACAGGCCCCGGTGTGTGGTGTTCCCCTTCCTGTGTCCATGGGTTCTCATTGTTCAATTCCCACCTATTTGTGAGAACATGCAGTGTCTGGTTTTCAGTCCTTGCAATAGCTTGCTGAGAATAATGGTTTCCAGCTTTGTCCCTGTCCCTACAAAGGACATGAACTCATCATTTTTTATGGCTGCGTAGTATTCCATGGTGTATATGTGCCACATTTTCTTAATCCAGTCTATTATTGATGGACATTTGGGTTGGTTCCAAGTCTTTGCTATTGTGAATAGTGCCGCAATAAACATATGTGTGCATGTGTCTTTATAGCAGCATGATTTATAATCCTTTGGGTATATACCCAATAATGGGATGGCTGGGTCAAATGGTATTTCTAGTTCTAGATCCTTGAGGAATCACCACACTGACTTCCACAATGGTTGAACTAGTTTACAGTCCCACCAACAGTGTAAAACTGTTCCTATTTCTCCACATCCTCTCCAGCACCTGTTGTTTCCTGACTTTTTAATGATCGCCATTCTAACTGGTGTGAGATGGTATCTCATTGTGGTTTTGATTTGCTTTGTTTACTACAGCCAGTTATAGTAACTATTTTTACTAATTGTAGCAAACGTTATCTGATTTATGAAATGCTCTCTGTGACTAATCATGGCATATGCACATGACAGAGAGTCACAACATTTTATATCTAAAACCCTTGGGACTTGATATTTCTTGTAATTCGGAATTTGAATAGTAATATAGTGCATAGTTGCGTATGTTACATAACAACTTCAGCAGGGTCTGGGGAAAAGCCCATAATCAAGCATATTAAAATATCTGCAGCAGGATAAACATTCACATTCAGATCTGTTTTTGCACCAAATGAGTGATGCAAAACATTCAGCTTTCAGAATATTTTGGATTTCAGAATTATAGACAAGTCTTATGGATCTATGATTTTTAAATTTTTAATATGTATCAATTTTATTTCTTCATCTGCCTTATTGCACCAGCTAGACCTACTTAAATAATATTAAACAAGGGTTGGCAGAGTAGGCAAACTTGTTTTATCCCTAATTTACAGATCTGCATCTCATGTCCCCTAATAAAAAGTTATTTGGTTGGAGGTTTAGAATAGGAATATTCATCAAATTAAGAAAGAATTATTTTATTCCAACTTGAAAAATGAAAATTATTAAGTTTTATCAAACGCAGTTAGGGAGTATTGAAATAATCATCTACTTTTTTATTACTAGCCTGCTGATAAACTTCTATTGCATTATTCAATTTCCTTATATTGAAACTGGGTATGTTCCTGTTGGATTATTGAATCAGTAATATTAGCTTGTTAAGCTCTAATCTGAAGTAGTTAGTTGAAGGTTTTGAATCTGTAAATTTATAGTTTAGGTTATTTGTTTTCTTTTTTGCGTAATATTTTATCACCTTTGGGGATCTGAATCAAATCTGTCTTGTGAAACAAATTGGATAGTTTTCCCATCTTCTACTCTCCAGAACATATTATAATAAATATATGTATGTATTTCTTGAATGCTTGAGTTTAATCACTGTTAAATCTCTCAAGATCCATGATCTTTCAGGCAAACAGTTCTTTAAGAGCTTTCTGCAATTCTTCCTCAGTTATTGGTTTGTTCTCATTTTCTATTTCTTCTGTAACTTTCAAAACTAGATTCTCTGTTATCAGATTGGGAAGATTAGAAGTTAAAGGAGGAGGTGTTTTTAACCTGCCCAGCTGTGAATGCATATGTCTTTGCATCACTGAATTTATAACAGTTTTTATTTGCTCCTCTAATTGACGTTTTTTTTTTTTTTCTAACATGGGACTTCATTGTAAGAGATTTGATTTGGGCACAAATATTCATCAGTTTATCTTTCACTTTGGTGTCTTTGAAATGATGTCTTAAAGAACAACTAGATTCTGAGAAAATCATGTCTAAAAGAACTTGAGAGATTATTTGGTATAGTCTACTGATGCTAGAAATGGTGAAACTGAGGTCTCAGCTGGTGAAATAATTTACATGTTATAGTGTCAAGAACAAAACCAAGCTCAGCCTGGCTAATGGAGTGTCATTTTAAAATAAGCACAGCTATGAAACAGGTTACGTATATTTCTCTTCCTTGCTGGCCTCAGAACTTTGCCTACTCTTGACTCCCAAGTATTATATCCCACATGTGAGTTGGTGCATAGTACATGATGGTGTCCAGAAGCCTAATGGATGTGGCTGCCAGTCTTTCCACTCCAGGTTATGTCATCAAATCAATAAATTTCTTCAATGCCAGCAGGCTATAGAAGGAAAGACAAGAGCAAGTCCCAGGAACTATCAGTGACTTTCATTCTTCCTCCAGTTTATATCTGCTCTTACTCATTGTGAAGCATTGCCTGAAGCCTAGTTGAGGGTTTTACCTATTAATTTTATTATTCATAATTAAAATTACCAAAATACCAAACAATAAAGCTTTGACTTAAAGGAGTAGGAACTGTATTATGCCCAGGTAAAGATTGATCTAATCGATTTTGAGGATGGCTGTTTTTGTTACACTGGATGTTCAGTGCCTGCCATCCTGTAAACTAACCATGACATCATGTTATGGTGAAAGCAAATGTGGGTTCTGAGACTTATCCTCGCTTTTATCAATAAACAAGGAAGGCACTTAACTGTGTGAATGCCAGGCCTAGAAAATCATTCAGTGAGTTCATCTGATTCTTTCTCCGAGAGCTGGACTTACTGAAGCTTCTGTTGTTTTCATAGCATCCATGTGAGACCTGATTAGAAAACTTCTGTACTTTTAAGTTTTTCTGGGAGTACAAATTGTTTTGCCCGGTCCTTCAGGCAGAACAAATAAACACAAAATAATTAAATACATGATGCTGAAGAACAGGAATAGAGGTGCTGATCCCCTGTCCTGGGGATCTGGGGTGGCACAATTAGGCAGGCCAAGGCTTGAAAGAGCAGAGTGATTATCTGGAGGATACAAGAGAAAAGAGCCAGTAGGTGAGTGTAAGGAAGTCCTCCCCTGGAAAATGCAAGGGATTGAAGTTTTTAAGTTTGATTTGCCATTAGTTTTAAGTGCTGCACCCAGCATAGGAAATGGGGAACAAAGCCAATGATATCTACAGAAGCAGAGAGTCAGTTAAAAAACAAAACAAACAATATAGAAACTTAATAGGTGAGATATCTGTGTAAAATTACATAATGAGTGTAAAGCACTTAGGACAGGACCCGATAGACTGCTCAGGAAATACTGGCTATTATTAGAACAGATTTTTAAATGTCCATCTCTTCCTTTAAAGCTGGGTGTCCAATGTATTGGCTTCCCTGGGCCACATTGAAAGAAGAATTATTTTGGGCCACACATTAAATACACTAACACTAACAATAGCTGATAGGCTAAAAAAATTCATAAAAAATCTCATAATGTTTTTAAAAAGTTTATGAATTTATGTAGAGGCATATTCAAAGCCATCCTGGGCCACAGGTTGGACAAGCTTGCTTTAAAGCTTAAAAACCCCTACAGTCTCTTCTTTTCCATCATCAAATCCTGTCAGATAATATCTTCAAAGTATTTTCCAAATCTGGTCACTTCTTACTTCTTCCAGAATTCCTTCTCCAAACTATCATCATCTTTTCAAAATCGATGTCCCTTTTTCCACCACTGGCTGCTGCAGTGCATCCCTCACCCAGAAAATCAGTTCAAGATGCTGGCTCACATGTTCTCCCATGGCTGCCCAGGTCACGGAGAAGCTTTCACATACTTGTACCATGACCTGAAGGCTCCCTCATGATCTCACTCCTGGCCACCTTTCTAACTTCATCTCCTACCACCTTCTCTTATTTACTCTACTTTTCTTGTAGCTCTTAAAGAAAGCCAAACTAGTTCCAACTCCAGGCCTTTTACACTAGCTATGTCCTCTTCCAGACATGTTTGTGCATCATATTGTCCCATAGTCCGGACTGTTCTAGTCTTCAAGATTTTTTTCAAACAGAAGCTTCTTAGAGAAGATTACTCTGAGGTCTTATCCAAAATTCTATCTTCTCTGCATTCTCTATGCCTTTGCTGCTTTCTGTTTTCTTCACAGTGTATGTCTTTTCACTTTGGGAATTTATTATAAATTTATGTAGTTGCTAGTTTGTAGCTTCTCTCTCTTAGAGAATGTAAACTACATGAGGGCAGAGACTTGATCTATCTCATTTACAGTTGTATCCTCCAGGGATCAGAATAGTGGCATAAAGTAGGGAACTCAACAATTAGTTTTGAATGAATAAAAAAAATATTTCTAAGAATGTATGTTTGTATTTGGAATAGCATGCCAAATACAACACAATAAAATAAGCAGATGAAAATGTGACGGAGAAGAGAAAATAAATGTTGGCAAATAAAAATTAAGCTGTAGGGAGGGTTTTCCATGAAGTTCATTTTATAGTCATGTTTTATACACTTGGTAGATGAGTCAGATACTTGACTTTGTCGATATTTATTGACAACCTACTATGTGCCAGGAATTTTTAAAGACATAATTTTACACATGTGCACGTGCACAGACACGCAGAAAATATAGTCTGCACATAATTATATATATAGTCTCTATATATGTATGTATGTCTATGTGTGTGTGTGTGTGTGTGTGTGTGTGTGTGTGTATAATATATATACAAATCAACTCTGGTCAATCCTGAGGGGTTGATGTCATTCTCCCCTCTTTATTTATCAGCTAAAAAGACCAAAACTCAGAAAGGTGAGGTTACCTGTGTATTTAAATAATGGTGTAAATAATACCAAAGTTCAGACTTTTCCACACTTATGTACACATTTTGAAAGGTTTTATTTATAGCTCCACTGCTTTCTAGATGTGTGATATTATTCAAATTAGTTGGCACCCTTGATTTTGTTTCATCATTTGTAATACGAAAGAAGCAGATTTAGTCTGCTTATTCCAAAAAGTTGCTTCCAATTTAGAGGAAGTAATGAATGTGAAACACTGAACATGGAGGTTCACTGTGCTCACCATGACAGGGAGAAAAATCGATCTTCTGTGAGAACACATTGAGCTAATATGGAAAGAGAAGCAGAGAAGACAGATGATAAGAACGTCTTGATGCTGGTTGAGTCTCCTCTGCATCCAGTCATTCCTGAAGCCAGCTCTGATTCTTCCCCCTCCACCACCGGTAAATAGAAAATTTTCCTCTTTGACTTAAACTAGCCATGTAGCTGCTGTTCACAACTGAAAGCCTCATAACTAACACAGAGCCCTGCATTGACCTCCTTGGAGCCTTGCTGATGCAGTTCTCACCATGTGAGGAGCCCTTTTATCAAAAGTATACCTGACTCTAATGTCTAGGAGTGTAATGTTGAAAAACACTGAGTTTCTGCTTCAAAAAAATTCCAATATTAGTCAGATATCAGACATTTAAAAGAGATATATGCATGTTACATAGATGCAAAGTGTTGTGGGAAATCAGAAAAGAGGACATTATATTTGCAGTGAGACCTGAAGAATAAGTAGGGATCCATACTATCTTCAATTTGATCATGCAGATTTCCTTTTAAATCAGCCACTTTCACATTTTTTAGAAATCTGGTCAAAGCTTTAGAGGGTATCTCTAGGGAAAAAAAAATCTCTGGCCAAATGGTTGTTAGACTCACAGATGTATTAGAAGCATAACATACCTTCCAATGCCACTTGTCCATGAGTTCAGTTTTCACTACAGTGTTTCTTTACTTACTGGAATTCATAGACATCTTGCAGAAATAGTATAGCCCTTTCCCGAGAAACATGTGCACCTACAGAGTTTCTCATACAATGTCATGAGTGCTATGACCCCTAATTGAAATTCCCTGCCATGTAGAATCAGCTACTGACCCCTTCGACTGGCCTCTTTGTGGGGTCAGGACCCCTCTGACTCCCACCCACAGGCAGGTACTAAGTGTTTTCTGCCATAAGAACCATGGCTGGCCTGGCTGGATGCGGTGGCTCACGCCTGTAATCCCAGCACTTTGGGAGGCCGAGGCGGGTGGATCACGAGGTCAGGAGATCAAGACCATCTTGGCTAACGCGGTGAAACCCCGTCTGTACTAAAAATACAAAAAAATTAGCCGGGCATGGTGGCGGGCGCCTGTGGTCCCAGCTACTCGGGAGGTTGAGGCAGGAGAATGGTGTGACCCAGGAGGCGGGGCTTGCAGTGAGCTGAGATTGCGCCACTGCACTCCAGCCTGGGCGACAGAGCAAGACTCCATCTCAAAAGAAAAAAAAAAAGAACCATGGCAAAAATAAATGGTGACTTGTTAAACAGCTTTATCATATGATTTGCCTTCTATACTCTAATGTCTCAAAGTTATAACTGACTAGATGAAGCTCATGAGGAAAATAACCCATTTGACTTGGCTTATACTTCCAAGAGTGAGCTATTCTCCAAGAAGCCAGAATCTAGCTCAGGAGCCTCTCTCTCAAACAAATGTGAGTTATGCAGCTTCTGTCTGTAGGGCACTGTGCATTTCCTCTCCACTGCTGCACAAGATGCTTCTTAGCCGTAGCTATTGAATTAATCAATCAAATTTCATTTTTATTACACCATTCTGGAAAATCCACTCGTACCCCTTTCCAGTAATACTGAAAAGAAAAATAATCCATACCACTCAATTAAGAATAAAACATATGTCTTCTTGATGATGTCTGAGTGGTGGCAATTCCAGTGGTCATTGTCTCTTGAAGTTACTCAGCATTAAAGCCAAGATAGACTACCAGGGTATACCTGCAAGCAGATAAGTTTCATTACAACCACTAAAAGAAAAAAAAAAGAAATATTTATAAAGTAAGGGGTCTCCAATGACCCAGTATCTATAGCCAGAAGCAATAATAATAACATGCATTTAGTGAGCACTTTCCCTTCTAACTGTTCAAAGAGCTGCACCAACTAATATTTAATTCACCTCCACCACAGCCATCTGATTTATAACTTCTCCAGGGCCCAGGACTTGAGTAAAGAAGATTACTCAGGCAGTCAGCAATGGTCTTGGCTGCTTAAATAGCCAAGGTTATACATTTACTGGCATTACAAGAGAGGAATCCAGAATCTAGAATAAGGGAAGGGATGGATGTTTTTGCTGGTGTAGAATCAGGCTCGTTGTCAAGAGAGGAGTGCCCCAGAAGTAAGAGCTCACCAAGAAGACTCATGGGAGGCATCACCCTGTAATAACCCAGCCATGGGTTGGCATTCTTAGCCTTATGGCTCCATAAACTCCACCTTGTTAATGGCCTGGAGTTGACATAACTCAAGGGAATTGCCTGATCATAACCTAACTCATAATACACAAATTCAAATGAAATCAGACTACCTATCAATGTGTTCATCTAAAATGCACAAATATTTCTTTGAGTGACTAAAGGGCAGTGTTTGCTCACGAGACATCTGTCTGGTTCCCTTGTACCAAAAAACAAACAAAACAAAACAAAAAGCAAAAAACTTGGGAGCTAACATAGTGATTGATGAATATAGAATCAAAGACCACTTTTTTTGTGTTCCTTGAAGGCAATTAGAGACAGTTATTCTCCCTCTTTTCTTCCCTATTTCCTTTTTACTCTCCCTCTATTTTTGTTTCTCATATCTGTGGGTCTTTTGATACAAAATTTTCTCCACCTGTAATACTGCCTTTGCTTACATATGTGTATGTGTGTGCACATGCACGCACACACACACTTGTAAGCACACATATGCACACACATACACACACACACACACTTTGGCCAACACCTATCATTCCTTAAATGTCAGCTTCCTATTAAATAATATCTGAGGCCCTCATACCAGGTTAAGTTCTATTATGTACTCCCACAGCACCACACATTTCTCTCTTTTGTAGCATTTATCATGTGGCATTTTAGTTAACTTTTATTGTCCATGAGATTGTAAGTTCCCTTTGGGCAGAGATGGGTAGCGTCTGGTTCACCATCCTCTCCATAGCACCTAACAAGGTACCTGGCATATCTGATATGTATTGAGCTCTTAACAGCAAGAATACAAATTATAGATAACATATTTAAAGCATTCAGATGTGCCAGGCACTAGCCTAAGAACTTTGCATGTATTATGTAATCTTCACAACTTGCATTTATGTACCATGGTCAGCATTTTCAAAAAAGGAAAATGAAAACTGCAAAGATGAAGTCACTTTCTTAGTTTGGGTACCTCAGAAACAAATTCTGAAAATAGGATTCAAGTGCAAGTAGTTTGAGAGATTTCTCAGGAAACGTCCATGGGGGAGTAGAGGAGTGAGACAGGAAAAGGAAAACAGCCAACAAAGGGTGCTTCATCTAGTCAGATACCACTGTGGGTAACTAGAACTCAATGCCATGGGGAAACGCCAGCAGCCAGCGCAGAACACTTACATGAGAGTTATCCCATCAGAAAAGCAAGGGAGATGGGGTATCTATATACCACCTTCCATCAGTCATTGGCTGAGGTCTGCTAAGAATAGGTTTCGAGGGCATTATTCCCCAGCCCTCCAGCCTGCTGTGTGCATGCAGGCACAACAGGCTCCAGCCATCAGAGAGAGCACTGGAGGAGTTGGAAGGCAGGAGAAGCGCCCTTCTGTAAGAAGAACTAAGACATATAGGAAGATAGCAGCTGCCAAGGTACACACTCAAGTTCCATTTTTAATCAGGGACAACACTGGGATGGGAACCTGAGGCTATTTGACTCCAGAGTATACGTTTTTAATGACTATTTTCATACCTATAAGTTAGGTAAATGAATAAAAAGAAGGAAAAAGGAACAAAGAGAAGAAATAAAGATTATCAGGAAGAATTTTTCATGAGAGCTAAGATTAGCTCTGATGAAGCTTTTCTCTCCCCAAAGAGAAAATGCTTTTCTAGCAACTGGGGTGTTGATGCTTTCTGGGTTCAGTGTCTCTCTTCGTGGGGAGCATTGCACCGCTCTGTCAATTTTCTTTCTCTTTATACTTCCCATGGTAAAGGAACCCCTCTGCTTTGGTGCTCTATGTTCTTCCTGGAGATATGATAATATGCTGATTTGGCTACAGTCAAGTCTTGACCTATCCTGGGAGCCGTGCTGTTTCTATGGTGATTGCCCATATATCAGCTGTCAGCTGTTATTCATTGATTTTCTTGGTCAAAAGCTCAGATTACTGAGGGCACTATTTATGGTTGCCAGAAAGCCCTGTATCCTGCCCATATATTTCTTCTCTTCTATTCTCTTCCTCCCCTCATATTCATCATCTCATTCCATGCAGGCTTCAGAATTAGATTGCAGCCCCAAATTTAGTTAATCTATTTTATTGGTGAGATAATGGTGTCTCTCTCACAATGTGATAGCTGTGTCTTGAGAATAGTCATTTGTTAATTCAGTTCTTGTTAATCAAATCTTTTTGTAAAGCAAATAATCATGTCCTACAGGTCATCGTCTCAGTCACACCACTTAGCCAGTGCTTGTATACCATCTGTACATTTGTTTACTTGTGAAATGAAGCCTATGTCCAGCTCCACACATGTATATTGAGCACCTACTATGTGCCAGTCACTGTGGTTGTGACCAAGATGTGAATAGGATATTTTCCCTGTTTTTAAAGTCTGGTGGGAGAAACACATAAAAATGTGGCCAGGCACGGTGGCTCACGCCTGTAATCCCAGCACTTCGGGAGGCCAAGGCGGGTGGATCGCCTCAGGTCAGGAGTTCAAGACCAGCCTGACCAGCATGGAGAAACCCCATCTCTACTAAAAATACAAAATTAGCTGGGTGTAGTGGTGCATGCCTGTAACCCCAGCTACTCCAGAGGCTGAGGCAGGAGAATTGCTTGAACCTGGGAGGCAGAGGTTGCAGTGAGCCAAGATTGCGCCATTGCACTCCAGCCTGGACAACAAGAGCAAAACCATCTCAAAAAATAAAAATGAAAATAAAATTAAAAAAATAAAAGTGTGATGTCAGTACCTGGTGATATGCAGTATCAAATAGTTAAGCATGAGTCATATAAAAAGGATGTACAAGATAAAACAGCCTAAAGCAAGGAAAGGAAGTCAGAGAGGTTACACAGGGACGTAATATCTGTGGTATTGGGTTGAAAAAACATTCCAGCTTGTAAAAAGCCTAAGGTGTGAGCATGAATATTTCTTTCAGGTAATTTCGAAAGGTCCCATTGGATCAAAAAGTGGAGTGGCAGGTGGGTGTGCTTATCATTCCCCATTTAGACTCCTCTCACTCTCCCTCCACCAGTGTCAGTTCAACCCTGTGCCTTGGGAGGCCCACTTCTCTGAACTGCCTTTGTAACTTGAGCTAATTCCTCATTGAGGAGCCTGGTGAGTTAAACCTGGACTCTTTTGCCAGGTGAGATAACTGAACTTGATTCTACAGGCCGGTTGCTTGTCAAACTGTGTTCCATAAACTACTTAGATTAGAGTGGGGCAATGAATCAGGGAGCAGGGTGCAAGCAAGTGCTAAACTCTGCCTCTGCTGAAGTAGCTGTGCTTACTGGTGCTTTAACATGAAATTTGTGGGGCAGAATTTGCCGAACAAATACCACTGGAAGGAAGGAAGGAAGGAAGGAAGGAAGGAAGGAAGGAAGGAAGGAAGGAAGGAGAGAAGAAGGGAGGGAGGGAGAGAAGGAGGGAGGGAGGGAGAGAAGGAAGGAGGGAGGAAGGAAGGAAAGAAGGAAGGGAGGGAGGGAGGGAAAGAAGGAAGAGAGGGAGGACGGGAGGGAGGGAGGAAGGAAGGAAGGAAGGAAGGAGAAGGGAAGGGAGGAAAAGAGAGAGGGTGGGAGAAAGAAGGATCTCATGGTAATTTGCAGACATAGAATTTGAAAAGTTTGATTCTAGGGAGTAAAATTATCTTGTATGTAATTTAGAAAAAGCCTTCTGGCATAAGAATAGAAAATGAAGTAAAGGAAGTGAAACTGAGAAAGGAAAATCAGTGAGGAGGCTATTGACAGACTTAGAAGAGGTGATGAGCCCTAATCTAGATTTGTATTTGTTTTTATGGAGCGGAAAGATTGGAATCCAGGTACAATTAGGCGTACCGTCAGCAGGATTTAGTGAGGGATTGGATTATGGAAAAATAATAATAACATGCACCCATAGGGTTGTTGGAAAGGTCATATTTATGAATGTGTTTTAAACTGCAGAGAGTAGTGGAAAAATTAATTATGAGTATTATTTCAACTAGATCATATCTCTCTTTATTCCCAGATAGTGTTCTTTCCATGCACTCCTCCTATGATTCATTGTAAATTGAGCTTTTCACTAATTGGATTTGTGGAAAGCAATAGAGAATGCCATTTGGCTACTTCCTCTTTAGGGAGTGTTAATATTCAAATCTCCAGGTCATTATTTAGAATACCCAGTTCCAACAAGGGAAATTTAAAGTTTCATCTCATATTAATCTCTAAAGCAAGCTCTCCTTTGCCTCCAGATGAGCAAATATTTGAACTGGAGAAAGAGGATCTTTTCTGCGACTTACAACAAGTCTTTGACCAAATTATCCAATGGTGGTAGATTCTGATATCCTGAAGGGGCATATAAGAATATTGGCTTATAATCTATGTTATTAATGATAAGGAGCCTGATGATGAAGATGATAATGATAATGACTCTAATAATCATTATATTTACCATATTTTAATACCTATTGTGTGCCAGTAAATAAGCTAAACACTTTCTGTACATTGTTTAATTTAATAATGCTCAATGTTATGATAATTTTACAGTTCAGAAAACTGAGGCTCAAAAATTTTAAGTAACCTAAATTGATTCAGTTGGTAAAATATAGAACAGAGATTTAATCCCAGCCCAGTTTTCCTTGTTCCACATCCCATGCTCCTTGTTCCTAGGCAGGTGAATCAAGTATCAAGGCTTCTCTGTCTCCTTACTCCCCAGTCTTACCAACTGAGGCACCAGCCTTATCTCCAGGCAGAAAGTATTTTCCCTAAACGTTTTGGCCTTGTCCACACTAGAGTGGATTTTCCTGATTGGGGCCATCAATACACTGAGCAGACCTCTCTAAGCAGAGAAAGTGACAGGGCTTTACCCAAGAACAAACAAAATGACATTGTCTGTCACTCTCAGAAATGTAGGTTTAACGTGTCAGACTAGGCTAACTGGGCTGGTGGGAGACTGGGACATCCTACTGGCTTCTTATTAATGGGGATCTCAGAGAAATTTGAATTCTTTCAAAGCAGACACTAAAGCTATTTAACTGTGAGCTGAAACCTATGCACTGACATTGTATCTGGATCTTGGAGAGAATTAAGGATAGAACAAAGCCATTTTCTCATGAAGTTTTCAATTCTCCACCTCTACTTCTGAAGAGGTATATACCTCATCATTGTGTCTAGTTCCCAATTCCAGCCCTTTCCTTTCAGCTGCTTCAGAGTGGAGGCTCTGAATTCATCCTTGCTCAGCCATTTATCTACTAAGTAACCTTCAGTAAATTTCCAACTCCTCTAACCTAGTATTCCCATCTGTACAATGAGAATAATGACCACACCTTAGTAATGGGCATGATAAAATTTTATCCATTCAAGTGAATCAAAATTTTGTTATACACAAAAAACCCTTGGATTAATACTTAACACTTTATGAGAGCTTAATACATATTAGATAATAATATTATAATATATATGCATGTATACACATATAAACATACACACATATATGTATTGTATATGTATATATTTTTAGCTGTTGAAGTAGAAGCAAAACTTAACAGAGAATGCCTCAATTTGGAGTGCTTCCCTTCTATGAGTTCCCTGAGTCTTCATTTTCTCAATTATAAAATGAGAGAGAACAAACACAACTACTTTGATGTGTTCTTGTTATCATTATGTAATATGTATAAAGAGTTTAGCAGATACCTGACATTTAATAAATAAAATTTATTATTCTGAAGAAGGATATGGAGGCTTGTAAAGAGAATCAAAGATGAGTCAAGGGGACAATTTTAGCAAATGTTATTTTTCCCCCTTTTCTAAGAATACTTTTCAGATGTTCTACTTCCTCATATGTAAAATGGGGACAATAATTACTTGCTGATACATATATATTTTATCAGGTAAATATAGATGACTGATATAGATGCAATTTATATAGATGTAGAGACATAAGTATAGCTATATAGACATAACATGGTTAAGTGGCTAGAACAGTGCCCGGTGTACAGTGGCTACTAAATATACCTAAGTTTTCCTTTTTCCTTCTTTCTTCCTCCTGTCCTTCTCACCCATTTTATTTTGCCTAAATTTCTAAGTTCTAGATGACTTTTTACTGTATTATAATGATTCAGGGTGTCATACTTAACCCCTCTGTCCACACTAGACTAATTAGACTCTAAAATCCTTGGAAATAAGATCAATGTCTGGTTCATTTTGTGTCTTTCACAGTACCTACCAGGTACCTGGCAGACAGAAGATATGCTATAGATACATGTTTGCTGTGGTTTGAGTGTTCTTCCCCTCCCAAACTCAGGTTGAAATTTAATAGCCATTGTAACAGCATTGGGAGATAGGACCTTTGGCAGGAGCAGAGCCCTCATGAATGAATTAATGCTGTTATCTAGGGAGTGAGTTCCTTATAAAAGGATGAGTTTGGCCCCCTTTTGTCTCTCTCTCGTCCTCTCCTTACCCTTCCATTATGTGGTGCCTCTTACCATGTTATGATGGAGCAAGAAGGTCCTTGCCAGAAGCCTGCACCTTGATCTTGAACTTCCCAGCCTCCAGAACTGCAAGAAAAAAATTTCTGTTCATTATAAATGATTCAGTCTGTGGTATTCTGTTATAGAAGCACAAAATGGACTAAGACAATGTTGAATATGTGTTGTTTATCAGTAAAGTAAGAAGATAATTCATACTTACAAACTAAAGTGAGTGAGAGAAGGTTTTGAAGAAGGTTGTGAAAACAATTTTTGAATTGAGTGTTAAGAACCAAGTGTATTGTGAATGTTGACAACAATTATAAGATATAGAGTAGAAGGAGATGAGTAACATACTGATTGTCTACTGTATTTTAGGTTCTCTGCTACCCATTTTGACATACAATTACTTAGTCAACTAATCAACTTTATGACCTGGGCCATAACATTTTTCTTTCCCTCTAATGTAAGCCATACTAACTCACCACTACAACATTTTTGTACAGTTCCCTTTATATGTCCCTTATTTATGTCTATATGCCGTTTAGTATATACAGGTAATTATAGAATGGAAAAGGGATCTACAGTCCTACCAGACTATAATCCAGTGTCTCTGGTCATTTTCTTTTGTAAAGTCTTTGAAGAATCTGATGTATACAAAGAGTTTAAGAAAATACAGTCGTGTGTTGCTTAACAAAGGGATACATTCTGAGAAATGCATGAGAAAATTTCATTATTGTGTGAACATTATATAGTGTGCTTATACAAACCTAGTTGATATAGCGTACTACTACCTAAGCTATATAATATAGCCTATTCCTCCTACGCTATAAAACTGTAAGCATGTTACCATACTAAATCCCATAGGTAATTATAATATGATGCTAAATATTTGTGTATCTAAACATAACTAAACATAGAAAAAGTACAGTTAATATATGATATTATAAGCTTATGAGACCACCCTTGTATATTTGGTTTGTCATTGACCAAAATGTTGTTGTGTGGTGCATGACTGAAATTGTTGAAATAAGTACTGATGTAACTTTGAGGGGACAGTCCAGCCAGGGTCAAAGACTGAGCAAAGGAATTATTTTGTGCCTCTCACCTTGAACTTGGTTGTGAAGACAGAAAATGTTTATAAGACTTAGGGATAAGGGGCTTTGGAAAATTATCTGGAGATGGTGGGAAGGTTCTGGGTTCTTAATTTCAATTTTTCTGTGTTCTTCCTCCTCCTACACACAATCTCCCAACACTCCACACCCTCTCAAAAGGATGTAGATATATATAGATATATATATTTTTTTTGTTTGTCTCCCTCAAAATAGCCTTGATTTATTTAGACATACTATGAAACCACGAAATAGCCTTGGCTCCAGTATGTTATGTAATACATTTTCATAGTCAAGCACTAACTAGTAATTATGATAATAACTTATATATACTGAGTGCTTCATATGTGCCAGGCACTCCACTGTGGACTCCCACGTTGTTTAGGTCTTTTAACAACCAATGATTTATGTACAATTATTATCCCCATCTTACAGATGAGGAAATTGTTGGTTAGTAAAATGAAGAAACCTGCCGAAAGATAACTTCAAACAGCAGGTTTGGGATTTGAACACAAGCACTTTGACTCCAGAAACCATGTAATTACCCCTTCTTTATACCTTTTTGCTGTAGAATTATTCCAATCACCGAAACATTCACATTACTGTTATTGAGAACTGTAGGAGGCCAAGTGTTGCGTTATACAAAGAAAATGCAGGCATTAAAAGAAACAACCTATATCCTGAAGACTTGTAGAGTTTTAGAGCTACATGATGGTTGTTCTTTCGTTCCTCCATTGGATCCTTCAACATTTTTGAACATCTATTATTTTAAAGGCCTTGAGCTGGGTGCCAGGGATATAAAGATGAAAGAACAGAATTCATATCTTGATGAGCTCCTAATCTAGTACAAGGAAGGGAGTTACAATGCATGGAACAAATAGAATGCAGGAACCAGCATGGCCGCATCTCCAGCCCCAGTCCACCCCATGGGGACATGGCAAACTTGTCTTTCTGAGGTCAGATACAGCTTCAGAAATCTTTCAACACGAAGCTCCAGTTGATATAGTGTACTACTACCTAAGCTATATAATATAGCCTATTCCTCCTAGGCTATAAAACTGTAAGCATGTTACCATACTAAATCCCACTAATTAATTGGATTCAGTATTTGAAATGGAACCTGTTTGCTACTATAATCTAGTAAAATGGCAGACATGGAGGCATATATGAGTGAGTGGGTACTCAAGGGGATCATAGAGTTCCAGGGTCAGTCCTTAAAGAGTATCCAATCCAACCATCTCACTTTTCAAATGGGCAAAAGTAAAGTCCAGAAACAGGTAGCAAAAGAGAATTAGGTCAAGAACTCTGGTTCCCCATGCCCTTTCCTCCACATCACAGTTCTCTCTTGCTGAAATATCCTCTACAGTGAAGTGGGCTTCTGATGGAGTCAAAGAAAATGAGCCTGCACTGATGTCTGCAAATATCTGCAAAACCTTCCTGGGGGTGAGGAGGCCGATTGAGCTTGGGGTGAGAAGGCCTTTGGGGCTGCTTCCTAGAGCCTGGTGCTGATCTGCTGATTTTTATGCCATTTCTTTTAATTAACATGTAAAAAAGACAGCTCTGTCAGCTTGTGCCAAGTCTTTTGCGTCTTCAGCTTGGCGCACTGGGGCATGAACCTGAGATATCGGTGAGTGAAAGTTCACAATGCTAAAATGGGAAGTATTAATGAGTGGAACCACCATGCATGCACTTACCACGATCAATTTTCCACTTAGACAGCTTTTGTCCAGTTGCAGTAACTACTAACCGATCTATAATCCCTAATGGATTAAAGTGGAAAGGTCAGGAATCATAAAATCATCCATTTCCCACTCATTAATTATTCGAGTGTGGGCTCCTGGACCTGCCCCAGGCTGCATCACAGTGAGAACTTATTTATAACGAGGTTACAAGGAGATCAAACAGCCCAGACTATGTAGAAATATGGATTTGCATGTAGTTTTCTGAATGACTGAATGAGACCATATGTGACAACATGATAGTTGTCAATTGATAAGAGAAATGTGGTAAAGAATCAGGACCAGGGTGAGGTGAGTGTGACCTTTCTTGACAAGTTTAAGAGGCTGCCAAAAAACTCAGTAATCAAGATAAATATTGCAATATGTTTTTAAAATTTTAAAATATTGCAATATATTTTTTAGATCTCCTAATGAGGAGATGAACTGGGATTGAGATTCCCAATGGTCTGTTCTTTTTTCTTTTTTTTCTTTTTTTGAGAAGGAGTCTCTCTCATTTGCCCAGGCTAGAGTACAGTGGCATGATCTCGGCTTACTGAAACCTCCACCTTCCAAGTTCAAGCAATTATCCTGCCTCAGCCTACTGAGTAGCTAGGATTACAGGTGTGCGCCACCACCCCCAGCTACTTTTTGTATTTTTAGTAGAGACAGGTTTCACCATATCGGCCAGACTGGTATCGGACTCCTGACCTCATGATCCACCTGCCTCAGCCTCCCAAAATGCTGCGATTACAGGTATGAGCCACCATGCCCGGCCGGTCTGTTCTTTCTATCACACCTTTCTGTTACAACATGGGAAGTAGAAGCCTTAAAAAGGAGAAATTCTTATACAAAAACTGGACATTTATAAGAACGCTAAATCGGGAAAGATATGAAACATAAAGATGAGCAAGAGGTTTAGTCCCTTTAACTTATCACATAACCCCAAGAAATATGTTGTATGCATTAAATACCCCACTAAATTAAAAAATATAAAGCCAGGTCAGAGGCTCACACCTGTAATCCCAGCACTTTGGGAGGCTGAGGTACGTGGATCACTTGAGACCAGGAGTTAGAGGTCAACATGGCCAACATGGTGAAACCCTGTCCCTGCTAAAAAAAAAAAATACAAAAGTTAGCTGGGTGTGGTGGTGTACCCTGTAATCCCAGCTACTTGGGAGGCTGAGGCATGAGAATTGCTTAAACCAGGGAGGCAGAGGTTGTAGTGAGCTGAGATAGTGCCACTGCACTCTAGCCTGGGTGACAAAGCAAGACTCTGTCTACAAATAAATAAATAAATAAAGTAAAAATATAAAGAGATACCAACAAAACCAGTGCTTAAATTGGGAGAAATTAAGAAAGAACTCTCAATATTGAGAAAATCTCACAGAGACAAAGATTTGGAAGAAACTAAAATAAAAACAGGTGAATAATAGTTACTTCATCTGCAAAGTGGGGAGAACAATTTCTAACTCAGGTTGTTGCAAGGGTTAATGAAATAGGGTGTGCCAAAGTCCTGACCTATATATAGCAAAGTAAACCATGCAGTTACTGTTCTTAATAGTTTTGTTTGTAATCAGACGGAACTGCATTTAAATTCCGTGTGTCATTCATGCATGATTTTAGGGAAGTGAGCTTCCATCCAGGTTAGGTTTTTGAAATCTACAAAATGGGGACAAAAGATAAACATCTTAATTAAAAAAAAATAAGTATCATAAATATCTATAGCCACTGGCCAAGTGCCTAAAACGTTGCATATATTTAGGAATTGGTGGTAATAGTTGTTATTGTAATTGGGAAAGAAATTTGTTGTTTCAAACAATACTGAGAGCAACTCTTTTTGCTTTCTAAGAGGAGTGGTAGGGTGAGTGATATCAGTAGTGAAATAAATCTCAAAGTTATCCCTGTCCTCTTCCAGAAAACGATGGAGGAAGAAAGAAGCGTGAAATTTCAAACTCGTCATGTTTTGTGAGTGGCTGAAGGGTGCCCAGGTGTAGACGGTCCTTTCTGTTATCAGAGATGTTAATGAGTTTTGGATACACAAAGAGAGTCAGGCAGTAGAAAATTTTTGTTTTGATTCAATATAACTTCAAAGCTTACAGAATCACAACCATCACCCAGAGGCATGTCTATATGTACACTACGCATCCGGATATGCCTAAACATCTGAATGGCTGACTACAGTTTGTGGACTTTTACTCAAACATTTGGGATCAATATCAGAAAATAGAAGACAGAGTAATAACTTCAGGGAAGCTGTCAGATTGAATGTTTATAATTGAAGGTTGGAAAAGTAACACCAGGATCTGCTATGTGATAGAAGAGCTGAGTGAAGTAAATTGCCTGCGAGCCAATAAGGAAGGCAGGTGTGATTGTGATTATCAGTGATTTTATTCCCCCTAATTGTTGTCAGGAAACCTGTGAGACATCAGAGCTAGGAGGAGAAAATGATTGACGTCTAAATGATGAGTTCCTGGAGCCATGTGTCAAAGAGAGCCCACCGGGGATAATTCATTTCTGGATCTAGTGATACCTCACGTCTGGGACATAAGTGAATAAGCAATAGTTTAGCCATTTGACCTAATATCCAGGATTGGACATAATAGTATTATCTGGAATTCAAAATCAGTTACTAGTGAGACAGGCATCCTTGGATAAATAAGGTGGCAATGTCATCTGGAATTACACGCAGATCTTTTTGAGCATCTCATTAAAAAAAAAAAAAAATCAGGCATTAACAAGGCTGGCAGCAGCCAAGCTGTGGACAATACTCCAAGAGTACCTTGGCTCAGACAACCACAGTGTTAGTGAAGGAAAGGACTTAATTTAAATTATCGCTACCAGTGTTCACAAACAAGTAGCCTGCATGATGAGTTAGTCTTCAGGGGATAGGTTGTCTTTGGTATGCTCTGCGTCAAAACAAAAAGTTGTATATAAATCCCTTGGCATGACTCTCCAGTTAACCAAGATGCCACCACTTTTTTCTGCTTTATGCCAGATACCTTTACATGCTTGTTACAACATTACTGTGCCACTCAAAGGATTTCAGTTTGCAGGTCCTGAAACTCATTTATTTGTTTGGCAGATGAGAAATCCAAAGTTCAGAAAATTTAATGTTGCCACCTATTTCAGGTCAAGCATATACCCAAAATGGGTCTGGATGACTCAATAAAACATTTATTCAAATGTGGTTTTTTTTTCACCTATTACATGCCAGTGCCACTTTTAGTTCCTGACTTTATAAGATAGGCATAAAATCTGAATTTCTGGAATGTACAGTCTAGCGAGGGAAAAGCCCAGAAACGACATGGTACATGGTACATGCTCATTGGCCATTAGCTCCCTGAACTTTCATGCCTTAGGAAAACAAAAAAAATTACTATATACCTTTTTGTTGTTGTTTTATTATTTTGAGTTTCGTGTCTTTGAGCTGCTAATCATTGCAGCAGTAGCTGGAAATAGTCTTAAGTGGAATGAAGTTCATGGGGCAACAAAGACCTCCTTTACACAGGGTTGTCAGAGACAGAACATGTGGCTTCCACAGATGACCAAGAAATGTGATTTTACAGGAAGAATTTTAGTTTTTATCCAGAATTCACATACTAATAGACTATAGCTTAGGAAACACATTTCTGGCTGCTTGTGAATTAGAATAATACCACTGAAAATTCTAGACAGGTACTTTCTATATATTTTACATACAGAATGTTATCACAGTCACCTCACAGTGTGTGTCTATTATTATTTTCATTCAACAAGATGAAGAAACTGAGGCACTAGAAGTTGGCATTTTCAAGTCCACGCAGCTAGTAAGCAGTAGAGCTGGGCTTTAGATTCACATCTGTATGCTTCTGTTTCCACAGACTTCCCAGTGCCCCACTTCAAGGTCCTCTCTTCAGTTTTGCCACATAGAAGAAATTGTTTCTGGGAGAATAGGCAGAAATCACAAGGCCACGGCTTTGCCTTTGTGCTATACATTCCAGGACCACATTCTGGGGCCATGACAAAGGGATTGAGAGACTAGTGAATGCTACCAGTTATTTAATTTCATCAGAGGAAGGCCAAAGCGAAAAAAGAAAAAAAGATTATCTTGTATCTCACATAGCATAACATTCTTTGCCCTGTTTTTTTTTTTTTTTTTTTTTTTTCTTGTGATTGCAGCCTCTAATTATATATTGAACAATTGGGGATGTGGGAGGAAAGAACACTTTAGTCACTGCAAAAAGAAGTACCCTTGTTTGGTTGGGCACAGTAGCTCACACCTGCAATCTCAGTGCTTTGGGAGGCCAAGGCAGGAAGGTTGCTTGAGGTCAGGAGTTGGAGACCAGCCTGGGCAACCATAGTGAGGCCCCTTCTCCCTTCAAGATAGATAGATAGATAGATAGATAGATAGATAGATAGATAGATAGATAGATAGAATCTTAATTAGCTTGGCATGGTGGCTGCTATGGTTGAACTAGCCACTTGGGCTGCTGAGGTGGGAGGATAGCTTGAGCCCAGGAGTTTGAGGTTACAGTGTGCTATGATTGTGCTACTGTACTCTAGCCTGGGTGACAGAGCAAGACCCTGCCTCTAATAAAACAAAAGCAAGTATATGAACAAAACAAAAGTACCTTGAGGTAGATGGACAGTTATTGTGTTTAAATTTGCTACAGCCCCTGGGGCTATGTGCCAAGGGGAAGACAATGTGGGAATGAGGAAGAGGCCTCAGGTGACTTTAGGCAGGTGGGATTTTTTTATGAACCTCACACTATAAAAACCACCCATTTCCACCCCACCCGCAAGATGTATAGAACTACCATTGGCCTTCTAGGTGGTAAAATCTTTTCCAAGATTCTAGCAAGACAATGTTGGTCATTCTTGAATTTAGGTGGTGGTTTTATCTTGTGTGTGTGTTTTTTTTTTATTTTTCTGGATTTGGTAGTTATTTTATTGGTGTGATAGTAATTAATGATGTTTGTCAAATATTTTCAGTCTCTGCCTCTTCAGGGTACATAATAATCTTGATTTTTCTGGCTTCTTTATATTTGAGTGATGACAACTGTGGATAGATGATGTGTTGAAAGCTGCACTCTTCCCTTTGATCCACTGGTTAGCAATTTAGAAGATAGTTTTTTCATTAATCTGGAGGCTTGAGTCACTGAAATCAGCATAGCCCATTTTCCTACAAATCCCCCATAATGGACTTGTAGAATGAATACTATTAATATTTTGTTTATTTTAAAACCACTGTAAGTTGGAAGTTGTTACTGCAACAAAACCTAGCTCATCCTGACTGATAAAACTGAATGATTCAGAGAGACTGAGTGAAGTAATTCCAGTCAGAAGCCTCTTACACTAGAAGTTCCTAATGTGATCTTAAAGATAATGTGCTATGTTTAAAATAAACAGAGCCCTCTACTCTGAGATGACATTTTATTATATTTAATTATTCAGTATTATGAGCTTTTATTAGTCATTAAACTCAAGTGATTGTGAAAGTTAAGCTCAAATTTCTTAGGAAATATACATACATTTAATGAATACTTTTTAAAACGATCTGTCCAGTAAAGGCAACATTTGTGATGGACTACAAACATGAACTTAGAATTACAGTTATAATAATGATGTCACATCTATACTTAGAATTTTTTAATGGCTTTCCTTTATACTCACGACAAAGCTAATTACTTAGCCTGAGCAAAATAAGTCTGTCCATGACAGGGTTCCACACTTCTTGCTCCAGCCTCTTCTCTCACAACCAGATGCACCTACTTGTGAATCATGATTATGAAGTGCTTGCCCATCTCCTGTCTTGACACATGCTGTTGCTTTTCTCTGGAGCACATTTTAATTCCTTTGCCTTGTCACTTGTGTTAGTTCGTGTGGGCTGCTATTACAAAATACCATTGACTAGGTGGAATATCAATAACAGACATTTATTTCTCACAGTTTTGGAGGCTGGGAAATCCAAGATCAAGGCACCAGCAGATCTGGTGTCTGGTGAGGCCCTTCTTTCTTGTTCATAGATGGCATCTTTTGGCTGCATTTTCACATGGCAGAAGGGGCAAGGACCTCCTCTATCCCTAATCCCACTCAAGATGGGTCTGCCTTCATGACCTCATCACTTTCCAAAGGCCTCAGCTCCTCATATCATCACCTTAGAAATTAGTATTTTAACATATGAACTTGGGGATGAGTTACACCAACATGCAGACGATAGAACCACTCTTTACTCCTCCATCTTTCAATGTGGGTATAATTCCCTTAAGAAAACTTTCCCCCTCACCTGTACGGTAAGTCAGGAGTCTCAAAACATCCCATGCCTTTTTCTAGTATAGTATGTACCATAATGTGTTGAACTTATCTATTTATTGGTTTACCCTCATTATCAACCCTTATGTTCCTTGAATATAAGAACTATTTTGTTGATTGCATTCCCTCACCACCCAACACAATGTCTGGCACACAGTGTGCGCTCAATAAGTTTTCGCTGAACTAATAAAACTAACATAGTAAATGCTTTTGCGAACTTACATGCTGTCACCTAAGTCACCAAGTCATTCCTCGGCCAACACATTCATGAGTCTGTGTGAATTTTCAAAATAAGCATTTGATGCTATCATTTCCTGAATTAAATCAGGTACTTTCTCTTTTTTTTTTTTTTTTTTCGTTTTGAGGCAAGATCCCTCAGTTGCCCAGGCTGAGTGCAGTGGCACAGTCATAACTTACTGCGGCCTCAACCTCCCAGGCTCAAGCAGTCCTCCCTAGTAGCTGGTGCATCACCATGCAGGGATAATTTTGTATTTTTTGTAGAGTTGAAATCTCCCTATACTTCCCAGGCTGATCTCAAACCCATGGGCTCAAGTAATGCTCCTGCTTTGGCCTCCCAAAGTGCTGGGATTACAGGTGTGAGCCACCATGCCTGGCCAGGGACTTTTTCTTAAGTAGAGAATTAAAGAAAGCATAATCCTATTCCTTGCCAAATGTGTTATGCTATAAAAAGACAAAGAAGCATTAATGAGTTTTTGGAAGTGTGAATCTTATAAACAAATTAACAATCATTTTGATACAAGAGCATAAAATAAAGGTAGATATCAACGTATAAGGATAACTTTGTAGGAAAACACTTTAGTATACCCACGCTGCATGCAGGTTTTGAAGATACAGAAATAAAGTGAGGACAAACTTCTGTTCTCAAGAAGTGCAGAGTCCAGTGAGAAATAAAAAGGATACACAGGAATTCTAAAGAAAGAAAGGATGAGTGATAGATTAGAGGCACAAAATATAATGAGCACTCAGAAAAGGTAGTTGAATAAATGAATGAATTTATCATGTAAATTTATCACATCTGAACATCCAAGCTAAAAAGACAGCTACTGATGTTTTCCTGCAAACTGTAGTTCTCCAAAGGAAAATGAAAGCCAATCATAACAAGTACTAATTGGGGTTTAAAAAGGAAAACGAGGGGGGAAAAAAGTAAAAATAAGCATTAATTAAATATCAACTATTTTACGTATAAAATTTCCCTTTGTTCTACAAAAATGTCCCAGAGTCATTTTTTCTGAGACGATTTAAACACTTATTATAAAACTTTGCCCAAGATCACTCTGCTTGCCACTGATAAAGTTGGAATTGGCATTCTGATCAGCTAGACCTCCCAGACCTTATTGTGTCTAACACAACAGGATTTCTCAAAGTGTGCCTGATAAACCATGTACTTCAGAATTTCCTGCAGATTATTATAGCAATGGGAAATTGCCAGTTTTATACCTCAGACCTAAAGAATCCAAATTTCCAGAGCCTGTCTGGGAATCTGCATAAAAACAAGTCCCCATGCATGGTTGTACATATGGTCAGAAGGAACCCTTTTATTGTATTGCATTTACTCCTGGCTGAACACCAAAGAGAAGATAATTTAGCCTAGCAGTGTGTGTCTCTTACTGGGAGATGAAAGAGACCAAGAGTTTACTCATCAAAACCATAAACAAATTATATCTATTATCTTTATTAATTGATTATAATCATGATAGCTACACCAGTAATTATAAAGAAAGAAATCTGCTCTGTGTTTCTAGAGAGTCAGGACCATGTCTCACTTGGTACTAAATCTTATTCATCTTTGATTCTCTTTAAAAAAAAAGTAGGTAACGGGGCAGTCAAAACGGTAATTGAATGAATGAATGAATTTATCATGTAAATTTATTACATCTGAACAACTGAGCTAAAAAAAAAACTACTGATATTTTTCTGCAAACTGTAATTCTCCAAAAGGAAAATGAAAGCCAATCATATTAAATGCTACCACTTCAATAAAAATCAATACTAGAATTGGTATGGGGTTTTGTTTGGTAATAAATGCACTTTTCCTCTTACCTGCTTCCAGTGATCCCTAACTTGGTGGTGGTCTTTAATTAGGAGATGTCATACATTGAGTTCTCAGCAGTTACTCCAAATACACTGCGAGTCTCCGCTGCACATAAGAAAAGCTGCAGATTCCAACTGTGAAACTGCAAAGTCCTTTAGCCTCTGGTTTGTACATGGTAGAAGACACAAGCTGTGACCTTGATAAAAAATTGGAGCATTAAAAAATGTTAACCTTTTACTATCTCAAAATTCACAGTATCCCAATCATCTTCTGCAAGACTTAGTAATATAAGGCACTGCTACCCAGACATTCTCACTTGGTTTTCTCGCAGCATCTCAAAAGCATTATGCCCAGAGCTGAACTCATGAGGCCTTCTTCTCCTATTTTCTACCTTTTTAATATCTCCATCATCCAGTAAGCCAGCCCAGCCAGAAATTAGGGAGCCATATACTACCCAACTACCATCCCTACATTTAGCTAGTCACCAGGCCCTTTCCACTTATATCTCCTAAATACCTCTCATATCTGTCTTGTCTGCTTTACCCCCACTGCTCTTATCTTTATCCCGGCCACCATTTTCTTTCCACCTGGATTTGCTTTTTTTCCTGTTTGGGGTCTTGTCATCTTGTAACCTATCTCCCACGGTGCTGTCCAAGTTTTTGGCACAGATCTTACCTATGTATATTATTCCTCAGGTTCAAATCTACAATAAAACCTGGTTTGGGGATGATATATAATGCACATTATGATAAATATGTATATACTGTTTCAAGTCAACCTGTCTTTGCACATACTGTTTTCTGTCTCTGAAATGCCGTCCCTTCTGTTTGCCTAAACAGTTTCTATTTATACATGAAAATCTACTCCAAGCAAAATGTAAAAAATATATATATTTACATTTATTTAATTGTCCTAACAAAATATATGCTAAGTGTAAAAAGAAGTTTTTATTCAGAGCATCATCACTGAATGAAGCTCTTGACTACTCTGCCACCACTTCCAAGGAGTCAGTCAGGCTCTGCTCTATCATAGCTATTTATTTCATGTGTTTTTTATCGTGGGACTGACTGTGTTGCTTTGTGACTACACGCTCATGTACTTGACTCCCAAATGTGTTTCTCTCAGGAAAGGCAGTTATTTTATTTTCCATCCCTTCTTTTTTCTAGTGAAGTGTCTGGTATATAGCAGGCTTACAGAGATTTCCCAAATTTACCACATTAGTTCAGTAATACAATATATCAGTTGAAGTAAAGAAAAGCATTTTCACTCCCAAATTATTCAAGCAGTGGCCATTCCTAAGAGATGACTTCTCTCTTGTGCCTAGATTTACATACTGTTTTTCCTGTTGAAGACCTTTTCATGACTAATATAAGCTGTAGGATAAAATTCAGATACCCAAGCTGAAGTTCAATGTGATCTATAATCTGGTCTCAAAAAGAATTTTCATTATCTCAAGCCCTGTGCTTGGCACAAAATAAAATTTTAATAAGAACGTGTTATGTGACCGTTATTTCCCATGAAGGAATGCTTCTAAAGGAATCACTGGCTATCAGTTTAAGTAAACCACCGCTTCTTACGTTCTTAACCTCTAGAGAGTACACCATATAGATAGCTATAAGACAATCTTCTCACACATGTGACACCATGACTAGTACAAATATGAATTTAATTCTTAGTGGAGGATATTTGGCTATCCAGGTATCTGTCACATAAAACCCTGTGCTACCAGTATGGTGTAAAAGAAGAGATAAGCAGCAGAACATACTGTTCAGCTGCCGTCACAGAAAGATTATGTGTGTCCTTAAACCTGTGAGAACATGGTCTCACAAGTATAATATAGACGTCTCAACAATTAATTCTATTAGAGGTTAAGGAAGTGCTAAGGACAATGAGATGATTAGTGAAATAACTCCCAAGTGGCATTTTATTTTTTTCCCTGAAATTTGTTTTTAAAAAGCAAAATGAAAAAAAAAAACTTAACATTTATTTAATTGTTCTGAGAAAATGTATGCTAAGAGTAAAAAGAAGTCTTTATTCGGAGCACCAGTTGAGATAGTAAAAAATTATAAACAACCTTAATTTCCACAAATGGTGGATTTCAGAAACAAGTTAACCCCCATTCAATAGAATACTACACAATCATTAGGAATGAAGACAGAGACAAATACATATTGACCTGTGGTGTTGTTCTTCAGACATTTTAATAAAACATGTATAATATAAACTAATTTTCAATTTAAAAAATATGCATAATAAAAACATACATAAAAATACTAGAAAGATGAACATCAAAATGATAGCAGCTGCTATATATGGGTGACAGGATGATAGGCAATTCTTATTTTCTTCTTTTTCATACCTATATTTTTTGTAATGAGCATGTAATACATTTTTAAATACTCCTAAATTACAATACAGATGCATTACAATTTATCTTTGTATTTCTTTCCTTCACTTTCTCCCCCCTCATATGACCATGCTTTTAAATAAGCCAGATTCTTTGAAAAACAATAATATTCAGCCAAGAAATCAGTCATTTTGAAAATAACCATGTTTGCAGAATGCCTGGCCATTTGGCAGAATCCATCTGTGCTTGGGTTATTTCTGTAGTTGTTCTTCAAATGGGTTTTGTGAGCCCCCTCCAGAGACTCCTATTTACTATAGAAAGGAGTCATAACTCCTAGTGTGGCATTCAAGATTTTTAACAATCTGGCCCCAATGTAACCCTCAGCTTCAAGAGTCCCCAAATCAGCTCTGTCTGATCACATATGTCCCAGCACACAAAGAATTCTCAGCCTTCTTACTTTTACATGTGACATTCCCTCTGCCTGGAACATTCTTCTTCCCTGTTCTCTGCCCTACTATCTTGTTCATCCTCAAGGCCTAGCTCCAATTCCTTTGGCTTTGAATCCTCTTGTAGCCCCATTCCAGGCAAAATTCACTGCTGCTTTCATTTGTGCTTCTACCATGTTTCCAGTGATGTGTTGACGCTGGGTAATACCTGCTTATGAGAGCCGGTTGTTAAATATTCAGGAATTTCGCAAGCCAATTTACAAATTATTGGGAGTTGTTAAATTGGCAGCTTGAAGCTAACTGCTGTGGAAATATTTATGCCATGAAAACTGGCAAACAAGACTATTCCACCTCAGAACAGTTTCCCGGCACATCATTGCCTTGCACATACTTTTATTACAGTGCATGTCCAATTTCACCTGTTTTACAAGCAAAGAAACAATCTCTCCTATGAAGTTTGTGAGCTCACTGAGGACAGGGTCAATGTCTTCATTTTCCTATCTCTCAGAACGTAGGAAGACTGCTTGGCATATGGCAGGTAATCAATAAATAACTGTTGAAATAGATCAAGTTGCTCCGACACACATTTGCTAAATTGCATTTGGAATTAAGCTGTGATTTTTTTTAATCCTCGATATTCTTGTTTCTCATTTCCAGAGCTAGCAAGATTTGGCTAAATAACATTCATTTTTATTAGCATTCTTAAATATTACAAAATAATTGACTTTTTCAGTGTGGCAGTC
The DNA here is from genome assembly GCF_000001405.40 of Homo sapiens. Taxonomy (NCBI): domain Eukaryota; kingdom Metazoa; phylum Chordata; class Mammalia; order Primates; family Hominidae; genus Homo; species Homo sapiens. The sequence continues at coordinate 80,065,556 of NC_000011.10, read as the reverse complement.
ATGTTGATTAGAATAGAAAACTCATAAGTATATCTTTCTTTATTATCTATAGATACAATTACCCTCATATCTTTACTTCCAATAGCTTTGCTTAATAAAAAATCCAAGGAGAGCCTCAGGAAGGCATAATATGATTTTAATATACTTTGCTTCAGAGAACCTCTGATGGTTAATTAAGAAACTTTCATCTTTGAAGTAAAATTAGAAAAAAACTTATTAACTAAAGGATGCAGGGTCAGTAATAAGACAGCTTTCCTTTTGAACATTCCATCTAATCAATCCTGAGAGACTTAAGACAATTATATTTTATCAAAAACACAGAGAAATAAGCACCAACAGGGGACGCCAAGTGGCTTTGGGCATTTCTTACAAAACAGTCTTAGGAAATGATCAATCCCTTCCTAATCAGAGGCATTTTATGAAATGGCGAAAAAAAAAAACATTATTTACGAAGCCACAAGAGTGAAAATTACAGTCTGAGGATTAGGAGACTAAGTCTCTGAATTTGAAAAGCTGTCATGTTCAGGCCCATTGTCTCAACTGAAAGGCAGTTAAAAAAAAAAAATACAGCATTCACCCATGCCTGTGTTCATCAGTGTGTCCACACAGCCTGGAGTTCTTTAGTTCACAGTCTTTTTTCTCCAGGGTATAATGAAAAGTGATCAGGCACTGAATTTAGACCAACTTGGGTTATAATGCCAACCCCACAACTTACCTACACACATAGTGACTTTACCTCTGTGAGCTTCAGTTTTCTCATCTGTAAACAGGTATAATGCTGACCTCATAAAGTTGCTATGAATATTAAATAATATTGCATGTTTGATGTGAAGAGTAGATGCTCATAAATATCACTTCCTTGGCCTCTGCCTCCTTTCACTCATTAACAGATTGTTTGAATGAATACTTCACTGTGATGGTTAATTTTATCTGCCATTTTGATTGGGGTAAGGTATATCCAGGAAGATGGTAAAACATTATTTCTGAGTGTGTCTGTGAGAGTGTTTTTTGCAAGATATTAGCATTTGATTGGGTAGACTGAATAAAGGAGATCTCCCTCACTGATGGGCGTGGGCATCATCCAATGAACTGAAGGCCCCAGTGGAGTAGAAAAGCAGAGAAAAGGCAAATTTGTTCTCTGTGTTTGAGCTGGAGCATCCATCTTCATCTGCCCACAAACATCTGTGCTCAAGGTTCTCCAGACTCTGGCCTGAGACTTATACTATTGTCCCCTCCCTACTCCCAAGCCCTGGCTCTCAGGACTTTAGATTTAGATTGAATTATACCACCTGCTTTCTTGGTTCTTGACTTTGCAGACAATAGACTGTGGGGCTCCTTGGCTTCCATAATTGCATGAACCAAATTTCTGTTAGAAATCTCCAAATATGTATGTATGTATCCATGGAGATTTACGTGTAATCTTCTATTAGTTCTGCTTCTCTGGAGAACCCTGACTAATAATAATAATACACTGCTTTGTCCTACTCTTAGGTGGCAAATGGGACATGGTCACATATTTTCATTTAAAAGTAAGTACTCACTTCACTTTCTAGGTTAGAAATTTCCATGCTCTTAACATACTGTCTTCTGTTTGAGAGATTTTTATTCTGTTTTATAAAACCAACCACAGAAATATCAAATTAGTAGACGACAACTTGTAAAGTAGAGAGCCTTGAATCAGGAGAAATAAAGAAAAGCTGTATTCTAACCCCAGATCTGCTGTTGATTTATCATGTGTATTTGAGCAAGTCCCTCAAACTTCCTGACTCTAATTCATGCAGCAAATATGTATTAAATACCTGTCCTTTGCCAGGCATTTAGCTAGACACTAGGGATGTGGAGATATAGAAGTCCTGGTCCCTGAGCTCAGGAGCCACCATGCAAATAGGGAAGAAAATACATTACAAAATAAGTAAAATCAGATAAGCCTATACTGAAGTTGACTACCAAGTGACAAGGGGGTGAAGAGCATGATCCAGGGATCTTTAATGGGAGATAAGGATGCTAACACTTGTTTTGCTTTTCCACCTGGCTTTTGTGAACATCAAATGAAATTATGTTTATCAAGGAAATTTGTAAAAAGCAAAATGAATACTCAATTTTAAATGAAAATATGAGACCATGTGCTGTTTGCCACCTATGAGTAGGAAAAGCAGTGTATTATTATTATTTCCCTTTGTGATGAGTGCATAGTTGGTGCTAATAAATATATGATGAACGAAAGTTTGCAAAAATACAGAGATACAAACATTTTAGAAAAGTGAGAGTCAGTGCTGTGTTAAGATAGTTTGGGGGGGCTTCAATGATTTGGTGCATCTAGAGCCAAGTTTAAAGCATAAAAAGAACCTGTAGAAGAAAAAAAAGTATTCAAGCAGATGGAGAACAGCCTGAACAAAGATTTGTATAGCATAGTTGTAACAGCAACTATGCTTTGGGTATGAAATAAAGGCCCGACGATGTGGTTCATGTTTCAGCTGCCATTTATGTAGTCCTTACAAAAACTTTGCAAATAGATATTATTATTTTTATTTTCCAGTTTAAATTCAGGAAAGTAAACCAACTTTCCACCGTCACACAAAAATTGAATGTTAGAGATAGAATTTGAATCCACATCAATTAGACTCAAGATCAAAAGAATGACCCAAGAATTATATACAATATAAACTGGTTGGACTGGTGCTTCAGAGTGGATCTTCATCCTCATAGCAAAGTACCCTTCTGGTTTTCCCAGTCATTATTAAACTGATTCTTCCCTGTCTTTATTATAGGGATATCTTACTCAGTAATTTAAATCTTGATCTGATTTCAGAGAATGAATTCAGTAGTCATCCAGATGTGCAAACCAGCAACCTGAGAATCATTCCTTTTTGTTGTTGTTGTTGTTGTTAATGATACTTTAAATTCTGGGGTACATGTGCAGAACGTGCAGGTTTTTTACATAGGTATACATGTGCCATGGTGTTTTGCTGCACCCATCAACCCATCAGCTACATTAGGTAATTCTCCTAATGCTATCCCTCCCCTTGTCCCCAACCCCCGACAGGCCCCGGTGTGTGATGCTCCCCTCCCTGTGTCCATGTGTTCTCATTGTTCAACTCCCACTTATGAGTGAGAACATGCGGTGTTTGGTTTTCTGATCTTCTGTTAGTTTGCTGAGAATGATGGTTTCCAGCTTCATCCATGTCCCTGCCAAGGACATGAACTCATCCCTTTTTATCACTGCATAGTATTCCATGGTGTATATATGTCACATTTTCTTTATCCATTCTATCATTGATGGGCATTTGGGTTGGTTACAAGTCTTTGCTATTGTGAATATTGCTGCAATAAACATATGTGTGCATGTGTCTTTATAGTAGAATGATTTATAATCCTTTGGGTATATACCCAGTAATGGGATTACTGGGTCAAATGATATTTATGGTTCTAGATCCTTGAGGAATCCCCACACTGTCTTCCACAATGGTTGAACTAATTTACACTCCCATCAACCGTGTAAAAGTGTTCCTATTTCTCCACATCCTCTCCAGCATCTGTTGTTTCCTTACTTTTTAATGATCACCATTCTAACTGGCGTGAGATGGTATCTCATTGTGGTTTTGACTTGCATTTCTCTAATGACCAGTGATGATGAGCTTTTTTTCATATGTTTATTGGCTGCATAAATGTCTTCTCTTGAAAAGTGTCTGTTCATATCCTTCACCCACTTTTTGATGGGGTTGTTTGTTTTTTTTCTTGCAAATTTGTTTCTTTGTAGATTCTGGAAATTAGCCCTTTGTCAGATGGATAGATTACAGAAATGTTTTCCCATTCTGTAGGGTGCCTGTTCACTCACACTTCTTCATACTCCCCATTGCATATGCTCACATAGCAAACAACCCTAAAATCTAGTGACTTAACACGATAACCATTTATTTCACACCTGAGTCTGAAGATTGGTCATTTAAGGCTGTGTTTGGCTGGGTGGCTCATCAGATGTTGTCTGGGTTCACTCACATTTCTTCAGGTCATCTGGTTGTTAGCTAATATAGAAGCTAATATAGAATGGCTTTGGTTGGGATGGCCAGGGTGACTTGGCTTTGCTTTGCATTGCCCATTCTCAGAAGCTCAAGCTCAGAGTGAAAAGCTCAAGACCTGAGTCAAAAACTCAGCATCTGCTCCTGACCTCCTGCCTCATGCTACACCCTGAATTCTTCATCTCCTTGGTTGTAGTCACCCCCACCCTCCCTCTCCACATTCGCCTGCCTCCCCAACAGGGCTTTTGCACATTGTCAACCTGTCTGGAACACTCTTCACAGCTCACAGCTCTTGGCTCATTGCCACTGCTTCCACAAATCTCAGTTCGTGTGTCACTTGCTCGTAGAAATTAACCAGGACAAATAACTCTCTAACAGGGTCTCCTGAGACTGTATACTCTCCTCTAAATTTCTTGTCACAGCTGCAATGTCATTTATATAATTATTTGAATAATTTCTGCTTTTTCAACTAGACTCAATGTTATATGTAGGCAGCAATTACATGTTTTTATTCACCTTTCTATGCCCTGAGTCTAGCTCAGTACCTGGCCATAAGTATTTAATAAATAAATGTCAAAAGAAAGAAAGAAATATGTGAAAGTCACTTAGAATTTTTATTAGAAAACTTGGCTACTTAACTAATTTCTGAGCTTTTCATCTTCGCCTGTATTTGTGAGAACTTCCTAAAATACAAATCTAAACAGGTTATTCCCTAAATTGGATTCCTTGGTGGCTCCTCTTCACAAATAGAAAAGTTAAGCCTCCTTAGAAAGCCCCATGGGGCCTCCCTGGTGTGCCCACTGTCTTCCCCTCCTGCTTCTGTTCATATGTGCCCCCCTCCCCACGTTACCCACTCGTAGTTCTCATAACATACCACATCTTTTCTTTTGTACGTCTGTCTCTGCTACTCCCACTGACCTCTTTTCCTGCCTGGCCAACTCCAGATAGTCCTTTAACTATAATCAAATGTCACTGTACCCAGGTTTCTCCCAACATGTTATCATGGCCCCAGACTGTGTGAGTCACCTCTTCCTTTGATTCAACAGCTCTTTTATAATCTTCCATCATATAATATATATAGCTCATCTCTTTATACTTCATTATAATGTGAGGTGTGCCTTTTTCTGATCCTTCTGCTTTATAGGGGGATCCACAAGAGAAGGAACATCTACCCACAACTTAAGATGAGGTCAGTCACACAGCAGATGCCTAATATTTGTCAGATAGATGGATGGCTGAATGGGTAAATGAATGGATGAAGAAGGACCCATCATCTTCAGGCTTGGTTTGAAGGAGAAATAGAGATTCGTGACTCCAGAAATAGCGAGAGCTTCAAACTTACGGAGCTTAGGTGACATCAATCAAAAATCCATTTCAGGACTATTCTCCCTCTCCTCCAAATTTCTTCTTTATAAATCACAAGCAAGACTAAAATTACTGACTTTCTGGATCAGATAAAGAACTGAAGGTCACCTGCTATCTAAATTGTCATCTATCTGAAAGGCTTTGTGAGGGCAGAGAGGAAAGGGATTGCACCCTGTTGATAAGGCACAGTGACAGGAGCCTGGACTTTGGAGCTGGACTGCCCTGGTTCTGGATTCCAGGTCTGCTACTTGTTAGCTGGGTGACCTTGGATAACCTTTTTACCCATGAAGGATAGGATAGAAAAGGATAACCTTTTCTTCTCTTTAAAATGGGTATAATACTATACATCCAGCAGGGCTTTTGTAAGGATTAATTGACACAATATGTTATATTACTGAGTACCTTGCTGGCCCATGCTTAGTACTCAATGCATATTAACATGTTTCTTCCTTCGTCCCCTCCCTTTTCATTTTACAGAAAAATCTAAGACATCTTAGGATCATACTTGGCACAGAGTTGGGAAAATGTCTCCTTTTCCTAGTGGGAGAAGGACAGTGCTTCTCTCTGGATCATGTTCAGTATCAGCAATTACTTTCTCCTTACCTTCCATCTTGTCAAAAGAGTTAGTGTCAGGATTTTCAGGTTTGCATTTCCATTTTACTTTGCTTCTAAAGAGAATCTTTTAGATGAATAAGAAAAAAAGGAAAGGAAAGGCCTGAACATCCATTTTGTCAGAAACAGAAAGAAAACCTCCGAATTCCATTTTCTGCCAGAGAGCTGATTCAGCAGCTCGTCACCTTCTCCATCCCAGCTTCATTTATTTTTTTCTTTATTTCAGGCACTGTTCTCATTATCCACAACATATCTTAGTCAGCAACTTTATCCTCCCCTTTTAAATAAGGAAGAGCCCTTTTAATCTCTTTTACCACCAATGACTTGCTGCCAATTTGAGTAAGGTTGCCCTAATGAACCTGCGATGTCAGACCAGACCCGCTGCAGTGATTCTTAGCATCCCCAAAATGGGACATGGTGTTCCCCTGCCTACCCAAATTCCCACCTCTTCCTAAGCCAATTATGACCTGCCTGGCCCTTTGTGAAGGTCCCATCACTAAGCAGAAGGCAGAGTCCTGAGTTAGTCTTGCTGCTTGAATAATTTGTGGTGTGCTCTGGGCAAATTATTGGTTTGTGCAACCCTGCCAAAGGTGACAGAGTCTTTCACCCTTGGGATTCTGGGTTCTGTAACATGCTTCCTTGAACTCAACCTGCTTTTCTGAGACCCTGACACCCCAACTTAGCCTAGGCAGATGGATCAAGTTTGGACAGCCAGCCTGAGTGTGTTCACATCCCTTCTGTAGCCCTTTACTGGTGTGGCCTTGAGCAAGATAGCTTGAACGTTCTGGCACTTAGTTCACCTTGTTTTTCCTGTGTAATACTGAGGATAAGACAGCCTTCATCATTTATTATGATGAATGAATTTTTTTAAAAAAAGAGTGACATAGAAAGAAAGTAAGAGGAAGAGTGAGAAAGAATGTAAGAGAGAGAGAGAGGAAAATGCCAAGCAGAGTTCCTGACACTTTGTGGATGCCAAAGAAAAGTTCATGGCCTCCAATTTCCCTTCCCACATCCCTCCATAAGGAAGGTAGACCTTCCTTTCTGCTTCCTCGGCTGATGCTGTGTAGTTAAAAGAACTTTCTTGAACACACACAATGTTATGTCTTATATGAAGAATATCTCTTCATTATAACTGTTAGTTTTAATAAGAACTGCTCTGTCCACTTGTGCAAGCTTTGTAGGAACCCCTTGGGTCAGGGTGTCTCAGAGATGGAAGAGTCCTACTGGACACTCAGCCTAGATATGACTTCCTCCGGGAGGTCTTTGTGAATAAGAAGAACTAATTAGAACTGTAGTTGGGGTTGTACATAGCTGGTACTTACCCATCAGAGCTCTTGGTGAATTCTAGTACAATTTCCTATTTCCTAGTCTGTCCTCCACACTGGATGCCAAGCTCCTAGAATAGGATAGGATGCTGAGCTTCTTTCAGTGTTTGGCATAGCCGGCACAGAATTAAGAGTGTTTGATGAGTAAATGAGTGACATAAAAGGAGAAGACTGGAACTTGCCTAGAATGGTTGGCAAAAGTGACTGAGGGCCATTAAGCTAGAATAGGAACAAATTAAATCTTTGGCAAGAAAAACGACATTTATTTAACCTCTATTATAGTCTAGGAACACTGAGGTATTTCATTCACATTATTTCAGAGTCCTGTCAACTTGGATGCAATATTTTCAGTCCCATTTTACAGATAGAGAACAGAGGCACTGAGAATTCAAGTCACACATGTAACAGATCAGAGCCAGTAATCAGCACATCAGAAATTCAAATCAAGGTCTCTCTAACTGCACACCACATCATGACCTACAATTAATAATCCTTGTTTGCAAAGGAACAACCGTTCCTTCTGCTCTTGGAAACCAGTCTGAGAGGGAATGAATCTTTCCCTGTACTAAGTGACAACTTTTTGAAGAAAGCTTTTACCTAATGTGAAATGAAAACATTTTCTTTATGAGAAATATGCAATCCATATGTGCATTCATATTTCAAAGTTCCCAATTCAGTAGGATTTCTCTAGGCTGTTTTTGTCAGGGTTTGAAAAATAGCTCCCTGTGATTTTTTTGATGTGAGTTAATATAGTGATAAGCACCATAAAGTCTCTGGGAATAACACATCATTAATTCACCACAGAAAATAAGACTTCAGAGACAAGCCTCATAAGGGCTCTGTGGTTAAAGTAGCTTGGTGAGCAATGGCCATTTCAGTTGACTGAAATTAAAGGTAAAAGGAATGCAACAAATGTAACAAATAATTATTTTATGCAGCTGAACAACACATAGCCTGTTTTATGAAGGACTCTTGAGCAAGTTGAAGAGAAAAATAAATTATTAGAAACACTTCATTTTAATGTGGGGAGACATTATGTTCTGAGAAGAGCATTGGATTCATAAGAGACCTAATTTAAATCCTTGCCTGGCCAATAATTAATTGTTTGACCTTGGGAAAGTAACTTTTCTTCTCAAGACCTTGATATCCTAATCTGTACAATTAGAAAATTGAATTCTAAGAACTCACCAGCCTCACCTGAACCTAACTTTCTAGAATCTCAAAGATTTCGTGTCCCATAATATTGGAAACAAGAATATGTTCTCAGAGGGGAGCGTGGTTCATTTGGTTGAAAGTCAAGGGACTCAAGCAGCAGCACGCTCAACGATGATGCATGAACTTTGGAGTAAAACTGACCTGGGCTTGAGTCCTGGTTCTTCCACTTTATTGGTCATGTGATTTGGGATAAATTTGTTCACCCTTTTAAGACCTCGTTTTCTCACCTGTGAGTTTGTGTATAATACTTCCTTCAAAATGTTGTCATGAGGATTAAATGAAACAAAATATATAAAACCACATACACAATACTAGTCACATGGTGGATGTGTAATACAAGGAAGCCTCTATTATAATATTAATAACCTATCTGAACGTCTCTCCTGGTGGGGGTTGGGATGTGCTTGTGGGAAGTGGATGGCAATGAGAAACTGAATCAGCCCTAGGTGGTGATCTGTGTGGTCCAGGGAGTTCTTATCCAGAGTTGAAAAGCTTGTGCACATGGAAAACCTGAAACAAGCCAGGAGTGTATGAAGCGAGCCAGGGAGAGAAGTTAGGGCTGGGGTCAGAATTAGGAATTCTAGGGCTGGAATAATCAATTTGTAAATCAACAACAGACGGGTGGCATTTAAAGCCATGGAATGAATGGGATCACCCAGGAAATGGTTCTCAAGCCTGGCTACACATGGGAAACACCTGGGAATCTTTGAAACTATAATAATGTTTCAGTCCTACCCTCAGAGATTCTTATGTAATTGGTCTCAGGTGCGGCCTGAACATTGGTGTTATTAAAAGCTTCTTGGATGTTTCTAATATCCAGCCAAGGTTGTGAACCACTGACTTAGGGAGAAAGCATAGAGAGAAGATATTCAAGGACTGAGGTCTGGACTACTCCCAACATCTAGAATCCATCAGGGAAGGAGGAGCCAACAAAGGAAGACTGAAAAAAAGCCGTCTCTAAGGTGGGATGAAAAACAAAGAATTCAAGAGGGGGAAAAACGAGTTTTAATAAAGACTATTCAGTGCTGCTGAGAGGCCAAATAAAATAAGAATGAAGAAGTGACTAATGCATGAGTTGACATGGAAGTCTCTGGGGGACAGTAAAGTGGAAGTTTCTATAGGGGAGTGGATGTGAACCATGTTTTTAACTCAGTTTTCTTCTCCCTTTGATGCCTAGCACAGAACTGGGCATATATTTGGGCATATATTTGATGATGCATTTGTTGAATTGCTCTTAATCAGCACTTGGTACATTTAAAAACTGTTTCTGGAATGGGTCAAATTTTAGGGTAAAATAAATCCACCTTGATCTATAGGTCGTTAATTCACTGAATGATGAATGGATCACTTGAAAATGACCGTGTTCTCATTGTCATCTAGTTGCTGTAGTTACTATGCTAGATTCAGAACTGCTGTATGAAGCCATTTAGATTCCTTGAACTTCAAGAGTCACTGTTTACAGAGATTACAATGTAAAAGGTATCTCCTGGAGTCATGTGCATACAACCTGCATACCTGTGCATGACAGTCCTGTTGCTAGAAAAGGATTTAGAGAAGAGTGAAAGTAAGTTTTATCGTGTCAGTGGCATGCTACCACATTCACATACTTCAGCATAACTTCACATCCTTTTAGAGAGTAGGGTTTATTATTTACATCTTATATATTATTATTAATGTGAAACTCTAAGGCGTCCTAGAATACGCAGGTGGTAAAGCCAGATCTTATGCTAGGTTATTAGGTAACATTGCTTAGTCGTGGCACACTATCATACCCATTGAATGCAGCAGTGAGTATCATGGTATGGCTCTAATACAGTATTATGGAAGATCATCCAAATTTAGTGAATATTTATTGAGTACCTACTATATAACTAGCATTGTTCCAGACCCCTTGAATCATATCATTACAAAAATACAAAAATTCCTGCCCTTGGAGAGCTCATAGTCTTGTGTTTATTACCATTATACCTACTGGCTCATTCTAAATATATATTGGTTTTAGTGACAGATTAGGTTTAAGTCCTGGTTTCACTACGTACTATCTGTGACATTATGCAAGTTACTTCCCCTTTCCATTCCTTTGCCTCTTCCTTTGTTCAGTGTGGCACAAGCTTTGTTTAGACTTTGCTGGTGTATTGCGTTTGGGCACAAAGAAGGATCCCTGTGAGCAGATAACCCACAGGCAATAAAAAGGAGTGGAAAAACATTCTGAAGGATAAATTACAAGGTAGGAGAATTGAGGCTGTGTTGGTTAGAAGGCCCAGGGTGTGCCCAGGGCTAGGCTAGCTATATAAAATGCTGCTGGTGCCAATATGGCTTCATCCTAACTCCCTTGCTGTAGACAAATCCCCTCTCTCCACACCAACTTCTCTCTCTTTCCTTCCCTCTCTCTCTTAAATTCCTTAACGTACATATGACTGTTTAAAGGGAGAAAACTAATAATTGTACTAGGAATGGGGGAAATAAAGGGAATGCACTTATGCAAACTTTTTGTATTTTAACTTAAGATGTTAAATGTTAACTAATTAGATTGGTATAAGTTTAAGATTTATATGTAATCCCTAGAGCAAGCAGTAAAAATATGAAAGAGATGTAGCTAGAAAGCCAATAGAGCAACTAAAATGGGATACTAAAAATATTCAATTAATACAAAAAGAAGGCAGGAAGGAGGAATAAAGAAAAAAATAAATAGATTAGACAAGTTTTAAAAAAGGAGAAAATGGCAGGCCAAATAAAACCATATGAAAATTACATTGTATGAAAATACACTAAACTCTTCATTCCAAGGAAAGATTGTCAGGTAGGATAAAAGAGCAAGAACTAACTCTATCACGTCTATAAAAGACAGACATTAAATACAAAGGCAAATAGACTAAAAATAAAAGACCAAATAAAATGTATCCTATAAACAATAAGCATAAGATAGTCAGAGTTTCTTTAGTAATATTAGACAAAATAGACCGCAAATTGAAGAGTCAGAGTTTCATTAGAGGCAAGAATGAAAACTTCATAATGATAAAAGGTGACTATAACAGGAAATATAAAATAATAAATATATTATTATTTATATATTATATATATATACACATACATATAATAACAGAACTTCAAAATATAATACATTAAAACTTATATAAGTAAAGGGGCATATAAACAAATCCACAATCGTGTTTGGAGTTTTAAAATATCCTCCTCTCAGTAATTAGTAGGAAAATTAGACAAAACAGAAGATTAACTCCTTTAACCAAATTGGCATTTATTGAACAATCTCCCAACAACTCCACTAGATGCATGGACCCACTGTAAAATCACTCCGCATTAGGGCACTGTTTATTTTTTGACTCCATTATGCCCCTCCTCTAGCAGGAGTCATGATAGCGTTTGAGACCCCAGATGTCAGCATCAACTTGGACCCTGTATCCTCAAAAGATGTGGGGTACCTCTCTACAGAAGTTCACAGAAATTTTTTTTTTAAAAAAGACCTGAGTATTCATCTTTCTCAGTTTAAAGTTACCCAATAGTCTGGGTGCAGTGGTTCACACCTGTAATCCTAGCACTTTGGGAGAATTACAAACAGAATTTGAGACAGTGTGAGATCCTATCTCAAAAAAATGAATTAATAATAGTAGTAATAATAAAGTTTCCCAATAAATGGCTATAAGTCCCTTTGGGGAAGGACTGGGAGTCACCATTTATTTGCCATGATGCTTCAGTATCCTTCTACATAGGGTCTTACTCAGTTTTTGGAATCTGGTTACAAGAGCTGGAGCACATCTAGAAACTTGGCAAGACATCATTACTGCCCATTGGTTCAGTTGTCCTCGGCCTTCTGCTCATTCATTCCTGATCTTGGTTGTATGTATTAAGCAGTGCTCCTAGTGGTTTCCCATAAGTCTCCTCTGTAGGTCTCTACAGGTGAGGCTCCCCTGGCAGCCATTCTGATTTTGCTTCCCCTTATGAGGGGGAATATACTCACTTGCTTCTGGAAGTTAAAAGCTTCGCGTGGCCTCTACTATTGAGTGATTTTATTATATCAATTCTTGCTAGGCAGTCCAGTTCTGTAACAGCATCTAATACCATCAGGGAAGTCTTCAGAGAACAGCTGTTACTGAGCTTCTCGACAATGCTCATGTCTCCCCATAACCAGAGTGTTCATTTTCACTTTAGTAAATGAGGAACATAACTAGATGGAAAGTTTTCCCATCTTAGGTAGTAAATATATTCTAGCACGCTCACTTATCTTTTGCCCCTTTCCTCCACAGTTTACCATGACAGTTCTAGCATTGGTTGATATTTTATATTGATACAAAGCAATGCTTGGCTCTGAAGAGGAAGTCACACAGTCTGCTAGTGGTAGAGCCAAACGTGCCTTAACAAAAAGCCCAACCTCCTTCATTATGCTAAAAAAAATTTCACTGGATGTTATTATGTTACACATTCATTTCTATTTATGTTTTTGTTTGGTTGGCTGGCTAGTTTGAACTGAGTGAACTGTCTGAGAAATTCTGGTTTTTGTCTGTATAAATTTTCTAACCACCTAACTTTTTCAGAGAGATAGTGACACTTTAGAAGTATTTATAAAATAAAAAGAGAAAGGAAAAGTTGGTTCCAGAGGGTGTTATGTGTACTATGCTGTGATCAAAAAAATAGTAAAAATAAACTCCCGTTGTTAATTTGTGCGAGGGTTGAAACACGCATTGAAGACCATACACTAATCCATATGGATTTCCATTTTCTCAAAAAACAATAATCGTCTTAGCTTTGTCGGAGGGGATTTGAAGGCCACAAGTGCTGTGTGACTCTACTGGTTCTGTGCAGGATAGTTCACGACTGAATGGCCTCCTCTGGGACTTTGCTTCTGATTAAAATTCAAGAACAACACTGGCTCAAAGCTTGCTTACAGCTCTAGAAGTTAAAAAGAAAGTCCGACCGCATGAAGGTACAAGTGTGTTGCCCTCGTATGCACTGCCTCAGGAGGCTCCAATAGCATCTACCTTGGGTCTGCATTTTCACATAAAATGGTCCCATGTTACCAAATGTGTGCACTAGGCCATATATCTGGATCTGTACCTTCATGTGGAAACTGGGAGTGATAATCCCTAACTTCTAGGGTTATTGCAGGTACAATTGATATTTTGGGGCAGATAATTACTTGTTGTAGGGGGTATTCTTTGCATTGTAGGATGTATAGCAGTGTCCTTGGCCTCACTAGATACCAATAGCACCCTCTACCAACCAATGGAGATAACAAAAAATGTCTAGACATTGCCAAATGTCCCCTGGGGGACAAAATTATACCACCCCTTTACCTCAACATCCCATCGAGAAGAACCACTTGGTTGTTTAAGACAACAATAATAATAGAAAATAATAATAGATTTTTCTCATTGTGCTGGAGGCTGTTCTGAGGGCTTTACACATACCCTATCATTTCATCTTCACAACAGCCCTGGGACAGTGCTAGATAAGATGGGTACTCTTGCCATTTTGGTTTTATAGAAGTGGGTTCTGAAGCAAAACGAAGTTAACTTTATCGATGTCAGGGGTGAACTCAGGTCATCTGTTCCCACAGTGCTCTAAACCCAAAGTAGGGTCCCCTAAGCAGTTGCAGGGTCACCTAGGAGCTTGCAGGAAATGAAGACCCTTAGGCCCCACCCCAGACACACTGAATCAGAACCTTTATTTTAACAAGGTGCAAGTGATTCACCGGTACATTAAAGCTGAGTGTGGTGGCTCACGCCTGTAATCCCAGCACTTTGGGAGGCCGAGGCGGGCAGATCACCTGAGGTCGGGAGTTCAAGACCAGCCTGACCAACATGCAGAAACCCCGTCTCTACTAAAATACAAAATGAGCTGGGCATGGTGGCACACGCCTGTAATCGCAGCTACTTGGGAGGCTGAGGCAGGAGAATTGCTTGCATCCGGGAGGCGGAGGTTGCGGTGAGCCAAGATGGTGCCATTTCACTGCAGCCTGGGCAACAAGAGCGAAACTCCATCTCAAAACAAACAAACAAACCAAAAATCCATTGCACAGCTTCTGGAATGCAGTAGGTGCTTCAGAGAAACAGAACCAACGGTGTGTGTGTGTGTGTGTGTGTGTGTGTGTGTGTGTGTGTGTGTGTGTGTGTACAGAGAGAGAGGAAGAGAAACAGGGAGAGAGAGAGAGATTTATTGTAAGGTGTTTGCTCACACAATTGTGGAAATTGTGAAGGCACAAGTCCAAAATCTGTAGATAGGCTGGCAGCCTGGAAACCCAGGGAAGAGGTACAAGCAGAGAGTAAAGGCAGTCTGTTAGCAGAATTTATTGTTTGAGGGAAGTTAGTCTTTATTCTAATCAGGACTTCAATTGATTAGATGTAGCCACCCACATTAAAAAGAAACTTTATTCAAAGTTCACTGGTTTAAATGTTAATTTCATGTGAAGAACGCTTTTGAAAAACATCTAGAAGAATATTTGACCAAATATCTGTGCACCATGGCCCAGCCACATTGACACATAAATCAGCCATCCCAGTGCTCAGTTTTTCTTAGCTTTTGTTGTTATCATTGTTAACAAGAGGAGAGTAAAGCCTGTTTTTTTTATTACAACTATAAATATTCAAGTTACAGTGTTAACAGTGTGGTAAGGAGAATAATTTTGTTGGTTTCAGAGTCCTGTGAGAACAAATTCTGATCAAATAGGGACTGGGTGGTGAAATCTGGGAAAGGAGAATGAATCTGAGAGACCAGTTGGATCATTAGGACTAAGTAACCCCTCAGATCCAGATAGATTTTGGTGCTAATTCCCACTCTGAAGTTTCCAATCATGGCAATGGGTAATGTACTCCACCAATGTGAGCATCCATTTCTTCATCTGAGATGAGAAATAACAACAAACACCTTGCAGGGTTATTGTCAGGACTGAAGGAGACATCATTCTAGTGCCCCTAGAACGCTGCCTGACACAGAGGCCCTGGGTGCTTCTGAAAATCTGCCTCTCACTCATCTGTCTATTCCTTACTTCTCTCCTTCCTTTTTCTTATGCTCCTTGCCTCCCTCCCTCCCTCCCTTCCACTCATCTTTGAAGAGTTAATGGATGCCTTTTTTTTTTTTTAATTCTAGACACTATCCTAAGGCTGGTAGCACAAAATAAATGTATCAATAGATAAAAACATCCTACTTTCTGTAGTTCACAGCCCAGTAGGGGAAACAGAAATGCGAGCAGGTAAAGGTGATGTTCATGAAGATCTTGCCAGCGTGGTGATGTATACATAATGCAATGATTTTTTAGAGGAAACAGAAATGCAAGCAGGTAAAGGTGATGTTCATGAAGATCTTGCCAGCGTGATGATGTATACATAATGCAATGATTTTTTAGAGGAGAAGTCAAGGGAATCTTCTGAGGGGGCCGTGTTTGAAAGGAGGCTTGAGGGCTGCAGCAAAGCTTGCCCAGCAGATGAGGGGAGAGGAAGTATCCTCCACAGTACATGGCCATGGAAGCCTTTCCTGAGAACAGTGCATGCCCTTGGGTGTGGATGAGGATAGAGTGGGGACATAGGGGAGTAGAAAGGGCCAGAGGTATGGCAGGACGGATCAACAGCTAGACGTTTCAGGATTAAAAGGGCCTTATGTTTCTTGTGTAGGAGTCTGGACTTTTACCAGTGGCCAATGGAGAGCCACAAAAAGAGGGGAGAAATATGGCAAGTCACCTTTGTATTTTAGAAAAGATCACTCTGCCACATACAGTAGTGTAGGAAAGTCTGGAGTCAGGGAGGTTCTTTAAGGCCCTCGCAGTACTTTTCCATGCCATTCTTAATACTTAATAAGTATTATTAAGTATTAAGTAGCCAAAACTTAAATAATAGGACTTTCTGAGGTAGCTTTAAATTTAGTAGAGGAAAAATTAATAGACTTAGAAAAAATGAATTAAAGTAGGCCATTATTTTCAGTCTTGCCTCAAGCATGTAGTAGTTTTTTTAAATAATTTCAAATTGTATTTCAGATGCAGGGGGTACGTGTGCAGTTTTGCTAAATGGGTATGTTGCATGATGCTGAGGTTTGGGACACAATTGATCTCATCACCCGGGTACCAAGTGTAATACCCAATAGTTAGTTTTTGAACCTTGTCCCCCACCCTCCTTCCCTACTCCAATAGGCCCCAGTGTCTGTTGCTGTTGTTTTTACCCAAGAATGTAGTATTTGTATTTTTGGTCCAATGGGAAAGAAATACCGACTTGTGGATAAAAGTCCCACAGTCAAGAGGCCAAGATCACAAAACAACAGCTTGTCCTAGGATGTTGTGAAAACATCTGGCCCTTCTGGCTCTGAGAACTAGAGAGCTAGCTCACCCACTACTAAGCCAGGGCCTTTCACTTACTCCACTTAGAATGACATGGGGGAGCACTATTGGGAAATGTGCCCTTCTCATGAGAAGTGGGTTTATTTCAGAAAAAAAAAGAAAAGAAAATGTCTCTGAAGAGATCCCAAAGAAAGTTCCAGACAACACTGTCCATCCCCTGTCTCCCACAGCTATTCTAAATTCCAACAACTTTCCTTTGTAAACATCCCTGACCAGTTGATCGTTTATTTTGCACTCTGGAAAAAAAAAAATGGCTTTCTCCCACTTCCTGAGAACATACGGTCTCTCCATGTCCTTTTTCCTCAGTTTCCTTTATTCCCATCTTTGAGCCACACCACACCCATGCCTCATCTCTTCTCCTTCCCTTATGTCTGAGAAGACAGTGAATAGAGTGCAGGATTATGGAGACATGCAGACACTGCATAAAATTTCTATTCCAGCCCACACTGCCCATGTAAAATTGAGCTTTGGTATTTGCTTCTTTAAAATAGGGAGATTAACCCTTCTTTTCTCAAATGGCATAATATATATGAGTGCACTGGACTGTAGTTATTAATATAAACAGTCATTCAGCAACCATCCTTCTATATGCACACACATACCCACGTGCCCTTCATCTATGTGTGACTTACCCCCATCCTCCAAAATTATCTTTGTTAGGTCTTGCTCTAAGCAAGGTCATTAGTTTTTGGGTTGTTTGGGAAGAAGGAAAACAAAATTGAGATATTTTCTGCTGATTTTGATTAATAATGACTAATAAGTGATTATATATATATATATTGGCACTATGTGTCTGGCACTGTAATAAGTGTTTTCCACGTGTCATTTTGTTTAAATCTTCACGCAACCCTATAAGATATGATTATCTGCCTTTTCCAGATGAGTAAACAAGCTCAATGGTATTAAATGACTTTCACAAGTTCACATAACTAAGAGTGAGTTAGACCAGAATTTGAGGCAATGCAATTGGAATCTAGAACCTCATTGCTTAACTCCCAGCTATATTATCTTTCCAATATAAACTGTTACTCCCCTTCTTGCATTTCCAATTTCAATTAACTATCCCCTCCTTATCTATTTTCTTTGCCATCTCGGGCTCATGCACATTGCAAAGATTGCCATATATGTCATCCATTGATTGATTGACTCTTGAAATATTCATTAGGCCCTGCTGTGTTCCAGACAGGCATGTCTGGAATAAAACAAAATAAAACGAGCAAACAAACAAATGAGCAACCAAACAAACAGGAAAACTGACGTATTTCCAATCAGGGTTGGAGCAAAACAGGTATATATAATTGAAACCTTTTTGGTGTAGAGGCCATTTGAGTCATCTAGTATATCAAATGAGAAACTTACTATTGTTTCTAAATAGTTCAACTGATAAGAGAATATAAATGTATTTTATTTCTGGAACCCATAATATATTTTTTAAAAGTGGAATAATTGTCTAGACTAGCCACTATGACTGTCTGCTGGATACTTACTCACATTAGTGTTTGTTGTGGGGTACAGGGGTAATGGCCATGGATCTCAGCCTCACTGCAAGACTCACTTCTCTGTAGTAAGCCAGAGAATATGAGAGGTTATTTATGAGCATCCCAGAGAATGAAGAGACCACAGGGAAGCCATGCACTCTAGCTAAAGGAGCACTGGACAGAGAAGGTCAAGACCAACTTTCATTCCTGCTCTCACCACTAACTGACTGTCTGACCAGGTACAAGACATACACCTGAAATTGGCCTCACTTTTCCTGTCATTAACAGGAGGAGGTGGATTAGATTTCACTGTGACATTATGACGCTCTGAAATATAGATTCAGCCAGGAGTTACAGGGGAAAAGAATCAAGGGAATGATGCAGAAAAGTATTCTAAACCCCTTCCTTTAACAAAGAATCAAGAGTTCAAAGAAAGAAATTGCACAATTCTTCAATTGGATAGCCAGGTTTGCAGCCCACCCTCACCTCTGGGACAACTTTGAATTACAGCTCAGCTGGCAGTCTCTGCTGAGGCAGGATTAGAAAGGCAGCAGAGAGATGTCACCCTGATTCAGAGAAGGAGGAAAGTTAGACGGGGATCAGACAGTATCATTATCTTCACAAATGTGATATCTCTTCTTGTCTGTGAGTATCTGGCCTACATCTCAGTTTCCGGAAACCCCAAATTCAGAATGGCACCCTTAGGGGGACTCTTTTCTTCTTGAAATGATTCATGCTTGAATAGGCTATTTTTAAAAGTTTACTATCAGGGTAGTAAATGATAAGACATTCTCATGCCAATTAACATCCTCTTGATAGCATTTATCTAAAAACTGGAAATTATTTGTTATTCCGTCCAAACAGGAGGAAACAATATTTACACAGCTATTATTAAATGTGAGAGCTCTGTCTGACTAACTCTACCTGCCATAAAGCCTTTTTCAAAATGGAAGTAGGTAATTATCTTATTCACACTTATTTAGGAAGCATTTTCCAACAGCATTCAGAATTCAGGGAAGAGGAAATACTTGCTCTTCCCTGAAGTGTGATGGGAGTTAGCAAATGCTTAGGCTTTGTTTGAGGGATCATTGCTGGGTACTTTACTGAGAAAAACATCTCTGGGTCTCATAGACAAATATTCAAGTGGAGAAAGATGGTTAACGGAGGAGATGGGTGTGAGAAAGCAGTTCTATTGATTTTTTTTTTTCCTTTTCTCAAAGCTCAAGCGCCTTGGTGAATGGGAGGGGTATTAGTACATGAAGAGGCTACTTCAAGAAATTGAGAAGGCTTTCTCCTGCTTACACAAAGTGAGATATGGTGAAGTGAAGTAAGGCATGTAAAAAGAATTCACTTAAGACTCTCTCCAATCTACTGTTCTTCTGCAAAGATGATAATGGTAGTATTTGCTACTCGCAAAAGTATTTTAGTGAGAATTAATCCCCCTGAGATGCAAAATCACACATTTTAAGACCATAGGAGGCAGCCTGGTACATAGAAATTAGTTGTGAGGACAGAGCAGTTATTAGCCTGTGCCTAGCCTTTGACTTAACCCACCAATTGCCTGGATCCTCTTTTCTTTGACTGATTGGCTCCTCCCATCCTTTGCCTTGGTCTCACATTTACACGTGGAGGTTTCAAGTAAAAGTGTGTTGCAGGTCAAAAGCTCCACAGTTAAAAGCATTTACAAATTTAAAAGATGGGTAATATATAAGGACACTCGAGGCATTGCTAGGATTCTAGCTTAAATTTTTTTTTTTTTTTTACATTTTATATAGGCTCTGTAAGGAGTGATTTTTATCAAATATGTAATATTTCTTCTGCCAACTGGGCTACCTCTCTTCCTCCAGACCCCTTCTTGAGAGTCAACTGAATTCTTAGACTGGAACCAAGGTCATCAGAGTTTGACGATGATTTTCCGTGTTCTATATGATTTCCTTTCACTCATGCTTTGGTTTATAAGATATTTTTATACAATAAAGTCCCAGAGGCACTACAGCTAATGAAGGTATGAAATATTCCAGGAGCACTGTTATATTAGTTACTGCATTTTATCAAGTTCAAGACCTGAGACTCATTATCATCATCCCCATTCTACTGACAAGAACACTGAGACCTGGGGGTAAAGTGACTTGCACAGTGCCCCCTGGGGAGTAAGCAGCAGTGTCAGGATCTGAGCCTAGGGCTTTCTGGGCTAAACCCAGGACTACTCCCTAACGCTATACTTGCATTTCACTTCACTCTGCTTAGACAGAAAGTCCAACGTTGCAGACAGCTCCCTGAGGTCAGTTTACTTCACTGGAATCCACCCAGCTCAGCCTCTGATGTGAACCAGTAGTGTTCCCTGAGCCACAGGTTCCAAAAAGCCATTTGTGCCCACAATAAACAGAGGTGGGAAAAAATTGAGTCCTTTCCCCACAAGTTTTGGGTTCTAACAATTATAGGAGACTTTAAGCTAGCTGAGAAAAAAAGAAACTTTACATTTTAAATGAAAACAATTAAAGAACTTCATTTTAATAATTCCAGAAATCCAATAGCTCTCAGACTGAACTCAAACTACAGAACAGATTTAAATATAAGCCCCAAGTTATTGATCAAAGTGACAATAGCCATTACGAAAACTATTACGTGTTGAGCTCCTACTATGATCCAGGTAATTTACATATGTCATATTATTTAAGTCTCATGGCAAAGGTTTCTGCAGTTCTGACCTGTGAGGTGAACATTATAAGACTTATTTACAAATGAGAAAACTGAGAAGCATAAAAGCTTAGGAACTTACTAAAAGTCACACAGTTTGTGAGGGAAGTTGTCATTCTCTCCCCTTGTCTGAAGCCCATTGTCATCGAATTATTCTGTTCTGCCTTCTTTCTGATAAATAAGAGTGGGGATCCAAATCTGCCTTCTGTCTGCTATATTATAGGTTAGTTTTTTAGCTTTTTCTCTTCTGAGAGCAGATTCAGTGGAATTTCATTATTATGATGATTGAAACAAAAGGACATTATCATTCTGCATTTGGTGTTTCATGTTTGGAATGACATAAAGAAAAAAAAAGATAGCCTCAGGTTGGGCATAGTGGCTTACACCTGTAATCCAAGCACTTTGGGAGGCCAAGGTGGGTGGATCACCTGAGGTCAGGAGAGACCAGCCTGGCCAGCATGGTGAAACCCTGCCTCCACTACAAATACAAAAATTAGCCAGGCATGGTGGGGCATCCCTGTCATCCCAGCTACTCGGAAGGCTGAGGCAGGAGAATCACTTGAACCCAGGAAGCGGTGGTTGCATAAGCTGAGATCACGCCAATGCACTCCAGCCTGTGAGACGAAGTGAGACTCTTTCACAAAAACAAACAAACAAAAGCCCTAAATCCTCTAGCATCCACAGCATTCAGGGGACATTTGTCAATTTTTTTGGCATCTTGGATATAGATAAGTATTCCACAATGCACAGGATAGCCCTGGCAACAATGAATTGTCCAGCCCAAAATGTCGATGATGTTGAGGTTGAGAAACCCTCCTCTAGACGAATGCTAGGCACCTGGTAGGAAATAAGTAAGCAATGCTTACTCGTCCACCCTAGTTAAAATAGCACCTCCTGGTCCCATTGCATTACCATACTTACTGATACGATCTTGTGTACGTTTTTGTTTACATGGGTAGTATCTGTTTCTATAACTGAGATTTAAGCTCTCTGAGGATCAAGACTAGACCTGCTTAGGCCACAGCAAGTAGAGTAGAAAGTGAGTAAAAGTTTGTTGGCTGGGTGTGGTGGCTCATGCCTGTAATCCCAGCACTTTGCAAGGCCAAGGCGGGGGGATCACGAGGTCAGGAGATTGAGACCATCCTGGCTAACATAGTGAAACCCTGTCTCTACTAAAAATATAAAACAATTAGCTGGGCATGGTGGTGGGCACCTGTAGTCCCAGCTATTCAGGAGGCTGAGGCAGGAAAATCGCTTGAACCTGGGAGGCAGAGGTTGCAGTGAGCCGAGATCATGCCACTGCACTCCAGCCTGGCGACAAAACGAGAGTCCATCTTAAAAAAAAAAAAACAAGATTTGTTTACAGTGAATGAATGAATGAAAAAACATAGGTTGAAGAGGGTGAAGAGTTAAAACAAGTCACACCCCGCCCTTATAAGTTAATGCAGAGACCGCATCTCTCTCTCTTTCTCATAAAGTATGTTGTGGACTTTGAGATCCTGCCCTGGCTATAGGACATTAAACACCACACATTTGGTCTGGAATTCTTTATGCTCTCAAATTTTCTGGGCAATTTCACAGATCCGAATAGTTTCATTGAGCCTCAATGCTACTCTGTGGTTTTCCTAACTAACCACTTAACTTTTTCCTAGGATTCTCATCACTCATGATTCAGGACTGAATACTTATAGCTACAGGTGCTTCTTGCTTCCATGGGCTGAAAATTTTAGAGTCAAGCACCTTGAAGAATTAAGATCCCTCTGAGACTCAAGCATAAGAGTTAGACACCTGAGGCTCAAGATATTCCAGCATCCAACAAAAGGAGGAGGATGAAAAACATGGCAGCCCTCATGTCCAGACTGCTGATTGAGGGAGGGATCCAGGGACAGTGTGGGTCCAAGGTGGCAAGAGCCACTGGGGCTTGTCAGAAACTAAAGCTGGGAGCCCACAGTGAGTCAGAAAAAGGGGAACATGTGAACACAGTGGGCAACTGAGGGGAGGCAGGTGACAGGGAGAAACTGAGATCAGGAGAAATGTAGGCCCAGGGATGGATTTAAAATCAGGGCCTGGGTGCCTGAAATGCACCCAGCATGGAGGCAAACCAGGACCTAGTGTACTGGAGAGGAAAGAACAGGTTTCCAGACATAGGGCCAAAGGCGTGGAGGAATGCATGGGAAAGGAAGATTGAAACAGAGTTCACGTATAGTGGGACATGGATTGTGCTAGGTCCTTTAAGCAGTCTCAAAAAGTAGGGTTATACTCGTTTCCTGGGGAAATGAAAGTTCAGCTTTAGAGAGATCAACTGGCTTACTTACAGTCTATAAGATGGCAAACTCCACGAGGATAGGAACCAGACCAGGTCAGCATCATGCACTGCTGCATTCACAGTACAAAGGTCATGGTGGCTGCACGTAGTGGGAACATGGAAAGTTTTTGTTGGGTGAATGGCAGGAAGGTAGCATTCAAAATTTCATCATCAGGGTAAAGCTCCTCCCTGCACTTGACTACTTTCCTAGCCAAAATCAAGTCATACATCAGAGAGAACTTAGCAAGAGCAAAAATGTTTCGGCACCAAGTCCTGTCCAAAATGAATTGTTACTTCCATTTCCTCCAAGTCTGAAAGGCGCAGCACTTGGCTTTTGCCACTTTCCAGAAGATCCAGTGATTTCACCATTTCTCTCAGTTTTGAAGAGAAGAAAGCAGTATTTTAAAAAAGATTTTTTTGGGGGTTGGGGGTGGGGAATTAGAATGGTTTTTAAGCAACTTAATAAAAGGCTGAAAGACGAACATTAGTTTCAAACTCCTCATCCATTGCAAATTGGCTTGTGCCATTTCCAAACTACATAAAATTATTTTGGGAACAAATGATAAATGACAGTTATTCCATGACAGCTTTTTCAAAGATCAAACAGGGACCCCATACTATCTTGTTATGAACACTTCATAGTTATAAACTTGAACTTTGTTTTTTCAATTTAAGTAATTCAAAATGTATTTATTAAACAGCCCTTCTGATTAGGGCAGAAAACAGTAAGACATGAGGGTGCGAATGAAAGGATCCACTCAGCATGTATTCTCTTAGAGCACTCACCCAGGAGAGAAACACTAGCGAATCAAGAGGGTGTCCACAGAACCAGGGCATGCCCAGACCATTGACTCATGGATACAAGTAGGGTTACAGTATCTGGGGTAGCTTAAGTGTCATTGGTATCTGTCAATCTGCTGGCACAGAGCCTCCCACTTTCTACAAAGCCTTTGCAAGTATTTCTGGAAAACTCCAGGCTATACTCCCTTGTGCTGTTTAGCAGTTGGAATCTGGTAGCCACTGCGATTCTTTGGTTGAGTGTTGACACCGATGTGCAAAACTGTGCAGGAGCATCTGGCAGAGTAAGGGAACTTGTTTTCTTTCTTTTCTTTCTGTTCACTTCTATAAGCAAGAGTCTGAAACAAGACTTCTTCTGTGTTCCTCCCAAACCACTTCCAAAGTTTTTAGTTAAATATATCTTTTATTATTTTGCTTATTGTGGTTTAGGGTAGTATTTAAGAATACAGATGTTGAAGTCAAATTTCTGAGAATCATATCCCGGCTCCACTTCTTACTAGTTGTGTGACTTGTGAAATTACTTCTTCACCTATACGTGAGGATGATAGTAGTACTGACTTCATAGTATTGTAGTGAAGATTAAATGAATGAATATATGTAAAATGCTTAGTATAGTGCCTGACACATAGTAAGCACTATATTAGTGTTACTTATTATTAACCTTATTATTCATGAAAGATTAGTGATCATTATAAATAATAGTTCCATTAGTAGAGTACTTACCATGTGCCAGCTAATATGCTAGCAATTTCTGTTAAATCCCCTCGGTAGCCCTTGAGGCAGGAATTACTGTTATACCACGTTTACAGCTGAGGAAGCAAGGCTTAGAGAGGTAAATAACTGTGCAGGGGCACACCGGTAGCACATGAATCCCCATCCTGGCTAGTGGACTAACACCAGAATCTATGCGTATGAGAGGAGCAAGGTGGAGATGGGATAAAATGTCAGCCATTTGCTGCATTCATAGCCTCTACCTCCCTCCAGAGACTACAGTGGTTTGTTTGTTTGTTTGTTTGTTTGTTTTCTTTTGAGATGGAGTCTTCCTCTGTCTCCCAGGCTACAGTGCAGTGGTGCGATCTCAGCTCACTGCAACCTCCACCTCCTGGGTTCAAGCGATTCTCCTGTCTCAGCCTCCTGAGTAGCTGGGATGACAGGCACCCGCCACCACACCTGGCTAGAGACAGGGTTTCACCGTGTTGGCCAGGCTGGTCTCGAACTCCTGACATCAGGTGATCCGCCTGCCTTGGCCTCCCAAAGTGCTAGATTACAGGCCTGAGCCACTGTGCCCAGCCGAGACTACAGTCTTCATCCTGAGTCACGTTCATTGCATCCTGAGTCCAGCTCCCTATACCTGAAGAAGTTCTATGTGTCTATATGTTGTCTCAGGGGTCATCCAGAAGGCTTTTCATCCAGGAAGCATTCCCTAATCTGCTTAGACCTAGGTTAGTTAGATCTCCAGAACACAATTCTTCCCTTCTTTACAGCACTAATTCCAGGGCTCTTGATTGTCCCCTTATTTGCCTTTCTCCTTCTCCAAATTTTGAGATCCTGCCAGGCTAGAATCAGATTTCATTCATCCTTGTTTTTCCGGCACTGAGCTCAGAGTCAGGCATAGGTGAGAAGTATGATAAACTTTATTATACAAATGAATTACTTATTTATTCTTTATGATGACACCAGAAGGTAGGTTTTATTTTGCCTACTTATGTATAAAGAAACAGAGTCCTGGGTGGGTTAAAAAAACTCAACTAAACTCACACAGTTAATAGTCACGTTTCAGTGGGACTAAGACCATCTCCCAACAGCATTATATTTATCTTTGGGCTAAGGTGAAAAAAATACATATCTTAAGGTGGATTAGCTACATATCTAGAAGGCTGCAGCCCTATCTCTCCTCCATGATAGAATTATACCGTAAGTTTTCTGAGCTCTGAACACTCAGAAAACCCTGAGGAGCAGTATGTGGTCAGAGACCACACAGACAGTAGAATGGGAATGTTATTGATACAGGCATCAAGTAAATTCAGAAAGGGTTCACCATAATTTAAAATATAAATCTTTTCTCAAATTCACTCATCACAAAGTATCCATTATAAATCTGAATGTTCTCTTACCTTCAGGGAATGGTCCAGCATAAAAATAAAATTGCCATGGAGAATTGGGTTTCAAACGGCTGACAATGGGGTCATATTTGCTGACCTGAAACAGCTAGAGGCAGGAAGAGTAAAAACCTTGGTCTTACTGAGCTCTGTGGGTCCCATCCAGGGAAATGAAATGCCAAGAACATATTCTAAACGCAGATGTATGTTCATCAATAAAAGACAAGTTTAAGTGCCAAGAACTAAGTAAAGACCGGGGTGGTACCAGTGCAAAGAAGGCCCTCAGTGTTCACAGGTAATGATGGAAGAGTTTCCCCAACTCACCCACCTTGATGGAACCTTGCGTGTGTATTGAGGGAGTGTTAATATACAAGGCCTTGTGGGAGTACTTTAAGGTACGAGCTGGAACACACAGAACAAACAGGGCACCGAATTAAAATGTTTCAAATGCTGTTTTCTTTAATCCTCACAATATTCCTATGACAGGTGCATTATTATTTTCATTTTACAAATAAGGAAGTTGAGTCACAGGGACGTCACCAGCTTGTACACAATGAAGCAAGAATATGGTCCCATCTGTGCCCTACCTATATCCTCATTGTCCTAAAACAACAAATAAGTAAACCAATAAAACTAAGAGTCCTAGCTTTGAGAGGGCTAAACCCCCTAAAAACGACCAAAGGTTTTCAAATGTGGAGTAGGTGCTTCCCACAGAGAGCAGTTTCAGCAGCAGTGGGACCTAGTTTGGGCTGTCAGGATAAAATTCACTTCACTCTGGTCTCTGTTGTCTCTGTTTCTCTGTCTCTCCCAACCCTTCTACTCCTCTCCACAAAGAGCACATTTTTCAGTTTGCCAAAGATAACTTCTCACTTTCTATAACTGGAAAAGAAAAAGACCGAATATGAGTAAGTGAAGCTTTTTAAATGCAAGACTATTAAATACTAGCTTTTTAAAATGAGGTATTGATGCTATGTTAATATGTCGTTTCTCATAATGTCTTGATGATGGCACTAATTCAAGTTGCTTCCTGTTGAGGACTAAGTTTATCAATCAGCCAAAAAGCAGCTATTTCTAGAGTATGTCAAAGTCGTTAAGCTGAATGTAATGTTTAGAGCCATGGTGGTTTGGAATGAGGGGCTTCCTGGGAGTTCTAGAAAGATAGGTAGTCAGAAGACCCGGCTCTGAGTCCTAGTTCCTCTCCTGAAGAATTCAAACCTAAAATTTGGAATGGATAAGATAAAGGATATAAAAAGTGTGTTGTAAACTAAAAAGTGAAGGGAATTTATGGAGCGATTATGTTGCAGCTCTCAGCGGCCCAAGTCATGGCCACTGATAAAATGAACCTTATTCTATAAATCAATTGACCTCTCCATTGGTGAAGGATAGTTTTTCATAAAAATCATTAAGTTCCTTCTTTTTCCAGCTGATAGTTTCATGTACATTTTTAAAAGTCAGACTACCTCTACCTAATCCCCAATATTCACTCATTCCTTTTTTCTTTCCATCCTAAATCTACCTCACAAAATGCAGAGCTGTATTATTAACAAGGTTAATTATAGGACTAGAGTGGGTGGGCTCCACAGAATAGAAGTGAATGGAATGGTTAATCATGTTAGCTCCAAGTTTGCATTATTGATGCATTTCATTGTTCTCCTAGTCACACCCTGTGTAAACTGAGCCCTAATCTGGATAGGTGGGGCTGGAGAAGTGGAAAGATAGGGAGAAATGGAGGAAGAAAGAGAATGGGGTAGGGCTGGAGTGCGTAAGATAAAGTTCTTAACTTGTAAGTAGCTGCTCACAGATTGGAGAAGACAACATAGTTGCCCAAAATAAAATAAAATAAGTGGCTCCAAAAATAAAACAAGTCCTGTACTACTCTAAGCAATCTGCTTCTCTTTCTGAAACCGGTATAATAGCCCATCCCTGGGCATCCCTTCCAGTGCATATCCTGCCTTGGCCAAAAGGTCAGATCATTGTTTTGTTTCAGTACTATTTTCAACAGGAAACAAGCGCCATGTCAAAATTAGATAATTCAAGGCGAGTTTAATAAGGAAAATATTTAAAATTATGGGGAGGAACACTGTGCAGCATCCCAGGCTAAGGACAGCCAAGATGTTACTATCCTTAATCCTGGAGTAAGGAGGAAGAGAAACATTACTGGGACCAGGCAGGAGAAAGCAGCGTTGGTGTAAAGATCCTTTAGAAGGATCAGTAATGTTGGTGGGAAGATAAGACCTGTCCAAGATGGCCTGTAGGAAGAGAGCCTGAGAATAAGTAACACAACTTCTCTCTCTCTCTCCCTTATTTCCTGCCGGGGCATCCATGGGCAAAACTAACCAGAAACCAGGGCATAGTGGAGACTGGTGGGTAGCCAACAAAGGCCAGTCACCTGGGCGGAGAGCAAAGTGGAAAGGGATAGAGTGAGTCTGCAAGGACAAGCAAAAGTTATCTAGGACAGGCATTTATGCTGGAAACACAAAGAAATGAAATTGTTTCCACTCTAGGGGGAGCTTCAATGAAGAGTTTGAAGAAAAGTAAGCCCTAAAAGGGCTCCCAACCCTGAGAATGTTGGTAGGAATTTATTTCCATTTTTCTGTTCCCTCATCAGCCCTTTCCTGAGGGCCTCCTCTTTGACAAGCAGACTTGAGCCCTAAGAACCCTGGACAGTGGGGATGTGTAACAAGACACAATCCTTACTGTCTATGAACTCAATCTGATTCCATGAAAACACACGTCAGTAGTGAACTACAATACACAAAGCCCCCAGATCTTTGTTTCAACTGAAACTTCTTCTCAAGTATCTGAACACCAAGCTCATAAAGCACAATTAGATCTGTCCATCTTTGCATGTGTTTCAGTGGTAACTGGTTTGGACAGCAGCCTATGTTCATTAGGCTTAGAAACTTTCCATGTCAGTTAATTTGATTAATATCAGAGAAAACTCAATTAGATGTGTCAACTTTTTGCACATGACATTTAATATCTATTAAAATGATGTCACCTCCATCAGCCAGGGGCCCTTATTTTCAGTTTCTTCACACTGTCAACTTGAGAATGCTAAACACCCAAAACACCAGAAATGAAAAATGCATTCCTATCGTTCTTTCTCCACATTTCTTAAAGCCAATCTAACATAATGACTTGAAAACAGTTTTCATGTTGATTTGTTCCTTACTCCCACTTTCCTAGAGAACCATACTTGAAAGAAGAATATACAAGGCTGAAGGCTAATTTTCCAAATAGTACTAAAGGGAAAGACAAGAAAGGAGAAGATTCATAGGTAGGGAGAATAATTCGGTTAGAAGGTTTATGTGGGGTATATTCATATATCTGACTCTCATTTCCAAACTACTATACAATTTCTAAGGTAAAATGAGCCTGTAAACTACACACACACACACACACACACACACACACAATGATTGCAGAACTTAATCAAATAAAAAAATGTAAAACTCTATGTACTAGTGGAATCTCTCCATAATAGAAGCTTTACAGCTCTAGATGAATTTACTATAGGATATGTACTACACATGGAAATGTAACAGCATCATTTCAAAGCAGAAATGTTTATAAATCTTTGTATTTAATGTCTGTGTTTACTTTGCTATTCCACAATGAGTTCTAATTCTTGTGCCTATTCCACAATTTAAATTCTATTAGAAAACTCAAATAATTGGCTCTGAAGAAAGTATGTATCAGATTCATTTGGAAGATTTTTTTTCAAAATACACACACTTAAATCCTGATGCAGTAAATTGAGGTGGGCACTTAGAGTCTCTATTTTGAAACATATACACAGGTAATTTTAATGGACACTGCCAGATAAGAAAGAATGCACTAGAATGTCCCCACATAGTCCATGCTAAAATACCATCTAATATTCCATGCTATTTCATACTTCTGGGCATATTTTTTCATGCTCTTTGTGAATATGTTTCCATTGAATGTTTGCCTGGCAAATATCTAATATTTTCCTGAGAGGAAAATACATGTGAAAACATTTTGTGTCAAATCTGGATTCAAATCGTGGCTCTTTGACTTCTTAGTTTTTGTTTTTGTTTTTTTTTGTCTTTAGCTGATGATTGAGCTTTCACTTCCCAAGAGGGTTCTCTTACCTTTGAAAAGATAGAGTTACGCTTTCATTCCCTGAAGGATTACTGTTTCCAAAGAAAAAAGCATGGATGGAATACTGACAGGAGTGCCTGACCAGAACAAGAAAGTAAATACAGAGGGTCATCTGAAAAGGCCTGGAGTCAGATGACTTATTTCCAGTGACAGACAGGTTACTCACTGGCTATATGACTTCAGACAAGTTACTTAGCCTCTCTGAGACTGGTTTTTCTCATCTGTTAAGTGAGCATTATAAAAGAATGCATTTCACATGGCTGTTATGAGGATTAATTGGGAGGTTATGCATGAGCTTATTAACTCAGTACCTGTGTAGATTAAATATTGAAAGAGAGAGAGAGAGTGTATGTATGTATATTTAACACCATCTGTGGATCTGCCCTTGCTTGGAGACCTGGCACACTTAGAACGAGTGAAAGAATGATAAAAGGGTTAGGGAAGGGTTTGGCAGTGACAACCAATTGAGGATTAGTTAGACAAGACTCCAGTATTACTATATGAGTTGTACTGTAAGGTGTTCAGTAAGGACAATAATGATGTCACCTTTGTCTGTTTACTAATATAACCCAAGCACCTGAAAGAGTGCCTAGCACATATTAGTGCTCAATATTTTCTGAATTCCCCAATGCTAACTAATGTGCCATCTTGCATACAGTAGGTCTTCAATGAATGTTGCAGAATCAAAGAATAATAGTAGCTGTAACTAACACTTACCAAGCTTTTATTATGTATAGTTTCCTCTTCTAGGCTCTTTATGTGTATAATCTCTTTTAGTTTTTACATTCGCACTGTGAGGTAGGCAGCTTTATTATTCCCATTTTGTAGATAAAAGAAATTAGATACAGGTAAGTCACTTACATATTTACACTGCTAAAAACTGGTGAGGCCAGGAGTTGACCTCAGCTACTGGGAACCAGAAGAAATGGGACTTGGAAATTCTGTCCAGCCTCTCTTCTTCTAGTTTAAAGCTTAATAATATCTATAAAAAAAAGTAACGATTTTGAAATAGGAATAAGGTTCAATTTGCTCATCTACAATTAGAGATCATAACACTTATCCTCCCTATCAAAAAGAATTATTTTGAACATCAATTAAGTTAATGTGAACTACTATAAAATATATTACATTTTGCATTCTCTATACTGTAATATAACTAAAAGAACATCGAGTTGGGAGCTCACAGACATTCAAATGTTGGCCCTTTTTATTAGTCTTATGGCCTTGGGCAAGTCATTCTGCATTGCCTTTCTTATCTATAAAATAAGAAAAATTATATGACTTTTGGGGTTACGATAATCACAAATGAGTTTAAAATGTGAAATAACCCAAAAAACATTGCTAAGCACATATAGGGTAGGCAAGAACTAAATGCCATCTCTTTTTATGTGGAGTGGTTTGATGGTCGGTGCCGATGATTAATTAATCAGTGTATGCTTTAGTTTTTTTTTTTAATGTAACAGGACTGTGATTAACATTCCTTGAGTACCTATTAGGTGCACATCTCATATAGAAAAACTCAAGAAATATGGCTCCTTTACATTTTCACTCCCCATTCCTTTTTTAAACCACTTTATTTATATATGAGTGACATATAAAAAGCTGTACATATGTAATGTATACATCTGGAAAAGTTTGGAGATAAATATTTGCCTGTGAAATCATTACCATCATTAGGGCATAAGTATATCCATTACCTCCACAAGTTTCCTCTTGCCTGCTTTATTATAATTATTGTTTTTGTTGTTTGTTTTTGTGGTAAGAACACTTTAACATAAGACCCTCTTAGCGTATTTTAAGTATGCAATACAATATTGTTAGCTATAGACACTTTACTGTATACTAGACCTCCAGAATTTATATCCTGCATAACTGAACCTTTATATCCTTTAACCATTACTTCCCCACATTCTCCTCTCCCCAGCCACTGACAATGGTATTCTACTCTCTGCCTCTATGAATTTGACTATTTTAGTTTCTATATATGAGTTTATATATCTGTTTTTGTCTGACATTATTTTACATAATGCCCTCCAGGTTCACCCATGTTGTAGTAAATGATAGAATTTTCTTCTACTTCAAGGTCAGTTAATATTTCATTGTGTGTTTATACCATGACTTCTTTATCCATTTAGCCATCAGTGGATATTTAGGTTATTTTGATATCTTAGCTATTGTGAGTAGTGCTGCAATGAACAGGAACGTGCATATACATCTTCAATATCCTAACTTTAATTTCTTTGTACATATACCCAGAAATGAGACTGCTGGATCATACGATAGCTCTATGTTTAATTTTTTGAGGAACCTCCATTCTATTTTCCATAATGACTGAACCAATTTACATTCCTACCAACAGTGTACAAAGTTTCTCTTTTCTCCACATCTTCATCAACACTTATTATCTTTTATTTTTTTAGTAATAGCCATCCTAGCATGTATGAGGTGATATCTCGTTATGGTTTTGATTTGTATTTCCCTAATGATTAGTAATGTTGAGCATTTCTTTCTATATTTGTTGGCCATTTTACATCATCTTTTGAGAAATGTCTGTTCAGGTCCCTAGTCCATTTTTTAATTGAGTGATTTAATGTTTGTGTGTGTGTGTGTGATGTGTGTGTGGGCATATTTTGCTGTTCAATTATATGAGTTTCTTGTATATTTTGGATTTTAAAGCATTGATGAAAAAAATAAATCAGACACAAATAAATGGAAAGATATCCCATGTTAATGAATTGGAAGATTCCATATTGTTAAAATGTCCATACTACCCAAAGCAATCCACAGATTGAATGAAATTGTCATCAAAATTCCAATGGCATTTTTTACAGGAGTAGAAAAAAATTAAAATTAATATTGACCATAAAAGACTCTGAACAACCAAAGCAGTCTTCAGCAAGAAGAATAAAGATGAAAGCATCACACTACCTGATTTCAAAATATACTACAAAGGTATAGTAATCAAAACTGTAAGCTACTAGTATAAAAACTGACACATAGACTAATGGAATAGAAAGGAGAACCCTGAAATAAGCCCCAGTAGATACAGTCAACTAATTTTCAAAAAAGAGTGTCAAGAATACAAAATAGGAGAAGATAGTCTCTTAATAAATGGTGCCAGGAAAAGTGCACATCCACCTGTAAAAGAATGAAATTAGGCCTTTTACTTACACCATACACAAAAATCAACTCAAAATGTATTACAGACTTAAATGTAAAATCTGAAATCATAAAACTTCTGGAAGTAAACATGGGGAAAATACCCTTGATATTGGTCCCAGAAATGCTTTTTTTAAAATACGGCACCAATAGCACAGGCAACAAAAGCGAAAAATAAACAACTGGTATTATATCAAACTAAACAGTTTCTGCACAGCAAAGAAAAGGATCAGAAAATGAAGAGGCACCCTACAGAATGGGAGAAAAATTTTGTAAGCCACACATCTAATAAGGGGTTAATACTTACTTCCTTAGGATACCTTGGAAGACCTGTCTCCTCTGCCTCCTCAGTGCAGTATGCTCCCTGTGACCTCATCTAAGCAGCCCTCTGATTGCTTTCTGCCTCATTATTTGTAAAAGCAGCATATGCTTCCAGACTTCTGTTTTAATGAATATTTATGGTATAACTCACAGTGGTGTGAGGCACACAATAGCTCCTTTTAGCATTGTTAAAAGATCTTGAATTTTGTATACAGTGGGGGCAGTATTAGTGTCTATTTTCCCTGGTTGCCATTAAGAAAACGTACACTGTAAAGTTTAGTGGAGTGAGACTCCAGGGACTGATTCACTCAACACAGAAACACCTTTGCAAAGGCTTGTTTTTGTCTTTCAGTTTCACATTTTGCTCCAAGAAAAGTGCTGATCCCATTTGGCTTAAATATTAACTTTAGAACATTTTAGCAACTCATTAAATCTCTTTCTCACTTCACTTGCAGGTGGAGTTCATTATAATCAAACTAAAGGGAGTCCTACCCTAAATACACACACACACTAACACTCTCCTTGCAAGAAGCACGTGATAGAATTTGTATTGTGTGTGTAGACTACTGCTTCTTAAAACAGGGAAATTTTCCCTTCCTCAACCCCAGGGACATTTCGTGATGTCTGGACATTTTTGGCCATTACAATTCAGAGAGTGCTACTAGAATACAATGGTTAAAGGCCAGTGATGGTCCTAAAAACCCTCCAATGCATAGGAATATCCTTTACAAGAGAGTACTATTCAGCCCCATTTGTCAATAGTGCTAACGTTGAGAAAAACTGGTATAGACTAAAGAGAAAGTGTTTTATCAATGACACTGCTTCTAAGGCTATGTATGGGCCACCCCTGAAGAAAACTATTGTCAACCCTCCACCAATTTATTCTGTAACCACGAGGAGCCGATGACTGATGTTTAATGTTTTTTTAATACATAGAGGACTAAGTTTGAATGCTAGTGCCACCATATTTTAGCTATGTGATCTTGGATAGGTAATTCACTTGTCTGATCCTCAGTTTTCTCACTTGCAAAATGATTTAAACACTTTTTCTTTAATGATAATACCTACCTTGGAGGTCTGTTACACAGATTGAATGAAATAATGTATTTATAGCCATAAAAGTATCTGGTACATAGTAGATTTCCAACAATTACAATTACTATGTCTTTATAATTATTATATAAACTGAAAAGATCACTGAGACCTTTAATAAAATTGCCCTACTCGCTGCATGTATTAAGTCCCCATAAAGACTCAGGGATGCTCTCTACAAGGGGACAACATGCAATAAAGGCAAGCACAGAGTATTATATTAGCACCCCAAAGGGGCACATAACCTTACTAAGAGTAGGAGAAAGACTTGCTTAAGGCAAAGATGCTTGAGCTTAAATTTTTATGATTCCAAGTGAGTCATCGAATATAGTCTTAAAAAATCTCTTCACTTATTCTACTTTCTCACTGATCTCAGTCATTTATTCCTTCAACAAACTGTTACCATTAGCAATTGCACTGATGGTTTAATTAAAATTTGAACATTCCATCCAGTTTCAGCCACCTGCTGTCTTTTATATCCACTCATATTTCAAAAGCACAGAGTGTTTCTTTTTTTTTTTTTTTTTTAAGTTGGCCATATCTGTTGTGCTTGGGAAAAGAAGCCCAGAAAGGCTGTGATGATAGAGCTTGGTGAATGTCCATTGATCTAGGTTTATGGTACATATGTGACTTTCATAACCCAGAAAGTGTAGGGCCAGAAAGGTATCTTTAATTGCAGCAATTACAGGGAAATATCTACTTGAAGGTATTAACCATTAGTGGCACAAGGTCAGTTATCTCATTACTTATGAATCTATTTGTGTTCCTTTTTAGCAACTGAATAGATATGTAGATCAACGTATTCTTAGCCTGTAGTTTCCAATTCCTTATAAAAATTATTGAACTAACATTGGAGTGGTGACTTATTTTAAAATGGAAAATGGTATCTCATTGATGTGGTCACTAAATAATGATATTCCTGATTTACATCTATTTTAGAAAATTAAAAGAAGAGATGAGAATTCAAACTGCCACAGAACACAAAAGTGTTTTGCAAGATTAAGTTTGGTAATGACTCCAGGGTTTCTCACTAAGGTTGGAGTTATTACTGCTATGCCTTCCTTGACTTGTATTCAGCTATGGGTTTGTGGAAGACACATTCATTGTATATATATATATATATATCTGTTTCTCATGCTTTCCTGTGAACTCCTTAGGGGCAGAAACAGAATTTTAATCATCATTGTGTATCCCATGTTTGACACTATGCCTGACATACAACAGGCATTCAATAACTATTTATTGAAAAAATGATATGTTTATGGACCTATATTAAAACCCAGGACACTGAAGACGCTGTCGTTCTTTATCCAGACTCCTCTTCAGGACTGAGGGACTTATTCCCTCAGAATGCTGGGAGTGTGGCTGGCAGATGGCCCCCACATTCCAACCTCCCACAGGGATTGCCTGGGTTAAAGAGAGTCACCTCTCCCAAGGCCCTGACCCCTCCCTGGGCAGCTGTATCCAGTGGTGGGTCCACGTATGGGTACAACAATCTGGCCCTCCTGACTTAATAGGGGCAATTCTGAAGGGCTATCCCAGTTCCAGATCTCTTGGTGGAGAAGGGTAGCCCTTTGTTTTGAAGCATGGCAGGCTTCTCCCTCTCCTTGATAGGGCTCCCTTCCTTTCCTTTTCATGGTTATTGATCCCCAGGGTATTCCTTAAAACACCTCCTGCAGGCTAATATCCACCTAAGAGTCTTCATCCTGCAGAACACTCGACAGGCAACAGGGTAAGAGCCAATTCAACAATGCAAATAAACACATATTGATTAACTCATATACACAGTCACTTTCCACCCCCTATCTCACTTAATCCTAGTAACCCCCTGTGGTGTTAGGTATTGCTGTTTTTATCTCACAGAGGAGAAACGTCTGCTGTGAAATATTAAGTGACTTTGTCAAAGGTCACAACGTTGTAAAAGGGGATCTTTGGGACTTAAATTACGGCTTTTCTGACACCAAAACACCAAGCCATTGTAATTTTGACTATAATGTTTGATGTTAAATGCACTGAGAGTTTTCTTTTTTGACTAACAGAGTAACAATAGAAACCTGAAGTTACTTAATGAGTTTCACATCTTTAGGGTAATGTGTAGTATTCATCCCAACAAGTAAGCTTATTATAACAGAGTTGTGTAAAGTAAGCTGCTTGTAAGTGCACATGACTGACCTACACTTCAAAGAGTATTTACCATGTGGAAATGTATATTTCAATACTTGCAGAGGTTCCTTGACCCAGAACTTTGACAAAGACATTTGTTCATTCATCCAACAAGAATTTGTGAGCATCCACAATTTTTCAGTCACAATTCTAAGCAGTAGTGACTAAATATGCAATAAGATGAACAAGGCCCTCTGCTGTCATGGGTCTTACTGTCTAGTGATGTAAAAGGTAATAGATTAGCAACCATATTATTAAAGGTAGTTAAAGAATATGATACATGCTATAAAAAAAAGAGAGTATCATAACAGACAGAAACTGAAGGCGAGAAGCAAATACTTTATAAGGATGCTCAGGGGTGGCCTCTCTGGGGAGATTCTATTTAAGAAAAGTCCTGAGAAATAAGAACAAACTGTCCCTTTGGAGAGCCTGGAGAAAGGGTTGCAGACATGAAAAACAAGTGCAAATACCTTGAGAAAAGGAAGAAATGTGGCCTGTGAGTGTGCCCAGAGTACACACTTTATATCCTTACTCTTTAAATTTTTTTATCTTTTTATTGATACATAGTAGATATACACATTTTGGGGGTATATGTGATAGTTTAATATATTCATATAATTTATAAAATCAAATCAGTGTAATCAGGATATCTATCCTCATAATTATTTGTCTTCTCTTTATGCTAGAAATATTTGAATTATTCTCTCCTAGCTATTTTGAAATAAACTGTGGCCACCCTACTGATCTACCAAACACTAGGTCTCATTTCTTCTGTCACACTGTACATTTGTACCAATTAGTCAACTTATTTTTATTTCTCCTTCCCCGCCTCTGGTAAGCATGAATCCACTGTCTTCAAGAGGCCTACTTTTTTAGTTCTCACCTGTGAGTGAGAACATTCAATAATTATCTTGCTGTTCTTGGCTTATTTCACTTAATATAATGATCTCCAGTTCCATCATTTTACTGCAAATGGCAGGATTTCATTCTTTATGATGGCTGAAAAACATTCCATTGTGTACATATACCACATTTTATTAATCCATTTATTCATCGATGAGCATTTAGGGTTGACTTCATATTTTGGCTCTTGTGATTAGTGCTGCATGAGTGTGCAAGTATCTCTTCCATGTATTGATTTCTTTTCTTTTGGATATATATCCAGCAGTGGAATGGCTGGATCTTATGATGATTCCATTGTTAGCTTTTTGAGGGACCTCCATACAGTTCTCTATAGTGGCTTTGCTAATCTATATTTCCACCAACAATGCAGAAGAGTTCCCCTTTCTCTACATTCTTGGCAGCATGCATTATTTCCTATCTTTTTCATAAAAGCCATTCTAACTGGGGTGGATTCTAACTGGGGTGAGAAGGTACCTCATTGCAGTTTTGATTTGCCTTACTCTGATGATCAGTGGTGTTGACAATTTTTTTTTCTTTTTTTCTGAGATGAAGCCTCGCTCTGTCGCCCAAAGTTTGTCAGGTTGGAGTGCAGTGATGTGATCTCGGCTCTGCAACCTCCACCCCTCAGACTCATGCTATCCTCCTGCCTCAGCCTCTCGAGTAGCTGGGACTACAGGCATATGCCACCACACCTGGCTAATTTTTTTATTTTTAGTAGAGATGGGGTTTTGCCATGTTGGCCAGGCTGGTCTTGAACTCCTGACCTCGGGTGATCCACCCACCTTGGCTTCCCAAATTGCTGGGATTACAGGCATGAGCCACTGCGCCCAGCCTGACCATTTTTTAATGTATAATATATGTTGGCCGTTTGTATATCTTCTTTTGAGAAATGTCTATTGAGATCTTTTGTCCATTTTTAATCTGATTATTTGTTTTACTTATTTATTTATTGCTATTAAGTAGTGTGGGCTCTCTATATATTCTAGATGTTAATCCCTTGTCAGACAGTTTGCAAGTATTTTCTCCTGTTCTATGTATTGTTCTTTCACTTCATTGATTGTTTCTTTTGCTGTACAGAAGCTTTTTAGCTTGATAAAATATCATTTGTCTATTTTTGCTTTGATTGTCTGTGTTTTTGAGGTTTTACACAAATATCTTTGTCCAGACCAGTTTCTTGTAGCATTTCCTCAATGTTTTCTTTTCGTAGTTTCATAGTTTCAGGTCTTAGACTTAAGTTTTTAATTTATTTTGTTTTTATTTTTGTGTATAGTGAGAGAGAGGCAAGTTGTTTCATTCTTCTTCATATGGTTATTCAATTTTCCCAGCACCATTTATTGAAGAGACCGTTCTTTTCTCAATGTATGTTCTTGGTGCCTTTGTCAAAGATGAGGTTCTGTAAATGTGTGGATCTGAGTTTTCTTTTGTTCCATTGGTCTATGTGTCTGCTTTTATGCCAGTACCATGCTGATTTGGTTACTATAGCTTTGTAGCATATTTTGAAGTCAGGTGTGTGATGTATCCAGCTGTGTTCATTTTGCTCAGGGTTGATTTGACTATTTATTCTCTTCTTTGACTTTATTCACAACAGTTATCCCATCTGGCATTATGTATTTATTTGTTTATTATCCATTTTCCTCACTGAAGTGTAAGTGCCTTTAGGCAGGGACATTTTTGTTCACTGCTGGAGAAGAGTGTCTGTCACAGAAATGTTACTCAATCATATGCTGAAGGAATACACAGAAAAGAGGTCCATGAATTGGGGTCCTCAGTGAGCGAGTTGAAGACCGGGTCATAGTAGGCAATAGGCAGAGTATAGATTATGTTGGTGTGTAAATCACACTATTAAGTTGGAATTTATTCTAAAGGTCATCTTGAAGGGTTGGGTTTTATGTGGCACAGTGATTCGATATAAATTATGGTTTCAAAACACTAGCTACTTTGTAAGAAGATAAATAAAATAAATCGGGTACTTTGTACATAGCACATGGAAGATGAGCAAGAGTGAAAACAGGAAAACAAGTTAGGAAGTTCTTAAAGTAATGCAGCAAGAGAGGAGGAGAGCATGGACTAGAAAAGTGGCTAAAAGGAAGACAAAGAGGATTGGAGGGGCTTGGGGTCTATTTCAGAGACAACAACAGGACCTCATGATGGACTGAGTTGGAGATGGGGAGGAAAGAAAGAGAGAAACTAAGAATTATCCCTTAGTTTTTGGCCTGAACAACCTAGTAAATTATAATCTTGTTTATCAGACAAGACTGGAGGAACAATCATTTTGTATGAGGAAGTGAAAAGCTCTGTTTTAACCTTTGGGATTTTAGGGACTATCAGATATTTAAATGAAGATGGTCTGTAGGCCTTGAACATAAAAGCCTGGAAGAGAAAGAGATCTGGGATTCAGTTATATATGCATGTGTGATTCCTAAACCTGTAGATGGTACTTAAAATCATGGAACCAAATGAGATTATTTAGAGAACGAGGTAAAGAAGGCCTAGACTCATTCTCACAAAGTCAAATGGAGTAAATACCCAGGTGACTATTTCAGCCTCTTCTCTAAGCAGGTGACTTAAGCAGATGTGGAAGACAACTTAATGGGTGATCCAAACGCCAAAGGTTCACAACAAAAAGTAGAGAACCACTGATCTACATTAACACGTGAAGGAATAAGAGCTGGCTAGGGAGGAAAAGGACATGAGAAAGGTATTGGACAATTTAGAAAAATTATAGGACCAAAAGATTAGAGGCCAAAAGATTAGCATGGCAGGCACATCTATGCCATGATGTCACTTTGGTGGTTTGTTCTTTCTGTCTGTTGATGTAAGCACTCAGGTTTACTTCAATTGCAAGTCTTTATTAATTAATATCGATAAATGTCTGTGCCTACAAGATCCTTTAAATGCCTGATAGTAATTACTCAAAACTACCAAAGGGCTTTCTATCTCTTTGTTTGCCTAGCATTAAAATCTTCCCTGACCCTACTCTCTGTCCTGATATGAATGTTCTGTGCCCTGTTGTCATTTCTACCAAGTTCTCCTGATTGAGTTTCCATGCTTTTCTATGGGAGTGAGCATGGCACACTCCTCTTTGTGGGAAGAACAACTTCGTTGAGGTTCTAGCTGCAAAATAGTCCCCAGCATGCAATACCATGTTATTTCCCGTGTAGTGTAATTTACTACTCTTTGTGTATTAGCATCTCCAGGACAACCTTATTTAATCTCTTTAGTCTACATAGCACCTGACGCAGCAAACAGCTGGGTAGGTGCTAAATAAGTACTTGTCGAGTCATTAAAGGATTTATGCTTTTGACTCACACATCTCCCTCCACCTCACACATTAACTTAAAAAGAGCTAAAGGTGATTTTTGAAGAAATCCAAACAAAGTGTGAGCTATAAATTAAAAAATATTCATCCCCTTAACAATACTATAGACATTCATATTGTTTTCCATGTTTTTTCTTTGAATAATCTAAAAAATGTAATTGTAATGTATGACTCATCTATATGTTAACACTATTTGACCTTACAAAATAGTGCATTCTTTGAATATGTCTAGACCTACTACTGATAATTCACTCCATTTATTTATATAGGATTATTAAATAAATATCTTTAAAAACAGGCACTTTATAAACATCTTAGTCCCTTTGAAGGTTATAATTGTTAATCATTGATCATTCCTTCTGGCAGGAAATCCAGGATGCTGGTACATGGCATAGAAAGTAGGCTACTCAGGTAATTCAATGTCTAAGGAATTAAGGCTAAGATCTATCCCTGTCTCTGCCCCTGCTACAGAGCTCAACTAATAGCAGTTGCTTAATAAGTATTTCTAAGTAAATGAATGGAGAGACAGTCTCATAAGAGTTTCAGGTCCTGCTAGCAGTGAGAGAGAATGTAGAGCTGAGAATCCAGGTATATCTGTGTGGGAGTGTGTGCATGTGTGTCATCAGGAGGAGGATGGCACCAAATCAAAGGGAACAGAAGGTACTGTCATAGCCAAGAATAAGAAAGCAGATTGGTTCCACATTTTGGCTATTATGAATAATGCTGCAATGAATATGGAAATGCTAGTATTTCTTCAATATACTAATTTCACTTCCTTTGAATACCTACATATGGATAAGTGGGATTTCTGGATCTTATGGTAGTTCTATTTTTCATTTTTTAAGGAGCTTCCGTATTGTTTTCTACAGTGGCTGTACTAATTTACATTACCACTGCTGGTGCACAAAGTTTCCTTTCTCTCCACATCCTCATCAATACTTGGTTTTTTTTGTTTTTTGTTTTTTGTCTTTTTATATAATAGCTATTCTCACTTGTGTGACATGATATTTCACTGTGGTTTAATTTTATTTTCCTAATGATTAGTAATATTGAGCATTTTTCATATACCTGTTGATCACTTTTAAGTCTTCTTTTGAAAAATTCTATTCATGTGCTTCGCCCACTTTTTGTTCAGGTTATTTGTTTTCTTGCTATTGAGTTGTTTGAGTTCCTTATAAATTTTGGATATTAATCCTTTATTAGATGTATGGTTTACAAATATTCTCCCCCAATCTGTAGGTTTTCTCATCACTGGGTTGATTATTTCCTTTGCTGTGCAGAAGCTTTTTAGTTTCATGCAATCCCGTTTGTCTAACTTTGCTGTTGTTACCAGTGTTTTGGGGGTCATGTGCAAGAAATCATTGCCCAGGCTGGGCATGGTGGCTCACACTTGTAATCCCAGCACTTTGGGAGGCCAAAATGGGTGGATCACCTGAGGTCAGGAATTCAAGACCAGCCTGACCAACATGGTGAAACCTTGACTCTACTAAAAATGCAAACATTAGCTGAGTGGTCGTGTGCACCTCTAGTCCCAGCTACTTGGGAGGCTGAGACAGGAGAATCACTTGAATTGGGGAGGCAGAGGTTGCAGTAAGCCAAGATCACACCACTGCACTCCACCTGAGCAACAGAGTGAGACTCCTTCTCAAAATAAATAAATAAATAAATAAATAAATAAATAAATAAATAAATAAATCATTGCCCAGACCAAAATTATGGAAATTTTCCCCTATGTTTTCTTCTAGTACTTTTACAGTTTCAGGTCTTATCTTTAAATCTTTACTGAATTTTGAGTTGATCTGTGTATATGGTGTGAGATAAGGATCCAATTTCATCCTTTTGTATGTGGATATCCACTTTTCCCAACACGTGTACTGAAGAGACTATCCTTTCCCTGTTGTGTGTTTTTGGTACCTTTGAAAAAGATCAACTGACCATGAATGTGTACATTAATTTCTGAGCTCTCTATTCTGTTTCTTTGGTCCATATGTCTGATTTTATGCCAATAATATGTTGTTTTAATTATTATAGTCTTGTAGTATATTTCCAAATAGAAGTTTCCAATAATGGATGAATGGATAAAGAAAATGTGATGTATTTATATACGATGAAATACTATTCTGCCTTAACAAAAGGGAATTCTTTCATTTGCAACAATATGGATAAACCTGGAGAACATTATTAGAACCTGGCTAAGTGAAATAAGCCAGGCACAGAAAGACAAATACTGCATTATCTCACTTATAGCTGGAATCTTTAAAAAGTTGAACTCAGAAGTAGAAAGTGGAATGATGGTCTAGGAAAACGATGATCAAAAAGTAGAAAGTTTCAGTTAGAATGGGTAAGTCCTGAGTATCTATTGTACAACATAGTAACTATAGTTAATAATACTAACGTATATTTAAAAATTGCTAAGAGAGTAGATCTTAAATGTTCTCACCACAAAAAAATACATATGTAAGGTGATGGATATGTTAACTAGCTCAATTTAATCATTTCATGATACATACATGTATCAAAATATCCCACTGTATACCAAAATTGCATAGAATTTTTATTGGTCTATTATGCCTTAACAGACAAATAAGCTGAGACTGGGAGAGTAAACATCAGGAAAAAAAAATGAGAAGGCAGTACATTAAGAGATTGGGAGAAGGAAACCCAGGGATAAGAGAAATCCTGCTTGAGTAGCTAATACTGAGTTGAAAATTAAAAACGTACTTTGAATTGAACATGGAAGTACTTACATCAAGTCTAGATAAGTGAGGCTACATAGAGTTTAATCACCAGGTTAGACACCTCAAAATATTGGGGTATAATTTTTCTTTTGTGATAATAAGAATTATGCTATGTAGTTGTTTAAAAATTGTATTAGACCAGTGATGATAGGTGGTTCCTCCAATAAATTAATAGTGTTCATTCAGCAGCAACATTTATTGAGTATTCACTATGGAGTTGGCACTAGCATTGGCACAGGGGGTAACGTTATGCACAAAAGGAAAATCTCCTGCCCTTATGGAGTTTCTATTCTAGGGATATGGTTGGTTTGTTGAAAATATGGAGCTCCCAGGCTACCTGATTTACACATGAAGGAAAAAAGCATATTATTATATATTTGTGCTACTAAATATTAAACTTTTGGCAAATTTTTGTTTAATATTGACAATGATATCTATTGACCGATGTCTGCAATTCTGTGTGACATAGGAGTGCTAGAGGCTTAAATTTCAGAAATGATTCATATCCCGAAAGACCAGAAATAAGGGCTAGATATTTTGTAAACTGAAAAGTTAAGCACACGGCCAACATATATAGTAGACATTCAATGTCAGTTTACCTCCTTTTATCTTCTATTGCATTTTTTCCATATAAACTTATGAGGACTGCTGCTCTATTTAAAAGAGAAAAATTAAAACACC
Organism: Homo sapiens; assembly: GCF_000001405.40. Lineage (NCBI taxonomy): Eukaryota > Metazoa > Chordata > Mammalia > Primates > Hominidae > Homo > Homo sapiens. The sequence continues at coordinate 80,020,804 of NC_000011.10, read as the reverse complement.
CATATACATGTACTGTGAGAAATAAGTTAAAAATATGTATTAACAGGATTTATTCAAGTGGATAACCTAGTTCAACCCTACTTTAAAGAAAGGCAAAAGGGAGAAAGAGATCCTCTTCAGACATGATTAACTGTCAATCATTTTTCTGTTAGTGGCTCAGGGGCAAAGGGAAGTGCAATAGTTTTGATCCTGCTGATTAAATCAAGAGCACATAGGTTTGAAGGGCAAGGATGGAAGATTAAGTTAAATCACAGAAATTCAAGCAGAGGAAATAACAATTAAGCTGATCAGCCTATCTTCTGCCAGGGAAAGGGAACATTTTGAAAATACTACCTTTTCACCAGCATGGTGTTAACAATCCAATTTTGTAAGTGCCATTCAATTCATTCATTCAACAGGTATTTATTAAGTGCCAAGTATGCAGGAGAAACTGTTCTAGGCCCTGGGAATGCAGCCGTGAGCAGTCAGGCATAGTTTCTATCTTCATGTAGCTTATGATATAGTTTAGGGAACAGACATTAAACAAATACATACATAAAGTTTCAGTAGTGATACCTCTTAGAAGAAATAAAATCTAAGTTCAGAAGTCCCGCAGAGATGTTTGTCAAAATCTTTTGGTCAAGCAAGTTATTAAGGCCAGAGAAGATTCAAGGGGAGGATAAATAGATTGGGACTCCACCTTTTAAAAGGATGAATAGCAAGAATTTAGAGTGTTCTCTAATCTACCACAGATACCTTTAGAGGTTATAAGCAGAGGAGTGATGAGGTCTCACATTTTAAAAGGATCACTCTTATATGAATATAATCAACTGGGGAGAGAAAGGTGCAAAGGTGAAAACAGAAAGATCAACTGTCCACACTTAATCCTAATTTACTTCCAAGTTTTAGACATCTTGACTCTCATTAGCAGAGTTATGGAGAAAAAGAGTAATATGACTGATAGCACTTGGCTCAGGATTACATATCACTGATTTTTCATGTGGGATACAACACAGGATACAATTTCATTCACTTGTTCACCAAATATTTTATGAATACCTGTTATGTGCTAGGCACTGCAGACACCAACGGGCAGACAGAGCCCTTATCTTCAAGAAACTTGCCATCTATGGGGGAAAGAGACAAATAACTTGCAAATTACAGCATGCTTTGTAAACGGTGTAGTGTTCGTCAAATTTTTGGTTTCTCAATGTTCCTTGTAAAATTTCAACCTGATTATCACTCTTTTCCAAAATATAAAAATCCACCCTTTTCCACAATATTGGATAGTTACTCTCCAGATTCTCTGTATAGATTGTAGCCTTGAAATTACTTTTTTTAACTGACATTTATAAAAACTCTAATTAGCAAACTAGTGATTTGTCTGAAGTGTATGGTATTTTTCCACCCCTAAAGGAGTCATGTGGAGGGAACTGAACCACTAGAAGCCTATATTTTATTTTGACCGTATCAGACTAGAACCTCTCCTGAACTGCACTTAAGTTGCACATTTGTAGCTTCTTCACTTAATAAAATTATTAATTCTTTAAGGTCCATCTAAACATGACACCTCCTCCGCAAAGCCTTCCTTGATCCTCCTCAAACTCACACAATAGATTGTTTACATTTCTGTTTGGCGTGTATTCAATTACCCCTTTTTATATAATCAACGTCAATCATTAATAAAGTAAAGGGGTTGTAAAACTATAATTTTTAAGCATCTGCTATGTGTCACCCACTAAGGAAAGTGAAGTTCATACACTTCTCTTAGAGATAGGTAGTATTACACCAATTTTGTAAATAAAGAAAATGAGGTTCAGAGAGTTTAAATGATTTTACCTAGAATTACAAAGTTAGCAATTGATTATAAGATCCACATTTCAAACTCAGTTCAGTTTGGCCCTTGTAGTGCATTGAATACTTGCCCTCAAAAATTCATGTTCGCTCACAAACTTAGAACATGACCTTATTTGCAGATGCAATTAGGAAGAAAATTAAGATAAAATCATACTGGTTTAGGACAAGTTGAAAATCCAGTGAGAATTTCCTTATAAAGGTCTGAAAAGAGTGCGCAGAAAGAAACAGAGGAAAGAGGCCGTGTGAAGATGAAGGCAGAGACTGGAGTTGTACTGCCATAACCAAGGGAACTCCAGGAGCCGCCAGAAGCTGGAAATGACAATGAATGATTTTCCTCTAGAGACTTCAGAAGGATTATGACCCTGCTGGCACCTTGATTTCATATTTCTGGCTTCCAGTATGGTGAGAGAACAAATTTCCGTTGCTTAGAGCCACCCAATTTGTGATATTTTGTTAGGGTAGCCCTAGTAAACTAATACAGCCTTAAAACCATCTTCCTTTCCTTTTATTTACACTTCTTTTCACTTCAGGACTCTAATTTGCCCTAGGACTTTACGGTTATCTTTAACCTTTCACTTTGAACTTGCAACAGTGCCACCTCACCCCACCAACTGCTTCCTGAGTAAAAACAACAAAAAAGGTAGCAATGAGAGTGGGAAATATTTCAGTATGAATTTTGTTACAAGCTGCAACATTTGACTGAAGCTAGGATATTTAGAAGGGAGAATTTACTGGCTCATCACCAAATGGAAGAAGAGTAGGAATGTAGGAATAACTCCGATATGACAGGGACCTGGCTCTGGAACTGCACCAAGTTCCTCTCTTTATCCTCCATCTCTACTTTCCTCAGCAGCTTGAGGGACAGCAACATCCCGCCACGTTAAATCACCATGAAGACAGGGGCTTTTTTCTTATTTCCAGCATGAAAATTCTTGGGGAAGGTTTGTGATTGGCCCATCCTAGATCAATCGTTCACAAGTGTATCAAGGAGGTAGCATTCTGAGATTCACTATTTCCACTAGGACCACATGATTTTAGTAGACAGAAGGAACATTTTCCCAAGAAGTAGGATGCTGTTATCCAAAGAGAGGTATGTAATTGAAGCAGATATGGACACAGATATCTATATAGATAATGTCCATGTAAATGATATCAACTACATCTGTTATTAAGACTTTTGCTTGCAAAAAGTGAAAAATAGTGAAGCCAAAATATAGACTTATTGAATATACATTTCTAGAAGCCACTCAATACCTGTGTCAATAAAGATGTTAGAATCTATTATAAGCCTTCTTTTCAAAAGGGCCAGTGGCTGGCAAGAACTCTTTTGAATAGATGTGTAAATGCAAGCAGTAAAACTTTCATTATCCAGATTATATCACAAGGACTTGCGTGGGAGGCAAGAGCGGTTCCAATAAATAACAGCGATGTGATCTTTTTCCCAAATATCGCAGATTGCAGTATCGTCAGAGCTAACTTCCTCTCTGCTTGCAAAGAAAGCACTGAGCTTAACAAAAGAGAAGAATGAGGAGAAGGAAGAATTGTTTCCTAGCAATCTCTGATTCTCATAGCATCAGGGAGGCTGGTGGGGGCATAAGACAGAATCAAAGGGCCAAGTAGTCCAATTTCCTTGGAAGGCCACTCAAGTCTTCCTTTTGCCAAACTGAGGACAAATCCCCAAACATTTATTCCTTAAGTGGATTTTGTCATTTATTAGGAAGATGGTTTGTGTCTAGAATCCAACCAACCTTAGAAAGGTCCTTCCTCTAACACACAAATAGAGATCCCCCGAGACTGAAAAGAAGTGGTCACAGATAACAAACACTCTCTAGGAACAGAACTGACATCAGGCTCAACGTGTAAGAGCCAACTCGTGAGTCCACTCCCGAGCAAGCCTTCGTTTGTGGTTGCGTAGCACTTTGTAATATCCCCAATATAATACATCTCAAAACATAACTGCCTATTTGTGTTCTTCCCCACTAGGATGAGTTTCTTTAAGTTAGAGATCTTTCCTTCTTTATGTTTACGTCCTTGGTGTCTAGCACCATGCTTTGTCCATTGTAGTTTCAGTAAAAGCTTATTAATTTGTTTCAGTAAAAAGTAGAAAGAGGCAGGGAAGTGAGAAGAGATGGAGGGAGGAAGTTAAGCTAATTTTTCTATTTACTACTACAAGAGGAAAATACGTAAGCAGAGGAAGAGGATTAATAGAAAATGATTGTGTATCTTGTTCCAAACACTTTGATAAGCAGTTTACTTTTTTTGCCTCATTTAATCCTCCCCAAAGTACCTCTATTTCCTGAATTCTTTGTATGATAAGGCATAATATTAATATATATTCCACTGGAGTGCGTACCATTATCTCCACTTTGCAGATGAGAAAACTGAGGCTCTGAGAAATTAAGGTCAGGAAATAGGCACTGTTTTTTCTGTGTCAGTCCACTACAGATTTTAGATAATGTGTAAAACTAAATAAAAAGTACCATAAATATTAATTAATAGCTACATAGTATGCCATGGTGTATATGAGCCACATTTTCTTTATCCAGTCCATTACTGCACATGTATACCCATGTAACAAACCTGCACATTCTGCACATGTATCCCCAAAACTTAAAGTTATATATATATGTGTGTGTATATATAATATATATAATTATATATATAATATAATTTTATATGTCATATAATCACATATATAATTTTATATATATATAAATGGGACAAGGGAGGTGTCTTTTTAGTTAGAAGCCAACCTGGGCCTCCTGTCCACCTCTGGCAGACCTGAAGGCCCTGCTCTTTACCCATCACCACACTTTGTCCTGGGGAGCAATATAAACAACAATCCCAAAATGGTGATTGCATGATGACAGAATGAAAGCATAAAAAGAGGATGCCGGGAGGGGGTGGTTTCTGGTATTGTTGATATCTACTTGGGTGTTTAAATGATTTTCAATAATCTAGGACTTGGTTTGATTCATATGTGGATAGGTTATCACAAAAAGGAATGTTAGAGCAGCAATCCAATGGGAGAAGCCATACGCTGAGCCCCTTTTCTATCCTCCAGTGTAATAAAATAATTTGCCATTCTGTAAACATTACATAATTACCGTTGTATTTGGATGAATGGGTCCGAGGCCACTGAAAGTTTCCTGGCTTCTGCCAAGTGGTCTCAATGCTGCTGCTTTTTCACCTGAGTATCTTTGTCAAGTCCAAAGAACCACCTCCACACTAAAGTCTTGCCAATGACGGCCTTCATTTATGGCAATACTGGTTTTTACAACTTAACATGTATATAAATGTATTTGTGTAATGTATAAAATATTATATATAAACATATCTATGTACGTGTATATACACATGCATATATAAAACTTTATACACACACAAACACACACACACACATTTTTCCTCTTAGCTTCAGGACTTTCTTTGACTGTCTGTTCTAGACCATCCTGTGGGTTTTGGGATCATGGGGAGCCCCTCCACTTCAAAGGCCTAAAACTCCTGTCTCTTTCTAGCCTCCTTCCAGCTCTGAGACTCCAGCACTCCCATTATATCCATTCCCATTCTTTTAGTTAACAACTCTACACCTAATTCTAAACTTATTCCTTAGATTCATGCTGAAGGGCTGAGAAATTTCTGAAAAGCTGGCTTCTAACTGTACTATATATAAACTTCTTAAGTTCTGTTTTTGACATTTCATTAAGATAGATAGTGGGTGGTTGCCTCATATGTAACAATCTCATCCACTTATTTTTATATACATTTCTACAGGTCTTTCATTTCATGGAATAAGGTGAATATTGTGGTAAAGATGATAGTACTAGTGATCAAAACAAGTAAAAATATAAAAGTTATTGAACTTTTACTCTGTGCCAGGCACTGCACTAGGTGCATTTAATATTTTATGTCACTCAGTCCTCCAGAAATCTTGTGAAGTGGTAATTATTATTCTCATTTTAATGACAAAATCTGAGGTTCTGAAAAAGTTAAGTTACTTGTGTATGCTGATTTGGTCTTAAAAGAGCAGTGGAGTTTAATCTATGTGATCTAATTCTAAGTGTCAAATTTCTCCACTATCCCCACAATTGTCTCTTAGCTCCTTTATATTTTATGAGGTCTTCCTACTTAGAGGCTATAAATAGAATAAAGGTCTTATATCTTTCCATTGCTAATAGGAGCCACAAGAACAAAATGATGAGCTTTGCTGAGGTAAGGACCATGTCTTGGTCACTGAGCACTTACCATATGGTGATAGAGGACATGACACTAAGCAAAAAGTCCACATCCCTGCCATCCTTAGTCTTACTCTCTAGTTGGGGAAATGTATTAATTGACAAATGTAATGCGTGCGGGGCTTAAAACCTAAATGACGGGTTGATAGGTGCAACAAACCACCATGGCACATGTATACTTATGTAACAAACCTGCATGTTCTGCACATGTACCCCAGAACTTAAAATAAAAAAAAATTACAAAAAGGAATAAGTACTATAAGGCAGGGATCCTGATGAAGTGGAAGGGCCAGAGACATAGATGGATTCGTGAAAGTAAGTGCTCAAACATAGGGACAATAGATGAGGTGAGAACTGGGTGGTTTTAAGAACTGAGCAAGACCAATTCTTAATGAACTGGCTGGAGTTCAGCAAGCTAATTGAAGAGTGTCTCAAGATTAGACAGGAGCTAGGCAAGGGCCAGCCCACGTCAGGCTCTAGGAGAGTGGATTTAATCCCAGTACCTTTCAGGAGCCATCATCATATTTTAAATAAAGATGGACGTGATCTATGTTTTTGAAAGACCACTGTATTGAAGACAGATGGGGTCTGGGGACTGGCAAAGTGGAGGCAGGGAAGCAAGTTAGGAGGGTGCAATGATTCAGGTGAGATGATAGCAGCTTCTGCTAATGCAATGGTAAAAACAGTGGGCAGGTCTGTCTTGTTTGCCCCTGTATTCTTAGCAGCTAACATTGGGAACATGCTCTGTAAGTGTTTGGTACATAAATAAATAAGTTCATGACCCATTTTAAGGTCTCATTAAGCCTATCAGCTCTCATCTCACCATGTATCTTTATAATTAGGCTGGTTGACCATATCGAATCAGTTTTTTTTTTTTTTTTTTTTTTTTTGACAGAGTCTCGCTCTTGTCACCCAGGCTGGAGTGCAGTGGTGTGATCTTGGCTCACTGCAACCTCTGCCTCCCGGGTTCAAGCGATTCTCCTGCCTCAGCCTCCTGAGTAGCTGGGATTACAGGTGCCCGCCACCACGCCCGCATCTGGCTAATTTTTGTACTTTTAGTAGAGACGGGGTTTTGCCATGTTGGCCAGGCTTGTCTTGAACTCCTGGCCTCAGCAGTTATTATTACTATCATTACCACTATTATAATTGAACACATTAGGTGTTGATTTTATGTGGGACACTGAGCCAAGCATGGTATATATATTATTTGGTTTAATCACCCAATAGCTATGTTTTTAAGACATTTTATCCCCATTTTACAGATGAGGAAACCATAGCGAAGGATAGATTAAGAGCAAACATTTATTCAGTCAAATATATCAATCAGTAAATTAGTGAGTATTTTAATTAAAAGTTTTTTTAAGGGGACTAATTATGAAAGAATAGACAGAATATAGGGGAACTATCAAAGACAGTCTTACAAACCTGAGGGTTAGCAGAAGAGAGCTGTTATCACCCTAGTTCTGAAAGCTTGAGGGGATGGATGGGAGGTTACTAGAGCCTGGAATGAGAGAAAGGCATGTAGAGCCCATCTTGGAAGGAACAGTAACACTTGATCAAGGGACATGGCCAGCCCTGGTGGTTTTTTCTGGGGAAATATTCTGACCTTACTCTTTTTTCTTCCACTGTTCCCTTCTTCAGGCTCCCCTTTGGCTGAGCTCAGTGGAACCAGAGGGCATAGGAGCCCTAATAATATAGCCCTGAGGGGCCTTCTCCTTAGGGCAGAAAGCAGAGTGGGAAAGGATGGATGGCAGACATGAAGAGGCAAATGGAAGGTATCTAGTATATAGACCAATATTTATTAAGAACACACCATATATCAAGCACAGGGCTAGGCCTTGGTGAGACAGTAAGCCTTTCCAGCCCCTGTCCTCAACAAACTTTTTTACAGAATGATAAATCATATGACAGAGGTAACAGAGGATGCTTTACAAGCAGAAGGAGGGCCTCTAGCCCAGCCATGGCAAGGGCAGAGGAGGGATAGGAAAGGTCAGGGAAGGCTTCCTGATGTCGACTCTATGAAAACATACAGTCAATAATCAGTGGAGCCCAAATACTAAACCAGGAGGTGTAATTCTAAAACCAGGGTTATATTCATTACTGTAATTTCTTCCCCTGCCTCCCACCCCACCTTCTCCCTCAGCAATCTGGGCTAATAGATAATGTGCACGAAACACATGTAGACACAACTACGTTTGTGGAACAAATGACTTTCTACCTGAGGTATAAAATCGGCTTCTAAAGTAAGGGAAAGCCACGCCCACTTATTTTATGAACACTAAAATTTTCCCATATCCCCACTAATATAAGCACAAATGTTTTTAGGGGGCATGCAGTGGGAAGGAAATGCCACCACATTATCTAAAGGACATGGGTTTAAATCCTAGCTTTGCCACTTCCTAGCTTTATAATCACAGGCAAATCAATTAACCTCCCTGTTCTTATCAAAGATTATTGTAAAGGATGAGAAAGCACGCTGTAACCTTCAAAGTTTATTATATGTAGGGATTAAAAATTAATATTGAAGGATTTTTTCCCTTTTACTTGAAATTCCTGAAAGGTCCAAATTTTAATGTCTCAATTCCTTTTATTTTACCACAAAACCACCTGAGCCCTAAACATCGATCATTTGATTCTTTGAGACCTAGGATTTGTCTGTGATTAGAAATTTTACAGTGAAAAATTCTGCTGCAACTTTCCTGAAGTGTTGTTTCCAAGGGTCAGTTTTCTTGAAAAGATTTGTTCAATTAACCTGCAAGTAGCTGCTCACCTATGGGTAAATTCCAGGAAAAAAAAAAAAGATATGAGTATATGTATATAAACTTCTAACATTGTGGTTGGGTGGTCTGGTCTAAGAGGAAAGGCCAAGCGCTGCAGATGGCAGATGAATGTTGGAGCTCCGTGCCTGAATTTGTTAGCTGCCTTCTCTTCTCTGCAACAGCCACCTTTACCAAGGGGATAGGGCTGAGCAGAGCAGACCCTTTGTCTCAGAACTGCTCCTCACCCACTTTCTTCCCAGCATTTCTTCTCCACATCTTGCCTCCTTATCAACACCTGTCTTGCTTGACCTCAGATTAACAAGCAGGCTTTAGTTCTTATACCAGTATTGCTGGAATTTGTCATCATTTCAGTACTTTTCCATTGTACTTGGCAACATCTAGCCTCCTTGTTGTCCAGTTTCATGCTCTAGCCCTGACCTCATGATAAGGATTTCATACTTCAGTTTCAGCCCTGAGTACCTTCACCTCTTTCCCACTGTATGATAAGGACAAGGCACTGAATATGTGACCATGGTACATCCCCAAACCTCCCTGAGACTTTTTCTCCCCAAGGTGGAAGTTAAATTCCCTCTTTATGTGAGACTCTGTGAGTCTGGATTTGCAATCATCTTCCTTGTTGCCAGACACTATATGGTTGTTTTTCTAACATACAGAGAATGGAGAGCTGGCACTGATCCCAACTGACAAGAATGCTATCCACCCTATGCCCTGTACCTGTTGTCATGGAGTAAAGCTCTGTTTCTAACCCAATGACAGAAATATCCCATTTATAACTGGGCCAAACTAATGCTTATTCGTTTATTTCATTTGAATGAGATGCTTGTTTTGAAACCAGGAAGGCAAAATGCAGGTAATACAAAAAAAACCCGGCGACTGCTGTTTTACGTTTTTTACTGTATCCTCTTCCTGCAAAGTCAAAAGTGCATTAAAAAGTAATATCGTGCTGAGCTCAGACACATGCAAACGTCTCTAGGTATCTTGTCTCAATAAAGTTTATAGAATGCATTCCCAAAGGTCTGACAACAAAACAGAATAAATCGCAAGGCTCATAAAAACATAATGCATGCCTTTTCTTTTTCTGCTTACATGAACACAAGCAGATGCAATGAGGAAGGGAGTGACTGGGCTTGAGAGTTGGCCCCTTCTCACAGTGGCCTCTTTTATCATTAGCCCCTCTGAGAGACACAATCATGGAGACATAAGGAAAGAGGCAGGGTGTGAACACAAATGGTGTAGATCTTTCATTCATTCTTTGGTTCATTCATAAATTACCTGGTCAATTTATTATTCAACCTTTCAGCCAAGTTTTATTGACTACCCACTCTGTGCCAAACATACTGTTAGGCACTCTGAATACAGAAGAAAACCAGACAGTCCCTGTTCTCAAAGAATTCAGTCTTGTAATAAAGAAGCATGTGGAGAAAAACTAACCACAATTAAGTGCTATAATTGGAATAGCATTGCTTTACATTTTCAATACACTGATCAGATATTCATATTTGGGTTAACTCAAAAATAGTTATTCCCAATTTGGCAAGCCAGAATGTATTATCGAATGTAAGAATAGCAAAGTCTAACATGTCTGAGACACAATTGCTTATATTTATTGAGCACTTGCATTGTGCCAAGCTCTGTTCAAAGCACTTTATAATGTTAACTCTGCAGCAAGCCTAATGATTAGGTACTGTTATTTCCAAATTTACAAATGACGATGCCAAACCTGAGAGAGGTTAAGTGACTTGTGCAAAGTCACATGGCCTCTAAGTGGCAGAGCCAGGATTTGAACCTTGGTAATTTTGCTCCAGAAACCGCAGTATTAGCCACTTTACCCCACTGCTTCTCATGTATGTGCTAAGCAACATCCCGAGTGTGTAGGTATTATTTTCCCCTGTGTTGGCTAGTCACTGGGCTGATAAGGGGAGAAGCAAGAATTTGTAGGGCGGCTTTCGCAGGGGAAAACATTGTCATCCTTTATATTGAACATCAGGGACCACTCCGAGATGGAGAGAGAAACCTCATTTATTCACTTACCTGGATTCTTTTTCTTAGGTTGACTTCTAGAAAGAACTCACACTGAGGCAGAAATGTCATATAGCTTTATTATGTTAGCAATTTCACATCATGTTATATCAGGATCTTCCTGTATTAATATTGCTTTTTTCCAAAAGATAACATTACTGCTTGTTTCCATCAAACTTAACTCTGTGTTTCCTGTAAATACAGCTTCTGGGCTGGTTGCAGTCATGCACAAACATGGCAGTCTCCACATGCAGGAAGCCCTGGCCTCTATTCCCCACAAACTGAATCCCACTTATAGGATCGTAGTGCTCCTAAATTGGAAGAAAAATAAAAAGAGAGCTAAAGGAGCATTTGCCAATATTTGTATGCAATGAAAGGGAATTATTGTGCCCTGAGAAACCGCAAGGTACCAGGTGTAAGTACTTTACCTACATTTCCTTATTTAATACTGAGTATTACTTCAAAGAGTACATTACACATACTCATTTGACAAATAAATGCATAAACTACTATCAAGAAAAGTGGAAAGAGTTGCCTAATGCCACACAGCTAGTAACAGAGCTAGTGGTCTAGGGGACTGCAAGGCCTGTACTTTGTCCATAACACTCTATAACTTAAATCCAATTAACTTTAGCCAAGTCTAATTTCCTTTAAACTCCAGAGTGCAAGCTCATTTCCATATGCTTCAGGCTTAAAGAATTAGCACCCCACCATGATGACCAATGGGCCAATGCTGCAGAGTGTCGTTCCAATATTGCTTGGCATAGGGAAGCAATGAGGTGTTGGAGTAAAGATGCGCTTTGCTCTTCCCCTCCAAAACTACTCCACTCCGACAAAAGAATTGAGTATAGAAGCCTAATTAGCTCAGCATGCAATTCTATCTACATTCCCCATTTTTCTGTAGGCTTCTAAGAGAGCTCTGTGGGAGCAAAATGCACACTGGGAAAAATCAAAACCAGCACCTGAAAGGCCTCACCACATGGAATCCTGGTGCCAAGGAATACCTCTGATAACCCAGTCAACTGATGCCTTTTATTGGGTGTGATTATAATTTTTCACCCTAATTATTAATTTCATGTGTCAAGCAGAAACAGCGAAGTAAAGGGGGAGTTAAACAAAGGCAAAGGTGGTTAAGTAAATTATGTTGACTCTCTGAAATAAATTTACAGTATCTTCCAGGTTCATAAAGAAGGGGAAAGGGGAAAGAAAGGGATAGCATATGTTATGTCTACCTCAGACTCCATCCCATCTTAGGCTAGAAGGCACATATTTCTACAGGCTGCTGGAAGGTTTTACTGGAGCTCATCGACATACAACTGCTATTATCATCAGTAATTAAACCATTACAATGGTGGGCAGTGTGATTTTTCATGGGAGTTTTAATTTGCATATTCAATGCGATTCCCAGGCTTCTGAAAGTATTTAACGTTGAATTACAGGGTAGTTGTGAAAGTCTCAACAGGCTGGTTGAAGCTCTTCACTGTGTGCCTGAAAAGATGCCTTGACATAATGTTGGTTTTAGGGCTCCTACCCCTCTTTCTAGAAAGGCAAATGCACATATGCTTTGATTGTGCATAGACACACTGGTGAAAGTTCCTACATACAGAATCAGCCATATAAAGGGTGGTTGGAAAAAAAGTTTTCCTAAGGAAAGGAGAAAGGGGAAAAACTGAAATGGTTCCTCACCTGCTATGCATCAAGCTGTGTGGGCTTTGGCATTTGCCATACCCAAACTGAAATGCTAGCTACAGCTGTTCCCAATATTCTTGGTCCAGCTATTTAAAGTTTGTGTTAGTTTTACTGTATTAAAATATATTCATATTTTAAGTTTATTTTGCAATATATCTTGGAAAAGAAAATGTATAAGAAATATTAGAAAAAGACCAATAAATATATATTCTATTCATTTCTTTATGGGTGTAATTTATTTCTCAATAAAATACCAGGATAATTTTAACACCATTTATGAAAGAAGAAACCAGGTTTCCTCCGGACATTTGACTAACTTTCCCAAGCCTGGATAATCAAAGTTCTTTTTATAGTTTAGACAGGGAAATTCCTAGGGTGGGTAAGAGCTTCGGGCTAATAATTTCTGTGGAACCCCTGTCTGGATAAACATATTGAGTCACCGAATTCCTGTGCCCACATAATTCCTGCAGCCCCACCTCTTGAAATCCCACTTGATGATGGTCGTTAGTGGCGGCAAAAGCAATAGAGAGACCTTCCTTGTTGTCTTCATCAGGTCACTATGAAGATGAAACACGAAAAGAATAACCAGGAGGGTTCCAGAGACAGTAAAATCTGTATAATGTAAGGTATTCTGTCACTGTAATTTGTCACGTCTCCTCTAAATAGCTGGATAAGGTCTTTTCTTTCTTCAGCACGATGCTTGCCAATTTGCGGTTGGTACAGGCCTCCACAGAACAGAGACAGAAGGTGAGGAGTCTCAGGCACCACTTCCCAAAGTGTGATCTGGATGACACTAGGCTTGTCAAATATTCTATTAATATTAAGTTAAACAAAAATATAGAGGATTGGTGGTGAAATGTTTAGTTTATCAATATGTACATTAGCACATTTAAAACTACAAATACATTTATTTCAAATATATTTGAAATATATATAGCTTTTCAAATATATTTGTATTTTAAGTTTATTTTGCAACATGTCTTGAAAAATATATATGTAAGAAACATTAGAAAATGAACTGAAAACCGTTTCAAATAAAGAAACCATTACATGAGTGTTTTGAGCCGTAATTCCTCTTGTTTATGGAACAACTGTTATGTGTCAGAGGAACACTGTTACTTAAATGGTTAGGCCTGGGCTTGTGCCCCATTAACACCACACTGGTGTTGAACAAATACTCAAAATGCAAACCTGTTGTTTACCTAGTTTTAATATAATATGTTTTTAACTTTTAATATAATAATAATATGGTTGGGTTTATGTCTACCATTTTATTTATTTCATTTTTTCCATCTATTTTTAATTTTTCTTTTTTTCTATCTTCTGTCTTCTGTTGTATTAATTAAATATTATTTTAGAACTTTATTTTAATTTATTGACTTATTACCTATTTTTTTTTTAGTGGTTGTTCTAGGGATTAAAGGATACATCCTTAACCTCATACTGTCTACTTAGAGTTAAAATTGTACCAGATTATTTAAGAACCTTGTAATTCTACTTAACACCTCCACTTTCCGTATGCTAGAGTTGTCATATGTATTGTGTCTATGTACATTGTAAACTTCACAACCCAATTTATATCATTTTTTTCTTTAAACAGTCATATATATTTTAGAGGAAATATAGTCTTTTATATTTACCCACATTTTACCATTTCCAGTGTTTTTTATTCCTTCTTGGGTTTTCCATCTGTTGTAATCTTATTTCTGTCTTAATAAACTCCCTCCAGCATTTTCTGTGGTATAGGTCTGCTGGAGGCAAATCCTGTCCATTTCCATTTATCTAATACATCTTTATTCTCAGCCTGCTTTTGAAGAGGCCATAGTTGTCATTTGCTAGATACTGCTTTTTGGTCTCCCTTGACCTCCAGCATTGTGCCTCAAACACTGTGGTTCATATATTGTACAGACTCTGGATTCTGTTATGTTTCTTTGCATATATTTACTTGAAGTTCATTTATTTCTTTGACAAACAATTAACTTGACTGAACTCAAACTCCAAACTTTGGCCTTCCTCTGGTATGCATCAACTGAAATCTCTGTTTTCTTCTTTTACTCATTTGAGATGCTTGGATCTACCTTGTACCTGCATAGTTCAAAGATTAAACAGAGATTTGGGCACATTTTATGTATAGAACCTAGCCTTCCTGTTCATTGGCTTTCTCCTTTCTTGGATTTTCTCCTTCACTTTTACACTATTGCTATCACAATAACCCTTCTCTTCTGGTTCTTCAAGTCACTAAAATGATATGTTTTCCAACTGAGTTTTACCTACCAGGTATGACGCCCACAGGGCCTGTTCTTAGACAAAAGCCATCAAAGATGGCTCAAGAATAAATACCTCCCTCGCCATATCTGACTCCTGTTATTTTCTGTCATATGCCTTCAGGTTTTTCTTTTCCAGAGTTTCCTTTCCAGAGTTTCCATTTTCTTTTCCAGAGTTCCAGAGCTGTTATCTAATAACATCGGTCTGATGGTTATCATCAGTTGGAACTACTCCTGCCAAGATTTTAATGTGTATACTTATTCCTACATACATCTTATTGTGACTCCCATGTAGGGCGCACTTTACAGTGGAATGAACATTTGAAAGCACAAAGGAAAGAACAAGAAGAGTCTGAGTGGAGGAGAAAGGGATGTTTTTAATCTTGGCGAGATCGAGGCGTATGTGCATGTGCATGGCCATAGGCCACTGCAATGAAGTGGGTAGAACTCTGGACCAGGAATCCATGGGAAGCAAGGACAACATGGTTACAGCCAAGACATCTGGAACAGCAGAGGTTCCTTTGATATAGGGTGGCCAGAGTGTGATGTGGAGAGGTTTGGAAGACAAGTTTTATTACACAGACGGTGTTTCAGGTTGTGCAGAGATTTTAACCTCATCTTAAGGAGTTGTACTTATATTCATAAACTCATTGATGAGTTTAAAGCTGAGAAATAACACAATCTCGTGAGCATTCTAGTGAGTTCGCTTTGACAGCTATGCAGAATGAGAGAGGAAAAAGGAGAGTAAGACCAAAGACAAAGAGGCCAGCTAGGAGGTTTCTGCTATATTCAAACAAAAGGCAAACTGATGAAGTTCTAGCATAGATATTTATAATGTGACAGGAAAGCTCAAGATAGAGATAGTAATTTTAACTGAAAGAATCCGGAAGTAATTCATGATAAAGATAGCATTCAAGTTACAATTGAATTTTCTGGTATTACGGACTAAATACTCTCCCCAAAATTAATAGATGGAATCCTTAACCCCCAACGTGATTGTACTTGAATATAGTGACTTTAAGTAGGTAAATAAGGTTAAATGAGATCATAAGGGTTGGGCTCTAATTCAATAGGACTGATGTCCTTAAAAAAAAGAGGAAGAGATACTGGGGACATGTTGCACACCGAGAAAAAGTTCATTTGAGTACACAGCGAGAAGGCAGGTGTATAGAAGCCGAGGAGACTGGCCTCAGAAGAAACCAACCTGGTTGGTGCCATGATCTTGGACTTATAGCCTCCAGAACTGAGAAAATTAATTTTCTTGGTTTAAGATACCCAGTAAACTGGTATTTTGTTGTGGCAACCCCAACAAAGTAAAACATGAGGGTAGTTCTTAACGTTTAGCCATTCATCCATTTGTAAACACTTCCATGCCTTTGATAATTCTTAATTGAAATCAATTATTTACCAGAAAACGTGCTACATGCTGAGCACATAAATGAACACGACATAGTAAATAACATATAAATAATCTCCACTTCCTTCCTTGTCATTTTTCCGGCTCTCCTTTCTGGTTTCATTCTTCTTCTTCCTCCTCATACTATCAGCGATAATAGCACTAGTATTTATGCTGTCCGTGCAGTGATGATAATCATTAGCACTGGTCAGGAGCACCATCCATGTGGAGGAAACCTGGTTTAATTACCCCCAACCTGCAGTGCCCAGTAGCTGCCTCAATCTGTACATTTCTGATAGCTGTTTTGGAAAATGATCAAAGTTATCTGTTGAAATAACAACTCACAGGAAGATAGTACAATGCCAAAGCAATATTATTATGCTACTTTTCAGAAAAATGTATGTGTTGAGGATGTTTATGAGCATTTGTAATCACCAGCCATTTCTGCTATGGTCACTGCAGGCAGTCTTAACTTGAAAGCCATAGAAAATACAACGAACCAAGGATAACATTTCTTTATTCCAACCCCTGGCTGTCTTATCAGCTAGGATATTTTCAGAGCGTGTATATCCCTATCAGTGCTGTTTAAATACATGGGAAATTTTTGGTGTCCATGATTTTTCTTTTCAGTGACTTATCCTCAGTGAATGCAGCTAAGAGATCAGATTCACTCACCAAGCAATTCTGTTATAAACAACCTGTTTCAGGGGGGCAGCCTATTGCAATGTTCAGAGAATGGACTTTCTAATTAGGTAGATGTGGGTTAATACCTATTAGTCTTACATGTTCAGTAGTAAGTTCACTCTTTTGAGCATTGATTTTTCTCATCTATACTATGAGGATTAATGAAATACTGTTGGTAAAGCATGATGCCTAGTACATGGTAGGTGACTCAAAATTATTATAACCCTTCTTCCTGCTTATCTACAAGCAATCTCACTAGGTTCCTAACATGTCCTGTGGTTAAGTCGGCTTGAATTATGACAAGATTAGCTGAAGGGAATTTTCTCACCAGTCTGATCACTAAAGGACCCAGGGGGCTGAGGTTGGCTCCATTCAGCAGATACGTGTTGTGTTCTTTATAAAGGCACCAACCCCTTGAAGGCACCTCAAACCTCATTCTCACCCAGAGAATTTGATATTCATGCTGCTACATCAAAAGGTTGGGGCAGCTATTATGTATTAAAATGTGTCATTTTAAATTGCTTTTTTTTTGCTAGCACTAGCAATATAGATATTGAAATTTCTTCAGAAAGTGCTTATCTCATCAAGAGTAAAATTATAGTATATGAAATACTAATTACAGTATTATGAAGAAGGTTGAATTCTTCTGTGACATTCTATTAGGAGAATACTAATTTTCTCTCTTTCTTAAGACAGATAGAGCCACCCATTATAAGAAATGTGATCCCCCATCACTTTCTCTATCCCCCAGTGCCATTTTCACACAACAGCAGGATAAGCGCTCAAACACTTTGTCTTAGTCTAAGTCATCTGCACCATTCTATCTGCTCCCAAGGGAGTACCAGAAATTGAAACCAAATATGCCCCAAACTGAATGCAAATGCAGTGAGAAATATATTAGAAAGGGAGCTCTAACCAGTCTCATACATAGACTATTTATATGAATGTATTCATATACATGCATTTAAAATTAAATGAGTTAATATTTGCAAAACACTGTAACTT
The DNA here is from genome assembly GCF_000001405.40 of Homo sapiens. Taxonomy (NCBI): domain Eukaryota; kingdom Metazoa; phylum Chordata; class Mammalia; order Primates; family Hominidae; genus Homo; species Homo sapiens. Next base: position 80,002,896 of record NC_000011.10, on the reverse strand, counting down.
TGCCTGTCACATAGTAAATGCACACAAAATATTAGTTGCTATTATTTTAACATGATGATGATTTCATGTAATTCATGATTACCTAACACATAATTCCTTTATTCCCGTTTGCCAATATAAATGACTTGTCTGAGATCTGACAGCTAGCAAGTTAGGGAAATAAAGATTGAATTTTGATCCCTTGAACATATTTCTTTATTGGTCATCCCTTTACTTAGCCAATATTGAGTGCCTGCTATGTGCCAGCCACTGTTCCAGTGCTGGACACATACAGATATATAGGACTTGGTGCTTCTTCCTGTGGAGCTCCCTCTCTAAAAGAAAAGATGGGCCAGCAACTAGCTGCTGCAATGCCATCTGGTCAGAGCTGCAGCTGGCAGCCTCTAGTCCCAGCCATTGGGGAGGCTGAAGTGGGAAGATTGCTTGAGCCCGGGAGGTGGAAGTTGCAGTGAGCCATGATCAAACTACTGCACTCCAGCCTGGGCAACAGAATGAGACCCAGTCTCCAAAAAAAAAAAAAAAAAAAAAAAAAAAGAAGAAGAAGTGTAGGAGCACAGCCACAGCCACAACATCCCTGCTCTCCTGCTTCACGGGGTAGGTGAGGACAACAGAAGGACTAGCCCTTTCCTCTCTAGGCTAGGTCTACTTATCTGGACCCATTGTATTGTCTACTTGTATTCTATTATCTACTTGTCTAGATCCATTGTATTGTCTGAAAAACAAGGGTATTGAAGTGGTTGATATATATGGCCTTCCTTAAGTCAAAATTTTCTATTTCAACAAAGAGTTACCTGCCCAATACAATGCTTTTTTTTTTTTCCAAGCAGTTCTGAAAAGTCTGAGCAGAGATATCTTACAAATTGAAGTATAGGCCAGGTGCCATGGCTCATGCCTGTAATCCCATCACTTTGGAGGCCAAGACAGGTGGATCACTTGATCTCAGGTGTTTGAGAACAGCCTGGGCAACATTGCAAAACCCCATCTCTACCAAAAATACAAAAAATTATCCAGGCATGGTGGCACAAGCCTGTAGTTCCAGCCACTGGGGAGGCTGAGGTGGGAAGATTGCTTGAGCCCTAGAGGTGGAGGTTGCAGTGAGCCAAGATTGAACCACTGCACTCTAGCCTGGGCAACAGAATGAGACCCTGTCTCAAAAAAAAAAAAAAAAAAAAATGAGATACCATCTCACACCAGTTAGAATGGCAATCATTAAAAAGTCAGGAGACAACAAGTGCTGGAGAGGATGTGGAGAAATAGGAACACTTTTACACTGTTGGTGGGACTGTAAACTAGTTCAACCGTTGTGGAAGTCAGTGTGGCGATTCCTCAGGGATCTAGAACTAGAAATACCATTTGACCCAGCCATCCCATTACTGGGTATATACCTAAAGGACTATAAATCATGCTGCTATAAAGACACATGCACACGTATGTTTATTGCGGCACTATTCACAATAGCAAAGACTTGGAACCAACCCAAATGTCCAACAATGATAGACTAGATTAAGAAAATGTGGCATATATACACCATGGAATACTATGCAGCCGTAAAAAATGATGAGTTCATGTCCTTTGTAGGGACATGGATGAAATTGGAAATCATCATTCTCACTAAACTATCGCAAGGACAAAAAACCAAACACCGCATGTTCTCACTCACAGATGGGAATTGAACAATGAGAACACATGGACACAGGAAGGGGAACATCACACTCTGAGGACTGTTGTATGGTGAGGGGAGGGGGGAGGGATAGCATTAGGAGATATACCTAATGCTAAATGACAAATTAATGGGTGCAGCACACCAGCATGGCACGTGTATACATATGTAACAAACCTGCACATGGTGCACATGTACCCTAAAACTTAAAGTATAATAATAAAAAAAAATTGTAGGGGGCTGATTTATTGTTGCCTAAAGTAAGGTTTCCAACCTCATTCACATCATGATGCACATAGATGATGATGACACCAGCATGGGACACTTGAGTAAGGAGCCAGGCTCTACCTCCCCTGCGTACTTAAAGGACTCAGGAGATCAATATCTTGGCACATCAGTTGCTCATTTGGGCCACACCCTTGTGGCTACTGGACCCCAGTTGGAGAATATTGGGTTTAAGGATGATAGGAGGAAGAAACCCAGTTCTAAGGGATGGTGTAACCAGGTGGTTGAGAGCAGTTTCAAGCCTGGAAAACAGTATCAGCTCTGCTTCTTACTGTTGTGTGAACTGAAACAGGTTATTAACAGAGCACCTCTTTGGTGCTCCATGTCTTCATCTCCACAAAGAAAGTGGTAATTTGTCTCACAAAGCTGTTGCAAGAACAGAACGAGTTGAGTGATTAAAGCTGGTGCATAGTAAGTGCTCAGTAAATGGCAGTTTTCTTCACTGTTCTTCTCTCCCAGATACAAGCATGGCCAGGTATTTTCTTGGACCACTTTCAAGCTCTCACTTTATTTTGACTTATAGCAGTATTATTATTTTTGAGCATTCAGTTGTCTTCTGATATTCTAAAAATTAAATAATCCAAAAAGGAGAAACTATTCTGACACATACCCAGGATGAGCTGTAACAATTAGAAATTTCAGGTTTTTCAATTCAATAACCTTTACCAACTTACTTCCCATTGCACAGAAGTTGCAATTGTGGAAGATTTATTTAAACTCAAAAATGCTCAATGGGCTATGCTATCATTGCTTCTGTGCATATAATCCACGGCTCGTGTAGTGCGAACAGGCTGAAGGAAACTCTAGTTTAATGACCAAGTTTTATAATGATGTATTTTTTGCTTCTCAAATATGGAACATTTTTACTTTAATTTTTCTGAATTCACTTTTATTATTATAAAATTGCTACATGAACATGATTTAAGAAGTTAAGTACTACTGGGAGGATGAAAGGTGGGGAGAAAAAAAGTTATACCTTGCTTCACCTCTCCCCCAACTTTTAGACTTGCACATATTTGAACTATGCACCTTTTTGTGTGTTTCCACTGTTAATGACCACTATATAAGCAAATTACTTATACTACCATTTTTTGATTTTTTTTCATTTTAGACACTTTTTTACTTCTCTTTTCGTAGATGAGGTTTTTACTCTCATCCATATACATTTTCCCTTTTCCATCTTCCAAATTGTCACGTTTTTGGTTAAATCAAGTCAAAGATTTGATAAAAATACAATGAGTAGAAAAATAGATGCTGTTCACTTCTATTTCGAATTTTATATATCTATTTTATTTTTATGTTACTCTAAGTTCTGGAGTACGTGTGCTGAACGTGCAGGTTTGTTACGTAGGTATACATGTCCCATGGAGGTTTGCTGAAACTATCAACCCGTCATCTAGGTTTTAAGCTCTGCATGCATTAGGTATTTGTCTTAATGCTCTCCCCCACCCTTTCCCCCAACCCCTGGACAGGCCCCAGTGTGTGATGTTCCCCTCCCTGTGTCCATGTGTTCTCATTGTTCAACTCCCATTTATGAGTGAGAACATGCAGTGTTTGGTTTTCTGTTCTTGTGTTAGTTTGCTGAGGATGATGCTTTCCAGCTTCATCCATGCCCCTGCAAAGGAAAAGAACTTATTTTTTTATTTGTTTTGTTTTTTTTTTGCGACGGAGTCTCACTCTGTCACCCAGGCTGGAGTGCAGTGGCACGATCTCGGCTCACTGCAAACACTACCTGGATTCAAGTGATTCTCCTGCCTCAGCCTCCCGAGTAGCTGGGATTACAGGCACCCACCACCACGCCTGACTAATTTTTGTATTTTTAGTAGAGACGGGGTTTCACCATGTTGGCCAGGCTGGTCTTGAACTCCTGGCCTCAGGTGATCCACCTGCCTCAGCCTCCCAAAATGCTGGGGTTACAGAACTCATTCTGTTTCATGGCTGCATAGTGTTCCATGGTTTATATGTGTCACATTTTCTTTATCCAGTCTATAACTGATGTCCATTTGGGTTGGTTCCAAGTCTTTGCTATCATAAATAGTGCTGCAATAAACATACATGTGCATGTGTCTTTATAGTAGAATAATTTATAATCCTTTGGGTATAAATTATTTTTATTTATGGGTTTTCTATATATTTATCACCAATTCTTCAGAAATACTTCAACAATTTTTTTACATTACCACATCTTTTAAATATAAATAACCTATGATTTTCTTTTCCTCTATGGTCGCCCTTCTTTAGAGCTCTCTGTTTTCCTGATTCAGTATAACTGATCATATTCTCATCATCTTAAATCTTCTTATTACCCCACTTCTGGGAGAGATACCTTATTTCCTGAATCATACACATGCTTCTTTATTTAGTTCTGTATTTTTCTGAAGTATACCCTCTAATTACTAGAGGATGCTTGTAGTTATTAAATAGCTTGCTGAGAAATTTATTTTAATTCTATTCTTATGTCTGACTGAAAGTTTGTCTGATACTAGACATCCAGGTTAAAAATAATGTTTCTTCAGAAGTTTGAAAACATTTCTCTATTAATTTTCAGAGTTTATTATTGCTGTTGAAAATCCAATTCCATTCTCATTCCTGATCCTCAGTAGGTGCTATGGTTTGAATATATCACCTTCAAAATTCAGGTGTTGCCAATGTGATAGTATTAAGAGTTGGGGCCTATAAGAAATAATTAGGCCACAAGAGCTCCTCTCTCATGAATGAGATTAGATGCTTTTATAAAAGAGTCTGATGGAGATCAGCCATTTTTGCCCTTCTGCCTTCTGCCATGTGAAGATACAACGTCCCTCCCTGCCAGAAGATGCAGTGTTCAAGGCACCATTTTGAAAGCAGAGACTAGGCCTTCACCGGATGAGGAATCTGCTGGTGTCTTGGTCTTGAACTTCCCAGCCTCAAGAACTGTGAGAAATAAATGTCTGTACTTCATAAATTACCCAGTTTTGAGTATTTTGTTATAGCAGCACAAAATGGATGAAGACAGTAGATGGAAGCTTTTAAGGCTCTTCTTTTTATTCCCAATGACCTTCACATGAATATTTCTCCACCTATTGAGATGGGCCCTCTGGGCCCACAGTCTGGAGACTTCTTTTTTTACTTTTTTGACAACATATTCTGTTACTTCTTTTCTAATTTATTGGTCTCCATTGACAAAGAAAAAAATAAACAAGTAAGGACATTTACTGTATTCACGTTATAGCAATAGGAAGAGCACCCTAGATCCCAAGATCAGAGAGTCTTGGCAGGGTGTTCTTGCCTTCTACTTGTATAGTGAAGAATAGACAAGCTGTAGATGAGCTGATTTATAGCTGGCACTGTTTTTGCAATCAGCAGAAGACTCGGTCAGTCAGTCAAACTAGAAATATTTATCTCTGTGTCTAGTTAGTTGCAGAAAAACAAACTTCTTCTCTCTGTTACACATCTATTTGTTGGATGTTAGAGCTCCTCAAATGATCTCACTTTCTTATTTCCGATGCTGTCTTTCCACATTTGCTTTTTAGTTCAAATTTTGGAAAAAACAATTGGAATCTTATTTTTAAATATTTTTTCATATAAGCAATCATAATTTTAATTTACTGATTTTTAAAAATTTTCTCCAGTTACACCTTTTTTTATCATATCTTGTACTTATTTCAAGATTTCATCCTTATCTTTTATCTGTCTAAATATATTATAGTTTTATTTGAAATTTTAATTCTATTTTTCTTAGAGTTCCTTTCCCTTTCCTCTCTCTCTCTCTCTCTCTCCCACTTTCTCTCCACCCCCCCACCTTTCTCCTCAAATTAAAGATATTCCTTCATTAAATGCTACTTCATATTTAAATATGAGTCAGTAAAAAGCAAATTAGAGATTCCCTGTGTGGGAGGATGGCAATTGGGGAACAGTAAGCCTTAACTTCTCTGCTTCACTTTAGAGAAATGAGATGACAAACAGGTTTTTTTGTTTTGTTTTGTTTTGCTTTTTGCCTGTTTTTTACCCATTATCTGCCCCCAACCCAATTGGAGAACCTCCATATGTCATTATCTGTGTGTCATATCCCTGAACTCTCTCTTATATTTTTTCCAGAGAGGAATCTTCCAGTCTCTAGCTTTGAAGATAACTGCCTTATTCCTTGCATTTAAGAGCAGGGAGAGAAAGGAAGCTGAGAGCACTACCATTACCATACAAAATGGAGACATTCACTTCATCTCCCTATGTTTTTGGTCCCACATCTGACCTCCATCCTTCCCTGTGCCTGGTGCACTCAAGTCCAGAACCTCTAAGGTTCACTTCCTTAGCATATAAACCTCTGGTCTCCTGGGACTGGAGGAACAGAGAGAGAAGAGAATAGGAATGAAATAATGTCTGACCACGGGAATACAGAAGACAGAGGGGATATGAAGAAAAACTACTCTACACACAGTAGTTTCATTTCCATCCCTCCTTCACTGACACCTTCCCAGGTGCCGTTAGCTGCAAGTCTTTCCTGGGCTCCTAGGGAGGATCCTCTGATTTCTCCTTGAAATATCCTTCTCCAGGTTTAGAGGGTAAAATGACCCCTGCTCCGCTATGCCAGTTATTACTCCTTCATCCACTTTCAAATTTCTAAAAGTTCATAGAAATCCCTTGTCTGCTCTTGTCTCCTCATTTTTCTCTTTGTAATGTTGCTTTTTTAGCTACTAAAAATTTCCTTTAATTTTATTTTAATAGAGTTTGGGGAGAGAGAAAAAATAAATGAGTATAGTCATTCCATTCTGTTATAACCACATTCAAATGTGACATTTATTATCTACTTATTTTTGCTTTTTCACTTTTAAAGACACATTTAGTGGTCACTGAGTGACTACCATAATAATAAAATTATAAGAACAACATTAATAACTTTCATTCTTAAAGTAATATAATATTTTAGAATTTTAAAAGCTCTTTGGCATTTAATCCTCCAAGTGGAGTGGATGTTTTTATCCTTATATTACATGAGATAATTGAGGTTAATAGAGTTTAAATAATATGTGTATGGCTGCATAATTAGTTGATAAAGGGCCTAAAACTGGAACTCAAAATTCCAGACCTTACTCTGGTACTATTTTGAAGACATTATAAAGCATTTTGCTAAATACTTGCATGAAGTGTAAGCATAAAAAAGTACAAACAAGAAGACCTAAATTTTGCCCTCAAAAAGCTCTTAATGTAAGAAGAAAAGTATAGTAGCCCCCTTATCTACAATTTCACTTACAGTGGTTTCAGTTACCCATGGTCAACCATGGTCCAAAAATAGCTGAGGACAGTACAGTAAGATACTTTGATAGACAGAGTGGGAGAGACCACATTCACATAACTTTTATTGCAGTATATTGTTGTATTTGTTCTACCTTATTGTTAGCTATTTTTGTTAATTTCTTACTGTGCCTAATTTATAAATTAAACTTTATCATAGGTGTGTATATATGGGAAAAATGTATAAATAGGATTTAGTACTATTGATGGTTTCAGGCATTCCCTGGGGTTCTTGGAACATACCCCCTGGGGGAATAAGCAGGGACTACTATATATGATATTTTAACTTTAATATAAAAAATAATAAAATAAGCCCTTCAACATTAATAGGCTGTGCCTCTAAGATGCTTAGAGATTGAAAGAGAAGGGAGATTGGTCTAATTAGAAAGACCTAGTTAAAAAAAGTGAGTGTTTGAGCTTTGACCGTAAAGAATGGGTACAATTTTGATAAGCAGATAGAAGAAAGGGCTTTCCTGGATGGGAGGAGAAGATACACAAGTAACTGGTGGGGGCAATCCCCAGCGTATTACCTGAACTAGTGAGCTGGTTGCCTGTTGCAGGATGAGTGGACAAATGGAATTAGAAAGGGAATTTAGAGAAATATCATGGAAATCATGGATGTCTTGCTAACGAATTTAGAACTATTTGATTTCAGAAAAAGGAAGTAAATGGAGTGACATAAAAATATCATTGCTTTTTCTGTTTTTCTAGCAATTATTTTTTCCTAAATTTCACACTTTCTAAATGCAAATTCAATCTTAATGAGAAAGAACTAGCAGTCTTGTCTCTGAAGTTGGTTTCTTGCACTTAGATTTGTGAGAAATGTGAATAGACTGAGAAGTTAGGGGTGGAAGAGGCTTTAACTGCTACTAAGTCCATCACCCTCGCTCACATGCACAGATTTCACAGATAAGGAAACTGAGGCTCAGGAAGACTATAAGCTATAATTGCTTTCATATTTATCACAATATGTAATTTTCATTTCTGCCCACATGATGACAATAATAACCTATTTTATAATACAATATAATCCTTACTTTCTAACCATTAGGATTAGGTTTCTGAAAAATGTCATGGAGGAATGGTTTGTATTTCAAGAATTAAGACATTATGGAAAATAAAGACTTAGTAGCAAGGAGATCAGGAGTAAAACCTAGGAAAGGTTTAATTTTTATGTTTACTGAAATATAACAGTAAAAACAGAACACTCAATATAGATAGCACTAATGATATTTTATGCATGCTAAATTAGAATGGCCTCTGTGCAATTAATTTTCATTTACTAACTTTTGGAAGTTTCAGGGTTTCAACTCCCTTGCAGCCTCTAGGATAGCCTTGTACATTTGTTTTATGGGCATGATGAAGGGCAAGAGGCATTTGGTTTTGTGACTTTCCTTCACATAAATGGTAATGTCTTTCTGTTTTTATGATGACAATATTTCAAAATTTCGAAAACACATAGGAACTATGAATATTTGAGATGGAAAAAGTTCTGGGTGATTGGTAAGTAGCTGGGCATACTTCAGACACCAAGGTTGTATTCCGAGCTTGGCTACTGAGAAGTTCAGGTCAAAGTTTTCATACTTAGCCTTAGGGCTCTCTCTCTCAGCACACAGAGGCTTCTACTTTTTTTTTTTTTTAATCTTGCCCAAAGCTTTATTACAAAAAACAAACAAACAAGCAAAAACACTTCAGTTCCACCTCTATGTTGACTCTTTTGATATTCCCAATTCTTATTTGATTCTCCTCTAATTACCCTTGAGAGTAGATTCACTAAATTTCCAAGTACTCAACTCAAACTTTTATAGTTGTTGTAAAGGTATACAAATGCAAATTCTTTACAGAAAATCTCTGTGGAAGGAAAGTTGCCATTGGAATGGATATTCCAATCATAACTCCCCATATGCTAGCAACTCAAATATTTCTGAGGCACTGGAATAAGAGCCCCAGTGCATTATTTACTTGAAAAGCATCCACTCCACCCCTTTCAGCAGATTGAGATCAAGCTTAGAAGACAAAAGCCTTGGAAATTATTTCAGTTTCCATAGGTGAGAAACTCATCCAGGTTGAAGACACATGCTTGGTACAGAAAAGACACTTGGGGTCAGGGGAAAGTGGCCACACAACTAATCTCAGTAGGTTGATCTTTAGCCTAGTTTGCTTAGGAACAAAGCTGTACTACTGACCCAGGAAAAAACAAAAACAAAAACAAAAAAAAACATGTCTCTAGAGTCTCTGTAAAAATAGCATATTGTAGGCAGTCAGTAAGTATGTGCTGCTCAGGAGATGATAGGACACTTTTTTTTTTTTTTTTTTTTTTTTTGACGGAGTTTTCTCTCTTGTAGCCCAGGCTGGAGTGCAATGGTGCAGTCTCGGCTCACTGCAAACTCCGCCTCCCAGGTTCAAGCAATTCTCCTGCGTCAGCCTCCCGAGTAGCTGGGATTACAGGTGCCTGCCACCACACCCAGCTAATTTTTGTATTTTTAATAGAAACGGGGTTTCACCACATTGGCCAGGCTGGTCTCGAACTCCAGGACACCTTTTTTGACTGTTTATGAAGAAAGAAGCAGCAGCTATAAATGCTGCTACCTGCTGAAGCATTTTCTGAGAAAGATAAACCCTGGGGATTTTCAGGGGAAGAAAGTTAATAGGCAGTTTAGGGACATGTATCTACTTATTCACACCCTTCCCACAACACATCTGTTTTTGAATCAGAAAATAATAATTTGAACACAATCATCAATGTTAAGAGTTTTGGAAGATGTTTCAAATCTGTGATCTCACTGAACCAAATCACAGGTGTTCTTAGTAAGATAGAGCCAATGTTATGATTCCCTTTAGGTAGAAGGAGAAAATGAGGCTCAAAAAAGGAATGGAACACATTCAGATGCATATACACCATGTGAACCCCCATACGTGTGTGCACATGAGCACACTTGCACACAGTAAGTCCATTATTCTGCCATCTCAACAGTAAAATATGGCCATGGCATAAGACACTGGGCCACTCTCCAGAGCAAGCCACAGGCTGGTGTTCCATTTCCTGAGATGCCTTTGTGTAATGTGAGACAGAGGGTCTAAACAAGGTACAAGCCAGGATTTTGAGAAATAAGCAAGAAGTCTTTCCTTTACCACAGTTTACATTTTTAAAATTTTACTAGTACTTTTATTGAGTTATAATTTTCATAGAGTGAAAGGCACAGAACTTAAAAACATAGTCCCATGATTTTTGACAAATTAATTTATACGCATAACCCACAGCCCTATCAAGACACATGACATTTCTATCAAGCCAGAAAGTCTCCCTGTGGCCCTTCCCAGTCAATACTCCCACCTCCACTGGCTTTCCTTTTAATGACTGGGTACTTCTAAACAGCCAAGATAACATTTTTTATTATTGTTCATAGCAGGTAAACAACTCTGGGAAATTCATCATCAGTTTCTAAAAGTAATCTGTAAACCACATCCAAATATTTTTCTCTTAGGTAAGTTACCAGAACCTATTTATTTTAAAGATATTAAACTCTTTCCCATAATCATTTTTCTAGTCTGCTAAGTATAATGCCTTAATTGAAAATATATAGTATGGTTTCATACGAGAGACACTCATTGTACATGCTTATTAAATAAACATGCTATTTAACTATCTCATCCACCCTTAACATTGACTCTTACTTTGTAAATATATAATGCATTATATGTTGTATTTCTATGTCACTGATGGCTTTGTTAAATTTTTAAAAATTATTATTAATTTGATTTGGGGTTAACTCTTTATTGCTCAGATCCTACTTTCTCAATGGTGTTTTTAGAAAACATCTAGCAGAAAAGGTGGATAAATGTATTCTTTGGTCAATAAATGACTACCACTTTGAGATAGATTTTCTTCATAGGAAAAAACTCTTTAAGAAATAGAATCAGTGAATGCATTCTTACTGAAAATTGTTAAATTGTTTCTTAAGCACGACTCTTGAGCTTTAGTTCAAATGAAAGCATAGATTTTGAAAGATATTTGATCAGAGGATCAACTAAATTCTGAAATATTCAATTTCATTGTCTTTCTTTACCTTTAATTGCATTACAGATGTCTTATAAATGTGTGATTAAAATATGAAAAAGTATGTCAGTAAGTAAAAATTCATCACCTCAGCCAGAAGTGAAGAGTATGTATCACCAGCCAGAGGCTATCATCACCACTTCCAAAGACAATGAGCCTCATTGAACTATAAGCCATTCCAGCAATTATAGCTGTTTCACTCACTGTTGTGCTCTGAGAATCTAGTTCAGTGCTTGGCACATACAAGCGCTCAACATATGTTGAAGAAATAACAAAATAAGTGTGGACAAAAACTGGTCCTCATCTGTCCTTAGTCCATTCAAGTTGCTATAACAAAAATACCATAGACTGGGTAGCTTAAACAACAAGCATGTAGCAAACATTTATTTGTCACAGTTCTAGAGGCTGAGAGCTCTAAAATCAAGGCACTAGAGATTCAGCTTCTGGTGAGGGCCAGCTTCCTGGTTCATTGATGGCAATCTTCTCTCTGTGTCCTCATGCGGCAGAAGAAATGAGGAAACTCTCTGGGGTCTCCTTTGTAAGGGCACCAATCCCATTTATGTGGTCTCCACGCTCATGACCTAAACACCACCCAAAGGTCTCAGCTACCTATATTGTCACATTGGAGGTTAGGATTTTAACATGTAAATTTTGGGGGCATATAACATCAGTCCATAGCATCATGCAACATTATACCTCTGTTATCTAGCATACCTGCCACATGAAAGCTACTCAATATCTTATTGAATAGAATTAGCCACACTTAAATGGTAAAGGACTGAGAAGGCATGGTAAATGTATCTGAAGCCACATCTCAGAAAGAAAGATGTTTTAAAATCATTTTGTTCAAGGCAGTGACTTAGTACTTTGCAGGTCAGTGAACAGTTAGTATGTACTATGACATATGTTGGATTTGGAAGCTTACTCTGTCACCTATTAACCATGTGACAGGGGCAAGTGTTTTAGCCTTTGGAGACTCATATAATGTAAGTCTGTGAAGTGGGATTAAAATAACTCACTGAGATATGAAGATTAACTGGGAACTTTCATGGGAAAGTTTCTGCACAATGCTTGGCACAGAGTGGTTGGGACACTCTCTTCTTCCCTTCGTCTGAAGGAGTAGCTTTCTTTAAAATGTGGAATACTCGTGAGATTATGAAAAAAAGAGTGAGGCTGAACTTAGCGCCTTCCACCTTGATTTATTTTCTGTCTGTGACTTCTAGTTCTATTTTCTTACAGACAAATGTGAGTTATTACTCCTATTAGCACTGCTGAGCTGTTGCCACCATGCTAGAGCAGACTGGACTCACTCTGAATGTGATGTTAAAAGCTCTGCCAGCTGAGTGCATCCTGGGTTTCCTTCACAAACCATAGAGTTTCTGACTATGGGATCTCACAAGCACAGTATTAATCTCAAGCCCTAGCCTGAAGTTTTGGTCATGCCAATATGAGATTTGGCAGGACCATCACTGAAATAAAAGATTAAGTTGAAATAATATGCAGTAATCCAACCTAAGCCACTGACTAAAAGAAGAATCCATCTCTGATAAAGAACTGGCTATTTTATAATCAGCAAAGGGACCCTAACCATGTTCATTCTGAAAATATTCTTCAGGTACTGATAAGTCAAAGGGAATACTTTTTTAAAAAATTTATACTCCTGGATAAAGGAATTCATTACATTTGTATACTATAAGTTCAAGAATGATTTACTCACAATTTAGTAATGACTTTGTGGAAAGTACAGTAAAATGTGTGAGCAGTTTTAGTTATATATATTATTTGTTGGACTCTAAAGTATTCCACAGTTGTTTTGATATATGCCTGTTTGGAGTTAGCAATGTACTTTTCTGGATAAACATCACATAAGGATTACACATTTATCTTCTCACCAAAACAGGCTCCTCCACTCCTCTAGTGTATGTAAATATGACTGGTCACCTTTTTCTCTTAAGCTAAATCTGATAGTTCTGGCTTTGCTCATTTGCTTTCTAGCAGCCTCCCCATGTTAGCCTTGCCACATGGTCAGTCTTCTGTTTGGTAGGTTTTATAAATCCTAAAAGTTCTAGTTCAAAAACAGTTCTAATACACCAAGCATAGATAATTTCATTCATTTCTTCTGAGGATGTAGAATTTGCATCCATTTTTTCAGCAGCTGTCAAAATTGTTGCAAAAGCCTGTGAATAGTCCACAAGGTTGATTAGCCTGCGACACTCTAGGTACAATTTGTATGCTATGCAGATGTCTGGGGTGATATTTGGAATGCACCCTTCTTCCCTTTTCAGTGCTTCATTCTTTAGAGAATAGTAAGGATTGTTGAGTGCAGTATGGAGGGCAATTCACGGAGCAGCATTAAATGCCTACGAAGGGCATGGGCGGCGCTGAAGCACACCACCTCATGGAGGCTGTGTCTCGGGAGGCAGAAGGTATTCTCTCACTAGACAGTCATGAAGTTCACAACCTTTTCTCTGAGTACTTCAAATTTGGTTTGCTTTTTACTTCTGCTTAACTCCTTCATTTCCAGTAAAGACTTCTGAAGATGATAGAGGTCTGCCTTCTGAAGCCCCTTTGGCTATGAACCAGAAGCATCTTCTACCTCTTTGGTTTCATCGAAGCTCTGAAACTGGGCCAGGAACTCCTGTATTCTCTTAGCTGTGCTGCCAAGGTGCTTTTCACAAGAAGATTTAAAAACCTCGAAACATTTCTCAAGTATGGTCATCAGTTCATCCTTTGCCAACATCTTCAGCAGCTGCAAGACTGATGCGTACTCCTCTGAATTCCGGATGTTCTTTTCTAAACATGCGGTACAACTCTCTGATCTGTCGACCTAGTGGATACTTGGGAAGAGAAGAGGTGAACTTATGAACACATCTCAAAACCAGAAAGTAATTCATATGATAAACATGCAGGTTTTCTAGTAATAATTGCGTTTCCTTCTTCAAACATCTCTCACTGGTCAAGAGCGCAACTTGCTTTTCTGAAGCTTGCTTTTCCACATATCTCCTAAAAGATGGAAGACGTCAGATGTTTTCACATTGATTATTTGATAAAAAATTTATTCTTCTTTTGACTTATGGAAGATTACAGCACAGGACACTTAAGGGCTGGGAACAGAAATGCTCTAATAAAGAAAGTTGAAGACTTTTATAAAGTTTTGAATCGAGAAATCATGATACAAAAAGATGTTGGTCAGAACCTGCAATACTTTTTCATTTATTTTAAAGGGAAACTGAGTTGTAAGAAGTAGCTTATTGAGTACCATAGTCTGATGCTCCTTGCAAGACAAAAATTGGAACAGTTCTATACACAACAGAGATGATACTGCATGAGGAAACAATCGGTGGTTGATAATAGATGTGGCGATTCCCACAATGAGTATTAGTGGAAATTCATGCAGATGTTGACTGCTGATAATTATGAAATCTTGCAGTACTTTTGTGGCAAAGCTTTCCATATCCTTTAAGGTAGCCAAAACAGGAGGAGACTGCCATTGGCTAGAAGTAGTCCTCTTTTTGCTTGGCATTTTTGGGTCTGTCTTCTGTGTGACAGTCATGTACCAACTGGAAAGTGAATCCATTAAATAATGTGTATTTCTCTGGGTGACCTGAACGCTTTCCCCCTCTTTGGATTTTAGATGTACACAGCAGTTCATTAATTATGAGACCAAATTTTGCAAAAAATGTTTCATATCTGGACAGTCTTTAGCTTGCGATGAGACTACATATGGTGTGACTTTATTCTGAAGGGCCTCTGTTAGACTTCTGAATGTTAAATCATGATCTGTGACTTTCACACCAAGAACAAGAGCAGCAGTTGGAATTTCTCTGAGTTTTGTTTGACAGCCCAAGTCTCTTGAATTCTTCTGGAATCCAGAATGAGATTTTTGCAGAAATTCAGTTAGATTGTCAAACAAGTTTTTATTTAATTCCTCTTGTAGTGGCTCATTTTCAGATTTCATTTGCTGCCATATCAACTAAGTTCCAAATTGAAGCTTACTGTCCTTAGGCTCATTTTTCCCTTTGTTAAAATAGTCCTCCATTGGCACAGAGATCTTTCTCTTTTTGGAGTTTGGCTTAAAAACAAAGCAGCCCTTAGACACTGAGGAGGTGGCCATGGTCTTACTGGCTCTGTGGATACCAGATGAACCGGGAATACCTTTTGACTGTGATCCCAAGGGGAGAGTGGAAGAGTACAGGTTAAAGAGAGTACTGCAATTTCAGAACACTAGTGGATTCTATTGTCCTTTTGCGATTAGACTTATTTCAGGGTCATAACAGGTATTTTCCTGATGGTACCTGATAGGACACTTTAAGTACGTACATGAGGGCACTAGCATTTTGAGCTGCATGGCCTGGTCTTATTGACCTCTTTTAGCCCAGAATCTTTAGTGAAGATACTTGCCTCTTCCATCACATCCTTCCATGTAGCCCACTTCCCAGTTACACCAGTGCACACCTGATGGCTTAGAAACCAAGTCCATCTAATACATATACCCTCAGCTCATATACACCCTTTTTCTTTGGTATTCCTACCTTTGCATGTACTAGTTTATAATTCAGAATATTCTCACCATCTTTTTTTCCTGGGGATATCTCTCACTTCCTTTGAGACTCTTGGCTCTTCCTCTGACCTCCCATAAGACACTCAGCTTATAGCTTTATAATAGATTTAGCTTGTTCTGTCTTCCTATATAGAATTTTTACATGGCTGAATGTACAGAATGGATAAAGAAATGAATCATAATAGATATTCAACAAATATTTGTGAAATACATTAGGTTTTTTTTTTAAATTAAGTACCAATCTGGGGCATAAATTAGCATAATTTGTGGGTGCTGGGAGGGGGAAACGATAGTAAAGATACAGCTAAGGTAAGAAGATTGACTACATACCTCTCTCTAACTTCATGGGGTGGAGACTTTCTTCTTTGAAGTTTTTTTGAGGTGGAGTCTCGCTCTGTTGCCCAGGTTTGAGTCAGTGGTGCGATCTCAGCTCACTGCAGCCTCTGCCTCCTGGGTTCAAGCAATTCTGCCTCAGCCTCCCGAGTATCTGGGATTACAGGTGCCCACGACCATGCCTGGCTAATTTTTGTATTTTTAGTAGAGACAGGGTTTCACCACATTGGTCAGGCTGGTCTTGAACTCCTGACCTAAGGTGATCCGATGGCTTTGGCCTCCCAAAGTGCTGGGATTACAGGTGTGAGCCACCACGCCTGGCCCTGAAGTTTTAACATATAATAAAAATCAAGATGAACACTGACCTTGTACTAAATATCTTCTATCAACCTCTTATGAAATAGCAGTCACATTGCCAGTTAGTTTATCTCATTCTAAGCCCCTACTTAAATTGTAAATAGTAATTCATATGCATTTGCCTGGTGTTTTATGATTTCCTAAGTGCATGTATATCTATGATCATGGAAGTTTATATAATGTTAACTGCACAGACTTCAATATTTGCTTGAATTCTAATCCTGGCTGTATCATGTATTGACTTATAACCTTGGGCAAGTCTATTAACTAACTTCCCTGAAACTCTGTTTCCTTGATCACAAAATGCAAATAGAACATTTCTTATAGGGCTGCTGTGTTTATGAGTGGATCACTAATACACACTACATATGTTGCATTTATTTTTGATTCACAGGAAGCACTCAAAAATGTTAACAATAATGTGGATAATGATCTTTTTTGAATTTTACATACAAGTCTGTGAAACAAGAAGAGATTTTATTATCCTCCACTTAGTAGATAGAAAAATTGAGACTGTTATCATTAAACTTCTAGTGCATAAGTAACTTTCTCAAGGACCCAATTACAACATGAAGGTAGAAATTGTATCCCAGGTTTTCAGATTCAGAATTCAGCATTTTTCCACTGTAATAGATTCCCTACAACCTAAAATACTGTCTCATTGTTCTTTCTTTGGTTTACTGCTCTTTGTAGACTTGGCTTAAATTTGTGAAAGGCAAGTGTGAGGGAAAAGAGGGATTTGTGTTTAAATGAAATGCGGGTATGAAAAAAAGTGAATTTAGCCATTCATCCCTACTGAGCAAGTTTGAAGAAAAGCAATTTTCCTATTCTCTGCAAACCATTCCCAGTTACCATGAACAGTCGGTGAAAAAAATATATATTGGTTCCATTACTTTATTAAGCATCTTTTGAAAGGATATCAAAAGAACTTCATTTATAAAATCTTGTAAAGGTATGAAAACATTACCAACTACAAAGATAAATGGTTGAAATGAAATGGGAACTGATCTTTTTTGACAAGAATTCCTAGTTTGATAACCCTGGCTGTTTTTCCCTTAAATGTACCTTCCGAGGATTTGGCATTAATCAAACCACATTTTAAATATACCGTTACATTAAGTAATGCACATTTGTCCTCAGAGATAATGCTGAGTCTTTTTTACTCTTTATCAAAGCACATTTTAATTGACTGGGAAATTAAGAAATACATTCCTTGCATATAATATGAAGAAATATGTTCGCAAAAATAAATATAAAAAGAGGTTTATACCAAAAGCATATAGCTAGATCTAGTTGCAGAGCTATACAACTTGGCTCTGTTTGAGACTACATCTAGTTTAATGTAACTTGGATCAATTTTAGCAACTAGAAAGCACTGTAGAATAGACATCAGGATTTTATACACACACACACATTGTGTATATACAGATATATATACATATATATTTGAAGAGAAGCAATTTTCAAATATATGTATTGCAACAATGTTTACCCTCTTGACCAGGAACATTAGATTGCATCTGTGTATTAAAACATGACATGGAAGTAGCTCCTGTCTGTAAACCGTCCTCAATCTGTTAAGCCCTATTGATCTCAGAGAGGTGATGGAGAAAAGAGAAGTCGTCCCTCATTCTAAGACTTTACTAAAAAGACTCCATATCCAGGGCATGGTACTATATATCATAATTTTATTTTTAAAAAAGAGAGAAATGGCAAAAATAAAACTCTGCTCTTCTTTTAAAGATCAGAAATTCTAATCAGTTGCATTGAAAATTAAATAATAAATAAAAAACAATAGCATCAATGATTTATATCTGTATCGTGCTTTACCATTTTCAAAGAGTATTTATAGCCACTGTTTCAAGTGGTCCTGCCACCAACACTGTTAAGCAGGATTTAAGTCAACACTACTCTGCTAAGATATGACTAATGAAGTAGATACTACTATTAGTTCCATTTTACAGATACATTTTACAGAACATTTTTTAAAATGAGTTTCTGAGAGGTCAAATGATGTGCCCAAAGTTATGCTAATAAGTGGTCCAGCTTAAACGTGAATCCATTCAACTTGAATCAGAGCATGGTATTGACATCATTTGACAGTGAGATTGTTGAATCCCACTGCGCTCGTTGGCAGGGAAAGCCTAGAAGTCAGCAAAAGTCATTTCTCTTGTAAGTCAAAATGGCATAGCCAGATTTTGACACTTTTCAAATTAAATGCTTTTCTGTGTTACCATTGCTTATTGTTCATTTCTTTACCACACAGCACCCAGTATAGAATAGCATACAGTACACTTAGTTAACTATCCATCTCTCTCTTGAAACTTGAGTTACACACACAATTCAGGGCAAGGGCCCAACAGTTTATCATGTGTTCCCGTTACAAGATTTTAAATAGTAATTTCTGATTCTCTTTCCAGCCTTAAGATGGCATCCAGCCAGAAGCAGAGTGTTCCTCTACCTTCAGTAGACAGTTTACAACCTGAACCCCTCTAGGCATTAGTCCTTGCTCTGACTTGAGCATCAGCTCACACTCAGAATTCTGAGTTGGATGCCTATTTTTAAAGCTGAGGACACCTCTTCCTGAGTTTTCCTACCTTTCAGCAGGAGCAAGATGTATTAGTCTGTTCTCACGTTGCTAATAAACACATACCTGAGACTGGATAATTTATAAGGGAAAGAGGTTTAATGGATTCACAGTTCCCCATGGCTGGGGAGTCCTCACAATCAGGCGGAAGGCAAATGAGGAGCAAAGTCACATCTTACATGGTGACAGGCAAGAGAGCTTGTGCAGGGGAACTCCCATTTATAAAATCATCAGATCTCGTGAGATTTATTCACTACCACAAGAACAGTCTGGGGGAAAATGCTCCAGTGGTTCAGTCATCTCCACCTGGCCCCATCTTTGACACATGAAGATTATTACAATTCAAGGGGAGATTTGAGTGGGCACCCAGCCAAACCATATCACAAGGTAACTTCTCTCTGCCTCCTTATTGACTCTTCTCCATAGCAATCTGCACCTGTTAATCACTTCAAGAATGAACATCTTACCATTATTCATGTTGCCTTTGGAATTATACAAGTTGGTTATCCTGCTGGTGGCACTGTGGTGGAAGTGTTCTGATAACAGGCACCTTTTCACACTAGGTAATGTTCTAGGTAATGTGAATCTCATGGCTGTTACACAAATAGGTAAACGGAGGTGCCAACTTCCACTGTGTTCTTTAATCATTCAAACTGCAGCCCATTCCTGACATTGGGCACTTGGGCTGTCTCTTCCTGATACATTCATCTCCGTGTTTTTCATTTCATTCCCTTTTTCTTCTGATCTAATATCTCTATCTAGTCATGAAATTTACTTTCTCACAGTCCGCTGATATCTATAACTTATCTCTAATGCAAATTACAGTCACTTTTCATCCCTTAACTCTGCTGATTTCTTCATCCACTTGCTTAGCAAATATTCAAAGGTTCAAAATGATTTGACTTTTTAAAAATTAGTAAACTTTATTTTTAGAGAATTTTTAGGTTCACAGCAAAACTGAGCAGAAGGTACAGTGATTTCCCATATATCACCTAACCCCCATTGTACATGGCCTCTTCCTCTACGGATGCCCTGCACCACGGGAATACGTTTGTTACGCTCAATGAAGCTACATTGACACATCGTTACAACCTGAGGTCCATAGTTTACATTAGGGTTCACTCCTGGTCTTGTACATTCTATGGGTTTTGACAAATATATGATGACATGTATGTGCCATGGTAATATTGTACAGAATAGTTTCATTGCCCTAAAAATCCTCTGTTCTCTGCCTATTCATCCCTCCCTCCTTCTTAATCCCTGCCAGCCACTGATCTTTTTACTGTCTCCAGAGATTCGCCTCTTCCCGAGTGTCATACGGGTGAAATAAACAGTATGTAGCCTTTTCAGATTTGCTCCTTTCACTTAATAACAGGCATTTAAGGTCCTCTCTGTCTTTTCATGACTCAATAGCTGATTTTTATTAGTGAATTGTGAATGAATTCCATTGTCTGGATCTACCACAGTCTATGTATCCATTCATCTACTGAAGGACATCTTGGTTGTTTCCAAGTTTGGCAGTTATGAGTAAAAATTTTTTTTTTTAAAAAAACATCAGATAGGGGCCTGACACTCTGCTGGGTACTGTTACGTAGACTCTCTTAATGATTCTCAGACTCCTCAAGATGGTTAACAATTTGGAGAAGCTAAGGCTCGGAGAAGTTAAGTGACATGACCCAAATATCCAAGATGGTGAATATAATTGTCAGGACTCAAACTCCATGTGTTTTAACATGGAGTCCACAGTTTCATCAGCTGCCTAGGGGAGGGGATTATTACCTCCCTGCCACTCTCCCTTGCTAATGGTAGACATTGCTGGTTAGCTACAGCATATTTGCTTGTGAAGCCTAATTCAATACAAGCTGTCAATAATAATCAATTATCATTGGCATACATGATGAAACCTAACTGGCATCCTTGACCTGGCCATGAAAGAGTGTCACATATCTCCTTAGAGCATAAGCATTCAATCTTTGACAACATTTCGGCTGACACCAATGAAGTATGGATTTTATTATTAATATAATGGCCTAATTCAGGAAGAAGCTATATACCCTTATGGTCCTTTTAATAACTTTCTGGTACATTAGTAATAATGCCTTAATTCTGTTAACTTATTGAAATTCAGTTCTTACTAGCCTTCACTCCTATCTTCATGCCTATGCCTAGCTACAGGCAGAATGTTCTAATATTGGGCCTTTTCCCTTTACGTAAAAATGCTTCCCACATATGCAAGGAAGAGTCGAGCTTCAGTTACCAATGCATGTAGGAGAAAGTGCCCATTATCATTAGGATTGTAGACCAGTAGAAAGACCTCGGAAAGCACACACATTCTAGACTGTTGTGTGTTGACACTTTTTTACCTTTCCTTGAGGTTCTCTGTATATCAGTGCCACCTAATTTTATATTTTCTGCTTTTAATATATGACTCCAATCATGTCACTTACTGGGAAGGATTATAGTTTTGATGTCTGGGTTTATTGAAATCTCAGAAATTTCTATTGGAGGCCCAGTGTTTTCTACACCATGCAACAATTTGCTACAAAATTAGCAGCTTAAAACATTATACATTTATTATCTCATAGTTATGGATCAGGAGGACTACAGGAAGAGCTTAACTGTGACCTCTGCTCAGGGATCTACAAGACTACAATCAAGCTATTAGCCAGGCTTCATTGTTATTCACAGACTTGAATAGGGAAGAATCTGCTTCAAGCCTACTCAGGTTGTTGGCAGAATTGCAAGTGAGTCTGTCATGAGAGAGTTTTATATGATATAACTTAGTCAAGGGAGCAATATTTCATAATATTTTTATGTTCTATTGGTTAGGAGCAATTCACAGGTTCTGTTCACTCAAGGGGAGAGGATCACACAAAGACCTGAATATCCAGAAGAAGGGAGCATGGGACCACCTCAGTCTGTCTACCCCAAGAAAGTAGCTTAGGGTGATAGGAAGAGAATCAGTGAGACTCCAAAATATGAAATATTATTTAGAGAAACCTAGAATAGATCTTGATGACAACATGACCCAGAATGCCTGGGGAAAAGCGAGGTGTATGTGCATTCCCATGAATGCCCATTAGGTGCCAGCTACCATTCCGAGAAGGAGAATTCAAAGACAAGAACATTCTTCTCTCAGGATGACATTGTCTAGACAGGAAAATAAATAAGTAAACACAATAAATAGCGAAGCAGGATGTGGTAAGTATGTGATAAATGCTATGATAAAAGTAGGTAAAATTACTATAGAAGCAAAGAGGAGGGGGATGTGATAGGCTGACAACAACCATAATGAAAGGCTGCCTAGAATAGGTAATATTGGGCTATGTTTTTAATAACAGAAAGAAGGTAGATCACCATATAAAGTAGGTGTGTGTGAGTGTGTGCATGTGTGCATTTCTCATATGGAACAGACAAATGTAAAATAACTGAATACAGAAGAAGTAACATGAGATGAACAAACTTGTGAAATAATTGGATACCTTCAATAGAAATCTATGATCAACATGGCTCAAATACAGAGTGCTCTAGGGAGTGGAAGGTAAGGTTAGAAAGGTCAGTGAGAGCTTAGTGAAGAACAGCCCTGCTGGAATATGCCAGGCCATTGGGTCCAGACTTTATTTTCAGAGAGTGGGAAATCCTTAAAACTTTTCACCAGGTAAGATGTATATTGTATGTATTAAATTCCCCTTCCTCCAGAAAGTTTTCTTCTAAAACTTATCTGAAGGAAATAGCTTGAATAAGTGCACAAGAAATTTGATATAAGAATGTTTCTGATTTTTTTTTCTTACGAAAATGTGAGAGGTTGAAAACAATTGCATAGGAGGGCTTTAAAATACAGTATGCTATATCCATTGGATGGACTATTATATAGATCTTGTGATGACATGGAAAGATATCTGTAATATGTCATTAAATAGAGAAAGCAGATTACAGAAAAATATGAAGAGTACAATTTTAGCAGTCTAACCACATGTAATTTTAGATGCATTAAAAATATGGAATGATAACATTCAAATCATTCAACATCCTCAGAAATTATATCCTTTTCATATGTTTCTGTTTGGTTTGAAGTTTTTACAATAAGCAAAAGCAATATAGGCATACCCATTTTGAAAAAGAATTTTATATCAGAAACATCACTGTAGCATATTGTAGGGATTGATATGGAAGAGTTTGTTAGTTGGAACAAAAATTGAAGGCACTGTAACAAAGATACACAAATTACAGTGTTTCTGACAGATACATTGATTTCCCTCTTGTGTAACAACTCGAGTAACATCCAGCTCTGTGTCCACAAGTCCACCAGGGACCCAAGCTGACAGGGCAGGTGTCCTTTCCCCAAAACTGGTGTTCAAGATTTTCCGGTTCTTGCCATTTCCAGAAAATGGGAAGGAAAAGGGAGAAAAGAGTTCCGGACAAGATTCTTTTGTTGAAATGACTTGGACCCTGTACACATCACTTCCTCTTATGTCTTATTACTGAGTTATAGAATTAACTGAGGGTTGGAGGAAGGGTCGACAATCAGCAATCTGCCACAAGGAGCAAAAAAACTCTAAATAGGGGAGATTGTTTTGCAGCTTGATGTAATCATCAAGCTAAAAGATGAGTTTGTGCTTTTGTTATTATTACTTATCTTTAAATGAGCTTCCGGTGCATATAATTGGATTAACTGTATTCCTTGTTTCAAAATATATGTTGATCATTGGTTTATACAAGTTTCTCACTTGCTTTTTTGTTTATTATAAAATAAATTGCTGCCCTAAATAAAAATGAAATTGGTTGGGTTTTGCCACATAATAAATCATTCAAAAATCAGTGGCTTCAAACAACAATGATTTACTGGTTCATGATTTTGTGGGCTGGCAATTCACCTGGGCTCACCTGGGTCATTCCTCTGGTCTGGGCAGGTTTGGCTGGATAGTCTGAGATAGCCTCATTCACAGTTGTCTGGAAGTTGTTGTGGACCATTGGTTAATAGTCAGCTGGGGTTACAGAGGTGGTGGGTCCAGATTTTTCTACCAGGCTAGCTCAAGTGTGTTCACATGACAATGACTGTAGTGTTTCTAGGAACAGCAAGAGAGAGCTAGCTCAATGTGCAAGCACATTCCAAGTCAGTGTCTATCATGTTTGCTCTTACCCCTTGGTCAAAGCCAGTCATTTTCCAGGCCCATAGCCAGTGTGGGAGAAGAATATCAAAGGTGTGGATACACAGAGGCATGGACACCTTAAAGCCATTACTACAGCAACCTACATAATGGAAATCCTGTATCTACACATGCAGTCCTCCCCCATGCTAATAGCTCTTACTATATTGTACATAATCATAAGTTCTCCACTTGACTGTAGTATAATATTCCACTGAATTAATATACCATATTTTATTTATCCTATGACCTGGGGATGGTATTTGGGTCATAAACAAGTTTTTTGCTACTATAGACAGTACCACTATGAACATTCTTGAACATGTCTTCTCTTACACATACAAAAATGTTTTTCCTTCGGTATATCTGGGGGTGAGATCATGAATATCAAATGTTGTGAAGTAATGCCAAATTATTTTCCAAAGTGGTTATACCAACTTACATTCTCACCAGCAAAGTATAAAAGATCCTATTGATCCACAATTCTCCATAACTGAGCATAATATTGAAAGGCTTCTTAAGTTTTGCAATGAGATGGGTATAAAGTCATACCTCACTGTGACGTTGATGACAGCGATCACATAAACTGCCCTTGGTCCCAACCCTTAACAGCAAGACGCTAGAGCCTGCCTGATTTCCTGTTCCCAATCGTCCTCCATCTCAACTCCAGCTTCTCTTGTTTCTCTGACACCCTCTATGATTTGAAGCCCACAAGGCCCCATAACCACCCCCAATATAGCTACAACATAAAGTTCCTTCCAAATATGAAATTCTTCTTTTCAAAATTTCTTTTCTTTCAAAACTTTCTTTCTCTGGCCAAACAACAGGGGGTTTGGAATTGGACAAGCCTGGTATGAATTGCACCTCCTGTACTTAACTAGCTATGCAACCTTTAACAATTTACTTAAAAACATTTCTATGCTCCAGCTTTCTCCTTTGTAAAACAAACATAACAATTCTATTTTGTTGTGAGCACTATACGTGGTGACATATATAAAGAAAGAGACATGCAACAAACAGGTGCTCAAATTTGGAAGTACTGCTGATGACTGGGCAACCCTCCTGCTGGGTTCTTGGTTGAAGGAACCAGCCTACTGCCCCATCAAGATTAGATAGACTAGCCTTGCCTGAGGTTAAATAGCTATTTCAGTATTCATTCATGTCAAATAAAATTGTGATTTCACTGTGGCTCACAAAACGATAGTCAGATCTAACAAATTCAATCAGTTAATTTTTGGACAAAGTCTCAATGATGATAATGTAGATCATTAATCACTACTCCACCTGCACATGAAATATGACAGATCTCAGTGTCAGGCATTTTCACAACTAGCACTAACACCAAGGAAAATACAGTGATTAAGGTCCTTCAGTGCTGTTTTGCTCCAAGGAAGTGAGGTGGCCCCTGGGGGATATACCAGGAAGTGTGTGCCCCCTGGGGGTCAGGAGACATGTCTTACAAACCTGGCTCTGCTGTGAGCATATTGGGTGATTGTAAAAATATGTTGACTTCTCTAGGTCAGAATTTCCTGAGAACATTGACAAACACACATTTGATAAATGTTTGTTGAGTTGAAGTGAATTGTATCTGAAAAATGCCAATGTTGGACTAAGCCATCCCCAGTATTCCTGAGGAACCCCTACACATTCACACCTCATTTGAAGCAGCAGCTTCTTCTGCATGAAATCTTTTCTGGCTGTTCCAGAGTGGCAAGCCCCTATTCAGGAGCACAGAGCCTCCTATTAAAGATCTTTTCAAAGGACTCAACACCATAAAGTGGTCCAATGATGTTTACGGGAGATACAAAGGTGGCTGTAGTTTCCCAAGAATCCACACTTATATTGCAAATGTCCTTTAGAGGCTGGGAATTTATGCATGGCCTGGATCCTATGAATGGCTCATGGTGAGTGAGGCGCAAGCTCCTTTGCTGCATTCCACACCACTCTGCCTGATGTTACATGGATCTGCCTTATGGATGAGTGGCTCTTCTCTGGGATAATCTCATTATTTGAAGTTAAGTCAGACACTGATGCTACAGAAGCCTTGATTTGTGTTTAGAATATTTGTGTTAGAGGAATTGTTTAAAGATTTGTCATTTTAACAGACCAAAACCCAGATAGGCATAAAAGGAATGTTAAAGCATAACTATATCTCCTCAATATAGCGCAGTGCAATAAGGTTCTGAACCTGTAGCTCAAGACTAAGGTCCTAATTCCAGCTCTTCTACTGATAGCATGTATAATTTTCAGTGAATCGCCCCTGTTTTCTGAGCCTTAGTTTCCTCACTTAGAAAACAAAGATAATAATATCTGTTATGCCTCTTTTGTGGAAGCATTTGAAACTCAAAGGAGATAATGTATGTGGTGTTGCATTGGAAGTTGTTGTTACCTTGACCCATCTCCATCTGTGTCTGCAGTGGTCCTGGGTCCCCAGTTCATGGGAGCCCTCACTAATCTTTAGCTGATGGGACACTGTCATAGCCATCATCTGGATACTTTGTGTTTACACAGCACTTACTCAGAGGAGCTGAAGGCAATGGGGCTTCTTTTCTGCACAATCCCGAGGGGTACTCTCATCCTATAATAGCTCAGAGCTTGGACATATTTTGTAAGATAATCAGCTGAAAATCTCTTCTGCTTGGTTTCAGCCCATTTGCCCCTGCCACATTCCCTGGGACCAAACTTCTGTCTCCAACAGTGGGGAGAGCAAGACTAATGCCAGATTATCTAATTACAGAAGCTAAGACTATTGCTGCCATACATGATGCAAATATATTTTGATCAGGGTCCTAATGCTGATTTCTGGGATGTCACGTTGCATTAGTAATATGCAGCCTTTTCTCCACCGCGTGGCATGGGATGTTCATTGTCCCTTAAGGTGGAACCAGAGAGCAACATTCTGACTGTGACGTGAAGGATACTTTTGTTCCTTTGCAGACATATACCATAGTGATTAAGAATATATATTTTGGGTTCTAAGGGATTTGAGATAGAACTCTATCTTTGCTATTTATTAATTAGATGACCTTCCACAAGTCACTAAACTTCAGTTACTTTTTATGTACAATGAGTTAATAATATATACCCTCACAGGACTGTAATGAGTATTAAGTTACCTAATTTATATAAGGTATTTAATACAGTGTTTGGTGCATAGAAAGAGCTCAATCTTAGTATGTATAATTATTACTATATTATCATGTAAGTTACATGATCTCATTCCCAACTTGGGTTTCCATTATATTTAAATCCAGTTTACTTTGTCAGTTAATTGAACAATCACATATATGCCTTCTTGACAGGAAGTCTGATATCATCTCTTAAGTACTATTCTTGTATTCCATGTCTCTGCTATGAATTGTTCAAGAACTTTGGAGTGTATAAAAATCAAGAAAGGGCCAGGCGTGGTGGCTCATGCCTGTAATCCCAGCACTTTGGGAAGCCAAGGCAAGCAGATCACCTGAGGTCAGGACTTTGAGACCAGCCTGGCCAACATGGTGAAACCCCATCCCTACTAAAAATACAGAAATTAGCTGGGCGTGGTGGTGGGCACCTGTAATCCCAGCTACTCAGGCGGCTGAGGCAGGAGAATTGCTTGAACCCAGGAGGCAGAGGTTGCAGTGAGCTGCGATTGCACCGTTGCACTCCAGCCTGGGCAACAAGAGTGAGACTCCATCTCAAAAAAAAAAAAAAAAAAAAAAAAATCAAGAAAGATAACCAGGCTGGTCACAGTGGCTCATGCCTATAAATCCCAGCATTTTAGGAGGCCAAGGTGGGAAAATCAGTAGAGCCCAGGAGTTTGAGACCAGCCTGGGAAACATAGCAAGACTCCAATTCTTAAAAAATAAAATAAAATAAAATAAAATAAAATTAGCTGGACATGGTGGCACCCACCTGTAGTTCAATCTATTCAGGAGGCTGAGGTGGAAGGTTCATTTATGCACAGGAGTTTGAGGCTGCAGTGCCGCTACATTCCAGCCTGGGCAATGGAACAAGATCCCATCTCTGGGGTAAAAAAAGAAAGAACTCACCTGCCATGGCTTCTGGCAGCCAAACTGTGTCACCACAGAAGACTGGTTTTGCACAGCCTGAGATTGCCCAGTGCCATGGGGATGAATGTCCTTGTGAACCCATCTTGGGCTTCTTCGCCCTCTATCACATTCTCACCATTTCCCCTCCTCTGAATTGCAAGGTGGAGGGGCTGACTAGGGGACTAAGGAATTCCCGGGTGTCTCTGTCATCTGGCTGCTAACTGGCTTCAGCCAATGGAAGGCACTGGGAGGAGATTAGAAGAAAGTGAAAGGAACAGTCAGGCTGTTTCTCTCCCTTCCTCTCTGCCTCAGGCTCATGGATCAGACAACACTTATTTTCTTCATAATTTTCCCTGCTATTTCTGATCTCTGGATCATCCCGCAATCCTCTGCCTGACTCTTTAGCTACACCCCCATCTGCATAACAAATCCTCCACATTAAATTCTCTCTGTCATAAAGACTGGAAGTGGTTTCTGTTTGCCTGGTTAGACACTGTTATAATTTGCTGGATTCCCTGCTAGTGCTGTGGGGGCCTCCTATATTTGCTCCAAGGTTATAGCTTTCATTTGCCACATGTAGATGCTCATCTGGATTACATAAACGTGACACTAAGTCAGAGTTCCTGAGACCTGAAGAGCTGCCAGCCTTATGATTGCATAACTAAGTGATGCCACCAGCCAAGAGCTCTTCTAAGGGACCAGCTAATACTGGTTACTGAAAATGAAATTGTACCTCCTCCTTGACCCGTGCAGTGTTTAATCAGAGATGGTTTAATCACATACCGCTCTATGCTACCACAATTCCCTGTTCATACTTCTGTTGTAGCACTCGACACTTTATCACTGTGTGTGTGTGTGTGTATGTGCATTAGTTTATCAATGCACATCTGGTGGAAAGTGAGCCCCTTGAAAATTGGGATTTTATCTGTATCCCATGGGTTATCACAACGCCTGCCTCAAAAGAGGTATTCATTATATGTTTAATAAATAAAGGAAAAACTAAACAACTGAGTGACATTCATTAACTAATGAGTAGAGGAATGAAAGAATAGATGAATAAATGAATGAAATTCAAGGAAGCAAATGAAAGAGGAAGACAGGGCCATGCGGGATGTCTAAGGAATTCACAGCTTGGAGGTTCCAAGCCTGAGATTGTTGGTGCTCATGCTTTAATATCCCACCCCAGAGGGCTGCATAACAAGTCTGTTTGAAAGAACAAATGAGAAATACGAAACCCCTTTTTAAAAGTTATGAGAGCTTTCCGAAATTATAAAACTGCAATTCAAGTCCTGCTCCCCCAGTCTGCCTTCCCTGCTGGCTCCACCTCACTCAGCTGTCTCTCAAGGAAGGAGAGCAGGGGGCTAGCAGGAGACTGACAACTAGGGATTGCCTACTAAGCCCTTCAGTCCTCACCACAGAGATGGCTGGGGGTGTTCTTCTCCCTACTTTACAGATGATGAGCTGTGCATAGAAAAAGCGACTTTAAAAGAAATTGTCCAAGATTCCCTAACTAGTAAATGGCCCAATTTGGATTTGCACTCAGATCTCTGCAAAACCCAGAGAGTCCTTTTCCTACCCCAGTAGGCTGCCTTTACTGCAATGTGCAGAGATGTGATTTTTCTGTGCAGCTCAGGGGAGGGATGTGGCTGGATGACTAGCTATTGCTAGACAGGGGACACTGCTTTGGAAAATGATGTACTCCATGAAATTGAAAATGGGAAATAATATATATTCCAGAGATTTCTACCAGGTAGCTACTAAAAACCTCAGCAACATAAGTGTACAGTTTAATCTTTTAACAGTTTAATCCTCTTTTAGGTGGTTTCTTTTTAGGCCAATTGAATTTCCCCTAGAGAAGCTGCCTGTGTTCCACCTGTCACCCCCTGGATTCCAAAGCACCTGCCTCAGGAAGGTGCCCTATCTATGTCTGTTTCTTCCATTTTTGCCTGTGTTCACAGGGTATTGGTCAGGAGACCATTGCCCAGACCACTGGAAATGCTCTTAATCATTTCTTGACTCCCACCCTCACTCCCTCTCCTGCTAATTTGTCCACTGGTGCAGATCTTGCAGCAGTCTATGGTGATGGAGAAATCAGTCATTCATTCTATTGCTCCCTTACCCATTCATTCATTTGTTCCATCAAGTCTTCCTATGCCCTGGAGGTACACAGCACCAGTGGAGCAGGCAAACTTGGACACAGATAATTATGATATCACATTCTAAGAATTTTCACAAAGATAACAGGATATGGGAGCACTTGGAGGGAGCAGTTATCCCTGGCAAAGTGGAGGAATGTATTACCGAGGAAGAAATTTTCCAGTTGGTCTTAACAAATGAATTAGAGATGCTCCCGTGCAGAAGGAGAGAGAGAATGGATGCACGTGGAAGAAAGGTGTTGCAGCCAGATACAAAGGTTGGAGAAAGGATGGGGTCGTCCATCTGGAGCCTTCCTCCACCTTGTATGGAGGCAGGAAATGAGCCTGGAGAAAGTAGTTGTAAAGGCAGCTTGAACTCAACCCCATACACAGAGGAGGCCATCAGATTCTAGGCATGATCAGGTGTCTGAAGTGCTGCTGAGGATTTCTTTGGAAGGACCTACTGGAAACAGGCATTCCTCTTCCCTATTTCATTTTTCTTTTATCCTGAATTGCTGCTCCCTGCCAGTCACATGGTACCTATCTTGGAGAGCAGCCAGCCAGGGCAAAATGCCTAACTTCATCCCTGGTGGCTGCAGCATCTTCATCAAATCCAGAAGCCCAAACCATTACATGTTTTAGATACAGCAAAGCACAGGGGAAGAGTACAAAAGCTAAGTTGAGTCCTTGCCCTAGTGCTTACAAACACAAAATTTGTGTCCTCAGTCTCAACTATCCCACTTGAAATGTTCTCACTTCTGTGTTTTTGATCACACTCCCCTACCTACAACAAGAATTCCCTTCTTCCTGCATATTCATCAGGTCCATATAAAAAGTTTTCTAAAAAGAGTAAAGGATGTGATTGTCCCCTTCTTTACACTCTCAGAACACTTTACCCTATGGAAGTCACTTCTGCCTGAAGATGTACTCATGTG
This sequence comes from Homo sapiens, assembly GCF_000001405.40. NCBI lineage: Eukaryota > Metazoa > Chordata > Mammalia > Primates > Hominidae > Homo > Homo sapiens. Next base: position 79,971,540 of record NC_000011.10, on the reverse strand, counting down.
TAACAGAAGAGGATAGTCTTGCCTGGAATGCAAACTCCACATACCAGGGTCACCATCTCTACATTTCCTGGACGTAGGTAACACTTGGCTTTCAATAGCTGCATAATTACTGTGAAGTGACGTAAGCACAGACCTAGGATCTAGTCAGGCCTGGTTTCAAATCTTGACTGTAATACTTCCTAAGCACCACTTATCACTAATCAGGTCATTTGACCTCTAATTCTCAAGCAGCATTGGCAGGTTAGAGATCATGGAGGTAAAGCTCCCAGCCGATTCTCAGGACATGGTGGGGCTCCACAAATGGTGTCTGCTAATAAATGTCCCCTTTTTTCCCTTGTCTTCTCTTTGCCACTTGCAACAAGGGAACTTATATTTTCCTGATATACTGGATGACTGTGGGATGAAAATCTAAAAATCAAAAATCTAAATAAAATAGATGACAGAACTCTTGCAGACCCTTTCATCCCCATGAAAAATGATCACAAGGAACTAAAATACATAATCAAGGGGAGAGATAAATGTCATGCAAAATTTCCATCTCAAAATAAAAGGCGAGCTGCACCACATTCTTCCCCATAATCACATCGTGGAAACATGTGCAACACTGCATCAAGCCTGGAGTATATTATGAACCCCTGCAGACACAGAAATTTTGTGAGCTGTAGGTTGCAGAAACCCACAGAGCTGGGAAAGCAGAGGTTTAATGGTATTTTAAATGTTTTGACTATGCAGGAGGCAGAATCTGCAGTCTAATCATTTTCAGAATACTTGATGCACTGTAGGCAACCATGGGACTTGTGTACTCCCCAGCAATCTGCACCTAGAATGGGGCAAGTTATAAGGGAAGAGAAGGGAAGGAAAGGGGATGGCAAGTATATGGAGCACCTACTATGTGTGTGGTACGCTCCCTCGGCTACTTCCCTTAATCTTCCCAGTATCCCTGGAAGGTAGGTTTTCTGAGCTACACCTCTGGTCTTAAAAGGTAGCTGATATGAGCTTCTGAGAGTTATGAGAAAAATAATTCTAAATCTCATTTATGTGTGAAAGTTAAATCATTCCATACACCCATGTTCATAGCAGTGGTATTCAAAATAACCAAAGGGTAGAATTAACCCTACTGTCTATCCGTGGATGAATGGATAAACAAAACACAGTACTTACATGCAATAGGCTGCTTTTCAGCCTTAAAAAGGAAGAAAACTCTGACACATGCTATGATATGAATAAATCCTGAGGGCACTATACTAAGTGAAGTAAACTGGTCATAAACAATCAAATACTGTATGACTCCACCTATATGAGGTATCTAGAATAGTCAAATTCATATCTCCTATCAAGAGTAGAGTGGTGGTTGTCTGGGGCTAGGGGAGGAGAGAATAGGGAGTTGTTTAATGGATAGAAAGTTTCAGTTTTGCAAAATTAAAGAGTTCTGGAAACTGGTTGCACAACAACACGAATATACCTAACATTACTAAATCATACACTTAAAATTGGTTAAGAGGCTGGGCACAGTGGCTCACGCCTGTAATCCCAGCACTAGAGGGTGACACAGGAGGATTGCTTGGGCCCAGGAGCTTGAGACCAGCCTGGGCAATATAGTGAGACCTTGTTTCTACAAAAATAACTTTAGCTTGGTGTGCACCTATAGTGCCTGTATGCCAATATCATGTGATTTCGATTATTATAGCTTTGTAATATATTTTGAAATCAGCTAGTGTCATGCATCATTTAAGCAACATCTCATAAGCTACAGTTGTACGTCCCTTTTCTTCCTTGTCCCTTTTTCTCCATCTTCTTTTCTCTTCTCTCCTTTATCTCTTCCTTCCACCCTCTCATTCATTTGTTCTCAAATATTTGCCAGGGTAAAGATCCAAATATTAAAGTCCCTGCTTCCCAGGAGCTCAGAGTCCAGTGTGGGAAAGAGTTAGAGCAGGAAGAAGTGTCAATGTGTCAGTTTGTATGCCAGTATTATGCTGTTATGATTATTATAGCTTTGTGATAGATTTTGAAATCAGCTAGTGTGATGCCTACAGCTTTGTTCACTTTGCTTAAGATTGCTACGGTTTTGTGGGGTCTTTTGTGGTTCCATACAAATTTTAGAATTTTCTATGATTGCAATTTTGATAAGCATTACATTGAATGTATAGATCACTTTGGGTAGTATGGATGTTTTACCAATATTCATTCTTCCAGTTCTTGAGCATGGGATATCTTTCCATTTATTTATGTCTTCTTCATTTTTTTTTCATTGATGTTTTATAGTTTTCAGTATACAGATTATTCAACTCCTTGGTTGAATTTACTCCTGAGTAATTTTATGCTATTATTAATGGGATTGTTTTCTTTGTTGCGGGTGAATCTTTTCTCAGGGGGCAGAGTGTCACTCTGTCACCCAAGCTGGAGTGCAGTGGCATGATCTCCGCTCACTACAACCTCCAGGTTCAAGCAATTCTCCTGTCTCAGCCTCCCCAGTAGCTGGGATTACAGGCACTTGCCACCAGGCCCAGCTAATTTTTGTAGTTTTAGTAGAGACGAGGTTTCACCATGTTGGCCAGGCTGGTCTTGAACTCATGACCTCAGGTGATCTACCCACCTCAGCCTCCCAAAATGTTGGGATTACAGATGTAAGCCGCCATGCTGGGCCAAGATTGTTTTCCTAATTCCTTTTTTGGAGAGTTCATTGTTAGCATAGAGAAACACATCTGATTTTGTATGTTGATTGATTTTATATCCTGCAACTTTACTGAATTTGCTTATCAGTTCTTGCAATGTTTTGGTAAAGTCTTCAGGGTTTTTATAATGTACGATTATCTCATCAGCAAAGAGAGACAATTTTACTTCTTCCTTTACTATTTGAATACTTTCTCTTTCTTTTTCTTAACTAATTTCTCTGGCAAGGATTTCTAATACTACATTGAATAGAAATGGTGTGAGTAAGAATCCTGGTCTTGTTCCCGATCCTGAAGGAAAAGCTTTCAACTTTTCATTGTTGAGTATGATGGGCTTGTGATACCTGGCTGTAATTGTGTCAAGGAACATTTTTTCTGTACTTAATTTGTTAAGAGTTTTTATCATAAAAAGATGAATGTTGTCCAATTTTTTTCCTGCATCTGTTGAGAAAATCATGTTCATTGTTCTTCACCCTATTAATATACGCTAAAATCTATTCTTAAATTATTTACACACATCTTCTTATTGATATTCTAGATGCGCTGTACGTTTTGATATTCAAGATGCTTTATCACTAAATAAGCATAGAGGAACCACCCCACCATTTTTCCAGTGCGGGTAGATACGACCTCCTTGGACAGAACTGGCACTTGCCTGCCTGGTTCAGGCCCTTGTTTGATCACAGGTTTCTCAGGTTTTCCAGGCTAGTTATAAAGTTCTGGCCTCAAGTGATTCTCCCAACTTGTCCTCCCTAAGTGCTGGTATTACAGTTTGAGCCATTGCACCCGGCCAGAGATTTGCTGTTTACTCCTCTACAGGTTTCTCATCAGCCTGCCTCTCTTCTGTTACCTCATTTGAAGATTACCTACTCTAGACTAGATTCTAGATTCCTCTGGAGCCCATGAGAGCTGCTGTGTGTCTTGAATATCACATTGGTTTGATCAACCTGAGCCCCAACCCTTTAATCTTTATTCACTCCAAACACACATTTGGGAAAGGGTACAGTGCTCAGGAAGGAAATCAAGGCTCAAATAAGTTGCCTCAAATCACTGAGGAACAGCAGAAAAGCCAGGAATATAAAACAAAGCCTGTCTGGCTCTGAAACTTGTATTCTTGCTTACATACAAAGATGTTTCTATAATCCAGTGCCTTACACAAAGTCATACAGTCAATGTTGCTTTAATGGTTTTATGTTTCTTAGAGTAAAATACCTGAGTAAAATAAAATACCAATAACCTTTCACAAATAATTGATGAGCAGGCGTGTTAGGTTCCTTTCTTATTGCTGAAGAAGGCACATTGAGGCATAGGGTAAAAAATCCTTTTCTGTTACTAACCAGCAGTGTGATCTTGAGCAAGTCATTTACCTTTTCTGGTTTACAGTGATTACTTCTGCATAATGAGTGTCTATTACTAAGTGATCCTTGAGGAAATTCCTAATTTGTGCCTTTGGTATCCCGAGCTGTAGCCAGTCTCTGATACTCCGAGACAAGGACAGCATGATGACCAGCGTAGGTCCCCTAACCCTTTTCACCATGGATGAATGCTCCTCTGGTAGCAATGTCATTTCTGCAGAAAAGGGCAGGCTTTGTCAGGCTGCCGCCCAGAATATCTTCTATCTCCTTACTTCCATGAGCAGAACAAATCAGTCTCTGTCACATGAATATTTTTTCTTTTCTCCCCAGACATAGCAACGTGGTCTTTACACTACAATAACTTTGAGTTCTTTCACTCTTTGCTATAGTCAAGGGGATTCAAGCTTAACTCAATGTTATTTGGGCATGACATGGCATCATTTAAGCAATGTCTCATAAGCTATGGTTGTAGGTCCCTTTTCTTTCTCCATCTTCCTTTCTCTTCTCTCCTTTTTCTCTTCCTTCCATCCTGTCATTCATTTGTTCTCAATCACTTACTAGGGTAAAGATCCAAATATTAAAGTCCCTGCTTTCCAGGATCTCAGAGTCCAGTGTGAGAGAGAGTTGAAGCAGAAGTGTCCACTGACAGTTTGTGCTGGTAGAGGGGAGGGCAGGGTTAGTTTTGTGGCAGGAGCTGAGAGAGACAGAATGGAAATGTTTCCAGGACAACTGGAATGTTGAGATGGTGATGAAAGCTAGAGGGGATGTTTGCTAGGATGATGGCAGGTGCCATGGGGGTAGGGAGGGCTTCCCAAGTGGAAGTTTCAGCCTACAGAAAGGCACGGAGGTAGGAACACTAGCAAGAAGCACAAAGGGCAGGCTGAAGAAGCAAGCTGGGTTCATTGGCAGGGTCCTCTGAGGTGCCAGGGTTGCCTTTCCCTATCCTGCTCACCACGCAGGGGAACAGCTTTGCTTCTAAGTCACTTTCATTGTATATATATATTTTTTCTTTTTTAAAAAGGTCTCTATATATTCCTGTTATTCATGTGTACATGCATGCATATGGGTATGTGTCCTGTAAAATACCAGAGGACCTGATTTTACTTATGTCTCTTCTGGTGAGGAGAGCCCACTTCTGCATGCGAAGTTACTCTGGGGCATGAAATTTAAAGAAGCAGGGCCTACCACGTGATGGGGATTCAATAAATATCTGCTGCACAAATGATGTTAAGAGTTAGATTCTTTCTACCTAACAGGTAGGTTACCAAAGAAAATAAAGAACAATTAGGAGAGATGGCATCTCAGGACGCAATGGTTACGGGTCAGATCTGAGTTCCTTTGCAGATGGAGAAACTCTACTTTGCCAGCCTAAGGCACAAGGAGACATGCTCAAGAAGGCAGATTCATGAGAGGCTGAATAACTTTGGCCAAAAATGTCAAACAGTTCCTCTTTAATAAGAGAACTGTTGCTCACACTGTATATCCCATATGCTGATTGCATTTGATATGTGGCTAAAGAAGAGGAGGAGGGGGTAAGAGAAGAAAGAGCAAGAAGGGATGATCAAGTAGAGAGATGACAAGTTTTATGATAATAAAGATAAAGAGTGCTCCTACTGGGCACTTGGCTAATTAATAATGAGAATGATAGTAATAATGATTACAACCGCAATAATAATACTGAGCACTAATGCTACGCACTGTTTTCTTTACGCACCTTATTTAATTTCGTTACTTCTCACCACAACCCTGTAAGCTAGGCATAGATTGGTATCCCTGTTTTGTAGATGAGGAGAGTGATGCTTAGAGAAGTTAAGCAAGTTGCCCATTGTCACACAGCTAAGAAGTGGTGAAGCAAAGATTTAAACTGAGATATGATTACAGAGTCTGAGTGTTTTACCCAGTTTACTGGATTGAATTTACAACTTATGGCTGAATACATTGACAAGTTACAAAACCTCTCTCAGCTTCAGTTTCTTCTTCTGTAATAGAAATCTCAAATCTATTTCCTTTGCAGAATGTTGTGACAATTAAAAATGCTGGTGGATAGGAAAGTGCTTCAAAATCATTAAGCACTTTATAGAGGGAAGGCGATATTATTGATATCACTGATTAAATAATTTTTGGAGAATCTGTATATTTTATATTAAATAGATGCAGCCTATATGTTTATATGGCTCTCCCATGTCACTGGGGAAAAAAAAAGGAAGGAAGAAATATTGAAAACTGTATTGTTGCAGGCTTACCATCTTACGATGTGCCAGTCACCATGCCTAGCACCTTACATGACTGTTTTTTTGTCTTTTATAAGTCTATATTATAATTTTTAAGTTGTCACACCAACCCTATTGTCATCCTCATTTTGCAGTTAAGGAGACTGTGTCACAGAGGAGTTAAGTAGCTTGCTCCAGGCCCCAGCTCTAGAAAGTGATAGAGAAGACTTTCAATCAGAGCAACCCAGACCTTTCCCTTAATTACTACATAGCACTGCCTCTCCAATCAGCAGAACAACAATTAAGCTGTTAAGATTTTCGACAGAGTATACAAAAAAGAGTGCTGTTTATCCTTTTTAATGCAATTCACCTGACACACTTAGAAAACACATTGGATGAACGAATTTATCCTGACAAAAGGAGAAGAGTAATTAGTTAATAATAATTGATTTGGGCACCCTCCATTATCCACAGGAGGCTGATCAATCAGTCAGCCTCCCTCCCCAGCTATGCTACCCCTTATTCATAACTAATCACACCCCATATAAACATCATTAGCTGGGAGGTGCATCCCCACTTCTTTTAAATTTGAGCTTAGAATCACTATCAGCCTCATCTGGTGGGGGAAAGAAAGAAAAACGAAGAAAATAAAATTTTAAAAAAAGTAGAATTCACCAAGCTGTTGAATAAGCCAAAAAAAAAAAATTCTATAAAAAGGAACTTTTATTTCATTGTCTTCAAACCTACCTTTGTACGCTGTCAGTTCTGTGATTAGCCAGCTGTTTAGTTAACTGGAGTATCGATCTGCCTGTCACACATTCTTTGTCTGCTGGGAACAAGGAAAGGTGCTGACCCTTCCCAGGAAGCACTGGTGACAGGTCTGTAATTTGATGATCACTTATTCAGGAAAGATTTCACTTTGTTCCTTGATGTACATCCCGGCAACTGGTGTGCCTTTGAGGCCTCTAATAATGCCAACATTCACCTCCTAAAAGCTTCAGTGCAGGATAAAGCAGAAAAACACAGGACCCAATTTCAGTCTGTCCAGCTTCTCTTTCATGTGTTCTTACCAGAGATTAGAAGTTATTGTGGTTCCACTAAAAAAATAAAAATAAAAATTATTTATTATGATTTGTGGTTTCTCAGAAAAGTAAAAACAGGCAACTAAACTTTTAGTGCAGAGGGTAGCCAGTTGTTCCAAACTCAGAGGATATTTTTAGATAAAGCAAAATGCGTCTGTGTGGTAGCTATCAAATTCCCTGGCTTTGGTAGCAAAAGTGGCATGCTGTGTTCAGTTTTAAGCTCAGAGCTTGAACAGAGAAAAAGGAAAACATTATTCCTCCTATAGCTTTGTGTTCTTAGCACAATAGAACAGAGATGAGTGAGCCCGGATTTGTTGAATAGTAGGAATTATATTCCAACAGTGTGGGGTTTAGTAAAACCTACAAATATGTGTTTTATCCTGCATTTTCATTCTGACTGGTAAGCCTCTTGACATTTTAATAAAACTTATGATAGACTGCTGATTATATTTATCAAAGTATTGGCAAGGTAGTTTAGAATAGAAGGAAAATATGCAATTTAACCTCAGACTGTGAGTTCTAGTTACACAGTGAATTGTTCTGTGGCTTTTGTAATCTTGTTACATATTTAACCTCAGTTTCCTCCTCTGACAAAAGTGGGTAATAATGAGATTGATGGGATGCCTACAAGGGTGCATGAGGCAAGTCAATGTCTTCTCGTTCACTGCTGGAAAAACACTCTGGACCCCCAGCAGCTCACCATGGTTCCAAATACCCTATCTGTGGGCACTGTCTATTTATCCCTAAAAGAGGGCATGAGTGGATACATATGCCTCTATCTAATACCAAATATTCTCAGTGACCTTTTTTATTCCAAGCTGTGTGAGGATGGTGGTAGGGATGGAGGACAGCAGTAACCTCTGCATTTCCAGGTTATGCATCATTGGCTCATGCATCAGACCATGGTCTAATCAATCTAGGACAGGTAGTCTGCTTATTTTTGCTTGAGATCCACATCCCAAACCACAGTGACTCCTCCAAAAGAACCTCATGGGGCTGGCATCTTCAGGTGGGACCTGTGAATGTGGCAGGCACTGATAGCTTCACAGACCCTCCAGGATCCTCATTTTTCCTTATTCCTCAGCCCCACTTTTCATGGCTCCATCCCACTCTGCTGCTCTCTGTTGAGCTCCATCCAGCTTTGGGCTTACTCCCTGAACAGGACACAACTTTCATAGTCAGTTCTCAGGTTCACATACCCAAATCAAAGGCAGCCAACAGCTCATCACCTCTCCTCTGCTCTTGGGAAGACTGGAGGAACACCATCCATTCAGGCCTTGAGTTAGCAGTTGCCCCCTGGGCGTCCCAGACTTCCCAGACAGGCTAGGTCCAATCCACAGCATCCACTCTAGCCACATCTTGATCCTTCTCCTCCTCCTCCTCTTCCCCTCTCATCTCCAGTGAATGGCTCCTCCAACCCCGGAGACACAAAAACAGCCCCTCGGGAATCATGTTTAACTCCTGTCATAAAGATTTGTTGATTCTTTCTCCTTAACGTTTCACCGCTCCAGTTCAGGACACCAGCATTTATCAGTGGTTATATCGCAAAGAATCTTCACTGGGTTCCCTGATTCTTGCCTTTATAGGTCACTACCTGACTGAAAAGCCTTTGGTTACTTCTTATTAGCTTCAGGGTAAAACCCAACCCCCTTTGAAGGGTTTGCAAGTGTCCCTACAATTTAACTCTCCACCCCATAGCTTGCATCTTCTCTCCTCACATCTTTTTTTTTTTATTATTATACAAGTTTTAGGGTACATGTGCACATTGTGCAGGTTAGTTACATATGTATACATGTGCCATGCTGGTGCACTGCACCCACTAACTCGTCATCTAGCATTAGGTATATCTCCCAATGCTATCCCTCCCCCCTCCCCCCACCCCACAACAGGCCCCAGAGTGTGATATTCCCCTTCCTGTGTCCACGTGATCTCATTGTTCAATTCCCACCTATGAGTGAGAATATGCGGTGTTTGGTTTTTTGTTCTTGTGATAGTTTACTGAGAATGATGATTTCCAATTTCATCCATGTCCCTACAAAGGACATGAACTCATCATTTTATATAGCTGCATAGTATTCCATGGTGTATATGTGCCACATTTTCTTAATCCAGTCTATCATTGTTGGACATTTAGTTTGGTTCCAAGTCTTTGCTATTGTGAATAATGCCGCAATAAACATACGTGTGCATGTGTCTTTATAGCAGCATGATTTATAGTCCTTTGGGTATATACCCAGTAATGGGATGGCTGGGTCAAATGGTATTTCCAGTTCTAGATCCCTGAGGAATCGCCACACTGACTTCCACAATGGTTGAACTAGTTTACAGTCCCACCAACAGTGTAAAAGTGTTCCTATTTCTCCACATCCTCTCCAGCACCTGTTGTTTCCTGACTTTTTAATGATTGCCGTTCTAACTGGTGTGAGATGGTATCTCATTGTGGTTTTGATTTGCATTTCTCTGATGGCCAGTGATGGTGAGCATTTTTTCATGTGTTTTTTGGCTGCATAAATGTCTTCTTTTGAGAAGTGTCTGTTCATGTCCTTAGCCCACTTTTTGATGGGGTTGTTTGTTTTTTTCTTGTAAATTTGTTTGAGTTCATTGTAGGTTCCAAATAAACTAGAAAATCTAGAAGAAATGGATAAATTCCTGAACACATACACTCTCCCAAGACTAAACCAGGAAGAAGTTGAATCTCTGAATAGACCAATTACAGGAGCTGAAATTGTGGCAATAATCAATAGCTTACCAACCAAAAAGAGTCCAGGACCAGATGGATTCACAGCCGAATTCTACCAGATGTACAAGGAGGAACTGGTACCATTCCTTCTGAAACTATCCCAATCAATAGAAAAAGAGGGAATCCTCCCTAACTCATTTTATGAGGCCAGTATCATTCTGATACCAAAGCCAGGCAGAGACACAACAAAAAAAGTGAATTTTAGACCAATATCCTTGATGAACATTGATGCAAAAATCCTCAATAAAATACTGGCAAAACGAATCCAGCAGCACATCAAAAAGCTTATCCACCATGATCAAGTGAGCTTCATCCCTGGGATGCAAGGCTGGTTCAATATACGCAAATCAATAAATGTAATCCAGCATATAAACAGAGCCAAAGACAAAAACCACATAATTGTCTCAGTAGATGCAGAAAAAGCCTTTGACAAAATTCAACAACCCTTCATGCTAAAAACTCTCAATAAATTAGGTATTGATGGGACGTATTTCAAAATAATAAGAGCTATCTATGACAAACTGTCCTCACATCTTATCCTCTTGCAAAAAAGAACCGAAGCACGGTGTCAATACAGTCTGCTCCCCCTCACTCAGATGTCCCTACATGCAGATCCCTCATCCTATTTATTTGTTTATTTAAATTTTTTAAATGGTATGTACTATGCACCAGATATTTCACAAATGTTACCTCCTTGAAGCATCAAGACTATACTATGGGGTAGTTTTCCAGGAAACTGGGACAAAGAGAAGAGAGAATAAACACCTTGCCCAGGGTGATTTATCTAGTGAGTAGCAGAGTCAAGGTCTTTAACTCAGGCAGTCTGCCAAGAAATCATTCCTCTTGTTGTTGTAGTTCACCTAGTTGCTACTTAATTTTTAAAAGTTAACCCACATATTATTAGCTTCTAAAGGAGGCTTTACCAGGTCATTTTTCTCACAACCATTGAAGGTTTAATATTCAATCTTCTGTATTCTCATATAATTGTGTCTGTATCTATCATACAGAATATTATGTGTATAATCATAATTATCCTTTCATTTATTTGTCTCCCCCCAAAAACTACCACACATGCACACACACCATCAGACTGGGAGTCCTTTGAAGGCAGAGGTCCTTTTTTTTTTTAAGTCATTTGTTTGTTGGTTGGTTGGTTTGAGACAGGGTCTCACTCTGTTGCCCGGGCTGGAGAGGCAGTGCCACAGTCCTGGCTTGCTGCAGCCTCAACCTCCTGGGTTCAAGTGATCCTCTCACCCCAGCCTCCCAAAGTACTAGGATTACAGGAATAAGTGACCATGTCCAGCCAGCAGATGTCTTATTTTATCAATGCTTATTATCCCCAGAGTGAATTCCAGATAAACCCTTCATAGTATGCCCTCAATACATGTACAAAGCCCTCCGTGTATATGCTATGTATTCTAAACTTGCAACTACCTTGTATTGATTATTTCACCAAGAAAAACAGTGACTCCAATGTGGTCTGTGTAATCTTTAAAAGGGGTTAAATGTATTTCACACACATCAGGATTCTAGAAGATTTGATATTTAACACACTAGGGCATTTGACTCTACCAAATTAAAAATGTAATGTATAAACTATAATTATAACAAAGAGATTTTATACTGACACTGTAAATTGGTTTCGAGTTTATCTTTTATTTATAATTAACAAATCGACTTTGTAGTTTTTAGAATGAAAACCAAATATGAAAGTTTTAAGCAAAAGAAGAAAATGTATAGCTTGTCCAAAATCAACAGAATCAAAATGCTCACTTTTTATTCCTGAAATTATTTAGGAAAATATTTACTTCAATATGACTTTCAAATTTAACTGCCTAAATGTAAATTTAATGTTACATAGATTTTTTTTCTTCCATTCCTTTGAAGGTTGTTTGAGTTCCTATCTTTTTGGCAGTGCTGTGGGAGAGGTACAACCTTTGAGTTGCACAGATTTGTAGTGAAGATACAACATATGTACAAATGCCTAAAAAAGCAATTAACACATGCAAATCAATTCAGAGTTTTCACAGGATCTGACCATTGTTACCTCACCTGAATCTTTGTGTCCTAGGAAAGCTAAACAGAACAACAACAACAAAACACCAGATGAGGCAAACTGGGACTCCAACATGTAGCAAAGCTGACCCACGCTTCACAGATCGAAAGTGGCAGGCCATTGTTCTTACACTACACTTTTAGTGCTTTTTACTTCCTCCTTTCTATAATGAGGCAACCTGTAATAGTAAAACAGACATGTAGTATTCCTTTCCCACTCTCTTCAAAATTGGTTGTGTCTGGAAATAAGAAAAGTAGTCATAATCATTAGAGGGAGCTTTATAGTCTATCTTGACACTCTGTAGCCATTTTCATAAAACTTGCCCTTAGCTTATAGATATCTCAGGATTATTCTCCATTCACAGTGTCACAGGGTAGCAGTACAGAGGCAGTTCCATGTCATACAATCACATTCAAACTATGGGATCTTAATCACACACCCTTGTCACTGCCTGGCCCACTACTCCCTGCCTCAAATGCCTGAACCAGAACAATTCCTCCTTTATCACACAAACTGTTACATCTGTATAATGGAATACTATTCAACAATAACAGGGAATGAACAACTGAAACACACAGCAACATGGATTCTGGATTAACAAATGTATTATGCTAAGAAAGTGAGAGAGGCTAGACTCAAAGGGCTACATGATTACATTTACACAGAGAATCATCATTCTGGAGAATGTAAAACTAAACAGACGGAAATCAGATCAATGGTTGCCAGGGATGGCAGGTGGGGATAGAGGTAGGTTACAAAAGGACACAAGGGAATTTAGGGGGTGATAAAACCATTCTATATCTTGACTGTATGTAGCTACATGACATTGTGTTTGCCCAAAACTAAGCCTTACAAAAGAATGAATTTTACATTGGGTATCTCCAAAGAAGAAGAGAAATCCAGATCTTTAAGGTTGGTACAGGTTGAAGAATCTTTGTGATGAGTTTAGGAGTCTGGCCTCAAAGAACCTCTATTGTTTCTCTCAGGGGTTTCTGACTATAGTCAACTCCATTTGAACTCAGAGGGGAGATAACACTTTTTTAAGATAGAGTCACTGTATAACATGGCATGTCTCAAATCACTTTCCTGAATTCTAGATGGTGATTTTTACACCTTGTGTTCTTCAAAAGAAACACCTGAGGGAACTTGTTAAAATGATTCTAGTTCCAGATATTCTGATTAGTTAAGTCTGAAGTGAGGCCCAGGAATCTTGATAGAGAAGATTTTACTACACTTAGAGAAGCATTACCTAGGGAATATAAAGGGAAAATAAGCCAGATAATCTCATTTATGAAACACGGTATAATGATTTGCACACTGTGGCCTCTGTGACATGGTCTTCCCAACCTCTTCTGTCAGAAGCTGCCCTCTTCTACTTCTGAGGAGTGTTTATCCTAAAAGATGAACACTGCAAGAAGCAGGGCTTTCCATTCTTGCCAGGCTAAGACCTTACTCCTGATTCCTGGTTCCTATATGAGAGGTTTCTTTTCCCTGGGATAGCTAATATAAAGATGATACTTTGCCCCTGTGCAAGGGGGTGTGACCTCATTAAGCCACCCATATCAGAATACAATAAATCTAACATGCACCTTGGAGGGATATATACATGACCAGAGGTCATTGTATTCCAGGGAGAAAAAAAAAATCAAGGCAGAGGTAAATCTTGAAAACCCTTGGTCTTGTAGTTGAAAGAATACAGCCTTTGGAAAAAAAACAACTTGAGTTGTATTCTGTCTCCATCGCTGGCTGTCCACGTGACTTTAGAGAACTCACATAAACTTGAACCTCAATTTTTTTAATAATGGAGATTATAAAACCCACCTTCCAAGAATTATACATAAGTTTTGGAAAAGGCACATGTTTTTTTTCTTTCTTTCTTTTCTATATTATTTTTATTTAGGCATAACTCATATGTAGGAAAGTGCCCAGATCTTAAGTGCATAGCTTGATAAATTTTTGCACAATAAAAACCATAGAACTATCACACAGTTTAAAAATATAGAACATTTCTGGCACTTCAGAAGGTTTTCTTCTGTCTCTTTATGGTCAGTAACCTCCAAAAGGTACACACTCTTTTGGATTCTATTACCAGAGATTATATTTCCAACTCATAAGTTTTTGATAAATATCAATGTCATTTTTATGACACAGGGTTAGGTAAGTGTCCCTAAACAATGAGCAGATGCTTCTTAAACAATAACCCCATTGGAAAGCTAGTAAAAAGATGTCTGGAATCAGTGACACATTCGAGGTTGCTTAAATCATCCTGGGAGATCTTAGGAGTGAGAGGAGAGGTCATAATGCTGGGTTCATGAAAAGAAGAAAAGTGTTCACCTTGCTGTAAATCCATGTGGAAGTGAGTCTAGCCTGAGTGAAAAATTGTATCTGACACCTAATGGAGAAAAGCATGGAGTTCATGTAGATTATTAAGGAAAGCAGATAGACAGATGCAAAGCTTAGAGAAGAATATTAAATGATTTATGTGATAGGCATATGCAATTGTGCAGTAGGTTAGCAGAATTATCTGAGCTTCCATACTCATAGCCTTCATGATCTGTCTCAATTTTACCTCCAAAATGAGTATTTTAACCATTTTTTTCTTCTCCAATTTCTCCAATCACTACTCTTCTATTGGCCTAAATGGTCCCATCTTAAATCAACCCACCTTGTCCACAGGATGATTACTCTCAAAACACATCTGATCATGTCATTCCCCTACTCGAGAACTTTTAATGACTATATTTCACTTGAAAGGTAAATTCCAGTCTAAACACAACGTATAAGCCCCCTGCTTAACTTCCATCTGATCACTGAGTCTGCAATCCAAACACTCCCTTCCATTCATTCTAGACTAGCCCTCCACTACTGTTTTCTGTACTTTTGGGCTTCCCCGACTCTTCCATTGATGCTCTTCCTGTCCTCTAATAAAAATCCTAATCCTTTAAAACAAGTTCATGACAACTGTCACTCTTCTGCCGACACTTCTCCCACCCAACTCCTCTTTTATCAGGCAGAATCCAATTTGCTGCACTGTATCTATCCAAGGCCTTACCTTTATATAAGTCAGGTAGCCTTTATCACACTGTTCTGTATTTACCAGACTTTCATTGCATATGCTGGCTCAGCTGTGAGGCAACTGCAGGAAAGAGGAAGAAACTGCGGACAATCTGCATTATATTAAAGGGGCTGAGTGATTATGGAAGCTGACTTCCCAGTGGGAGCCACCTGCCGAAATCTCAGATTACAAGAGTGGGTGGTAAGGATCACAAATTTGGCCTTAATGAGGTTTGGCATCATTCTCTGAGGGGTTTAAGTGGTGAGTACGACATGGCAGCCAGGATCTGTAGGTGGAGGTATGTGGGGGCAGAACTCTAAGAGGGCTCCCATGACATCCACCCCCAAACCCCCACTGTACATGCCCAGTATAACTCTCTGGATGAGTGTGATGAATTTTACTCTCATTATTGGGTTTTGTTGTATCATAGTCAGCCATAAAATAAAGATATTACCTGAGTGGGCCTGACCTAATCACATGAGCCCTTTGAAAGCAGGGTGATTTCTCTGGCCATGGAAGGGGATGTCAGAGAGATTGGAATAATAAAAGAAATTTGATAATGCAGTGTTGGGCTCCTACATTGCTGGGTTGAAGGAGCCCATAAGGCCATGAGAGTGGCCCCTAGGGGCTGAGTCATAGCTACTAAGAGAGTGGAGACTTCAATCCTGCAATTGCAAGGCAACAAATTCTGCTAACCAATTGAGTAAGCCTGGAAATGAACCTTTTTCTAGTAGAGCTTCTAAATGAGGAAGCAGCTGGCCAACACCTTGATTTTAGCCTATGAGACCCTGAGTAGAACGTCCAGCTAAAATCTCCCAAAATCATAACTCATGGAAACTCTGAGATAATAAATGTGCTGCTTGAATCGCTTAAGTTTGTGGTAAATTGTTAGGCAGTAACAGAAAACAAATACAGGATGGCATTTGTAGTCCAGCGTGGTAGGAATTTTGTCAGTCTTCTCCACGATTTACCTAGATTGGTATAATGCTGAGCTGACAACTGAAGGTTTAGAAAGCAGTCAATGAGCGAGAAGAGGGACTGGCCTGAGTTATGTGAATTAGGAGCTCTGGATAGGGCTCTAGCTCCATTTTGAGACTTGGGATGCATTCAGGAAGCATAAACTGAATGAAAGGTGAAGAAATAAGGATAAGAGGAAATGAATTCACTTGGTGGGTATAGGAATGCTTAGGATTACTTTAGACACAGGGAAATCAGTTTACAGCAGCCAGACTAATGCCAGAACCTGCCTGCTGGAGACACGGAGGTCTTCTCTTTCTACCAGACCAGGCTATTCTTGGCTGAGTCAGCTGTGTAAATATCTTCAGTGCTAAAGAGTGGGGAGGGCTGAAAGAGGTAAAGACCGACAGTCTCTGCCCCCCACTGGAGTGTAACTTAAAAAAATTATTTCTAGAGGACTATATCTCATTCATCTTTGTGTCCTTAGCATCTATAGCAAAATCTGGAACAAGTAGATTCACACTGTTAGTCAAGAGGGAATTGTAGAAATCCCATGTGTTGTGGAATTGAAAGCCACTAAATGACCCATTTGCCCCTTTCATAATTTATTGTGCTTTAAAGGAAAGGCTATGAGGTTTGTAGCTAGACAGACATGAGTTCAAATCTTGGTCACCGTTATTAACCTCCCTGAACTTTATTCTCCTGAGTCCCTGCTGCTTTCTGGGTTTTTGAGATGGGCAGCACCAAGCAGGAAAAAGTTTGGTTACTTTTAGCTGCTTCAGTCAAACTCATTATGAGCTTTCAAATTGAGGAGCTGCTGAGTTAATCCAAGAAATAGTGTTGTAATCAAAACAAATATGTGGGCTTTGTTGATTCTCCTGCATCTATATGGCACTTATATTCTTGTTCTTTTAAGGTGAGGCTACAACCACATGAAATGATGGGCTTTAGGACATCAGCCATGGGCATAGCAAGAACACAATAACTTATAATTGTTCCAGTATCCATCAAGAACTTTGCTAGTTTCTTTACCCCAGCTAAGTATGTGAACTAGGGTCAGCTGGTAAATCACTCCAACTCAATTTTCTCATCCATAAAGTGGGGACAAAAATAGTATCTGCCTCATAAAATTGCTGGGCAAATAGGGTTAATATTTGTGAAGCATTGTGGTACTATATAAGCTCTAGATAAATAGAAATAGCTCTTTATTTTCATGACAACCCATAGAGTTAAACATTACTATACCTAAGTTGTCAGCAGAGAAATCAGAGTTAATAGAGAAGGTAGGAGATTTATATTAAAAGAGAAGTAACCAACATAAGGTAGCATGCATGTATTTACACATGAAAAATCAAGCCTTGATTAATATCAAATCGTTACACGTTAGTTCAACACCTGTTGAATACAAAGCACTGTAAAATGTAATGATATTTGCCATCTCTAATTGTAATGTTGAAAATGGTGCAAATGCATTAATTATTGGGCTTTATTTTGTTCAATAAAAATCAATATTTGGAATATAAATCCTAAGAGCCAATGTCAGTTTCTTCCTGGAACTCTAAGCTGAGCACTTGTAGGACAAGACAACAATGGCCTGTAGGTGGCCAGTTGTCCTGTACAACATAAAAGCCAGAGAACAATAGAAAAACCCTACAAGTTTTATTCCACACACCTTATTAGCATTCATTTCCTACGGATATCAGCCACAATATCTTAAACCATGCAAAACATCACAACTATTATGAATACTAAAGAAAGGAATAGATATACTCATATATATTTTAAAACAGTAACTTATTAGGTTGTTCTTCACTCTGAACTCAAGCCGCATGAATGAGCCTATTTATGTTTCTGAGTCTCAGACAGCTCCCTCAGACACATTAATGGATGGAGCTAGGACAGGAAGGTAGCACCAGCACTGGCCAGCATTACTCCTGAAGTCCATGGCTGCCAATGGCACTGCATCCAGGCGCTGAACAAATATTCACTCATTTGTTCATTCACTTATTCTTCCATTCAAATATAATCTGTACCAACCATATCAATAAAAACAACAAAATCTAACCTCTATGTGTCAGGCACTATGGGTAAGCACTTCCCTGCATTATCTCATTTTATCCAAGTAGTCACTCTCTGGGAGTACTATTTTCTGCACTTTAGAGATAAAGAAACTGAAGCTCAGAGAATGTAAATATCTCACCCAAGGTCATATAGCTAGTAACTGGTAGTTCCAAGAATTAATTTTTGTTTGTTTGTTTTGCTTTACTTCAGTGCTGACTCTTTTCTTAAGCACATTATATATTCAGTCGTGAATGCATTTACCCATTCATTCAACAACACTGGGGCCTACTAAGTGCCATGCACTGTGCTCAGAGCTGAGGAAACAACAATGATAAAATCCTTGCTTTTGAGGAGATGATCATGGATTCAAAAACAATGCAAGGTGATGTTAGACATACTAAATTATATTGGATTCGATTAGATGGACTTGGAATTGAATTGAATTGAATCAAATTGAAGTCATGTTTATTTCTTATTCAGAACTGATAGGATAGAAATAATAAAGCTCTCTTGCTCTAGAAGTGGTCACCATAAAGAAGTGAGTAACAAACCATTCTTGGACTCTTAAGAAAACAAAGTGAGACTAATCTGTAAAGGGTAGCAGAGGCAGTTTGTGTGGATGCAAAGAACATCTGACCCTGTGGTTCAACCTACAAAATCTGGGCATTCATTCTGCCAACAGACCCAACCATTGAACTTAACATTAGGATCTCAAGAATATGTAGTGGTCACTGTTCTCAAGGATCCTCAGCCTAGTGGTGGACAGGTAAAGAGGGAAGTCCAAAAGAGTGCTGGGCTTCAGGATGTCTCTCTAATTGATTATATTTGAGTTGAGTGAAACCTGGAGGATAAAGGGTAGGGCAAGGAGAGCTGGCATATGAAATGTTTTGGCAACTACATTTTTGAGAAAATTATAAAAGAATGAAACCAAAGCTCCAGCTCTGCTCTGTAACTAACAAGGTGCGATAACCCTGATGTCCCAGAAACAGTAAGGGCTTTACAGAGAAAACATCATTCCATTTCTGTTCTTTCAATTTAATAGTTATGTGACCTTGTACCAATTAGTTATCCAGTGCCTAAGTGTTCTCGTGGGCAAACTGGGGCCAATAACATCTACTTTAAAGAGCTTAATGAGAATTAATAATGATCATGTGTGCAAATATACCAGCACATTGCTTGACACCAAGGAATAGCTCACCAAATATTAAATATAACCTCCATTTCTATTATGCACTAAAAAATTGGCCACCAGACACCTGGAGGAGTACCTACTTAGCATCTCCTAAGCTACATTCTATAAAACAGGAGTTCTGGGGACAAATATGTTTGGAAATCATTGTATACTATTGCTCTCACTCCTATAAGAGTCACAGTGGATATCAGCATGCAACAGTTCTGCATTACAGAAACATCTTCAGATGTGTTTTCCCTGACTTTTCTGTACTTTTTGATCACTAAAGCCCTTTATCACTTAATATTAGGTTCTCTTTGTTACATCACCCTAATGTTTTTTGCTTTTTTAATTTGCTTGTTTTATTAATGAATGAACAATGAATGAGTGAATTTCATAGAGCTATTTGATAAAAACAATGCCACCCCTTACCCCCAAATTTGATATGTTACAGTATCAGATACAAGATTCTGAAAGAGCTCTTTTGACTCTGAGAAAACTGGATATTCTTTTGGGAATACCCACTTCTCTTAATGAGTTCTTGAATCTCAGAGCAGATGATTTTTTTTTTACTCATCTAATTCACTATTCATGGCAAATTCTTAAAAGCTGAGTTATCTCCATTACTATTATGGATTGACGTGTATTATTATTATTGCTTTTGTTGTTGTTGTTAGCTGTATATTCTCAGATGTCCCTTTTGTGAATAGAGATTCAGAGACTTAAGTACTCTCTGGAATTTAGCCCCTTTCAAGATCTAACCATCATTTGAGATAGTTTCTTATGGAGACAGGAGTACTATCTTGATGTAGAAAGGGGGCAGGGCACTCTCTGTTGCATTTAACACCTTGGTAGCAGAACCCTTGCACTACTGCAAAGCATTCTTAACCCAACATCTCCTGGGAGGTTATTAAGAACCCTGAGAAACAGGAATCTAGGAGGCAGCAGAAGCAAAATATTGGAATTACTAGTTATCATCCTAGTACTGTGATTGATTGGCTATATGGTCATGGGGAAGTTAGTTATGTTATCACTTCAAAACTCAACTTTTTCAATTATGAAATCGATGTGGTACTACTTGGCCTGCCCACTTCACAAAGTTGTTTTCAGGCTGCATTAAGAAGTCAGAGTGCTGAAAACTGCAAAATCTCTAGAAATCCTAAGAGAGCGTAAAAACAGTACCACCCCCATGCCCTAGATAAAGAAAATGAAGAAAAACAGAGTGTCAGTCTTGCCCAAACTCTCTCAGCAGCAAGATCCTTTCTTTGGGCTTCCTGTTGGCTGGCCCAGTGTGTAACTTCTGCAGCTCTGAGGCTGTCTGTTCGGCTGCACAAAGTCATCCCCGATTTCCCTCACTTCCTCAACTTACAAATCCATGCCATCACAACATCCCATAGATGAAGCTTCCTTCTCTCCCCTCTCACCTTACTCAACACTTCTGTCTTAGTTTGGGTCTCTATTTTTCTCATCTGACCCTTTTGGTGCATGAACTTCCACTCTGCCTCAGAACTGGGAAGCTTCTTGTCCATTCTTCACACTATGGTGGCCAGAGTTATCATTCCAAAGAGCATATCTAACCATGCTCTGTTCCCTGAGCATGCTCTGTCAGACAACCTACATCAGGAAAGAGGGATGCTTAAATGGGTAACTGAAGAGTTTGGTGCATGGGCAAGTGACAGAAGTATGGGTAGAGAACTTGGAAGGAGTTGTGGCTGTGGGAAAGAAGCTGCCCGTCAGAATTTTGGACCTCAGCACAGAAGTGCAGACATCACCAAACCCTGGTCCCCCGGGGAGTAGCAGGAAAAATAAGTCCTAGGCGCTATCTTCTCACCCTTTGCTTTCCTGTTGGTGCCTCCTATTGGCCAAGTAGGAGCTTGAGTAACTAGGTTTGTGAAAATCATCTTCCCAGAGCACACAGCAGGGCAGGGAAGAATAGAAATGGAATCTGGAGAAGCAAATGAAAATATCCAGCATGCATGCATTCGCTTGTGTGGATCCATGACTTTACTCAGGAAATCCCTGCCGCCTTTCATGCCCCTTTTTCCTAGAAAACTATAGACCCTATAGTCCTCTAGAGATCCAAATCCTAACTATGGCATGCTCCTAATTCTTACCTAACTGCCATTTCAACTGCAAAACTCTTATTCACTACCCTCTATTAGAATTAATCACTCTGTTGTGCCCCCTCAGCATTTAGGCTTTAGAGATAAAATGGTTGACATGAAATTCAAGCTCTGCAACTTGTTAGCTATGTGACTTCAATCAAGTATTTAGCTACCCAATACCTCAGTTTCCCCATCACCAAAATGAGGTAATTAGTGACACTTTCTGTAGGGATTTGTGATGATTGCATGGTATGTATTTAATCCCTGTGAAACATCTAGACAAATGTCTGCCACTTGGGAAGCACTCCAGAAATGAGAGTTATCATCCTGTCATCACTGAATCTATCACAGTCTATTTGGTGGTGTGATTAACTCTGTATAGTCTGCTCCTCCAGTCGCTTACGGGCAGATACTTCTCTTACCTTGGATACTTGACATTCAGCCCAGTGTTTTGCACATAGAACTGCTTAGTAAATATCTATGTATTTGAATTGAATTGAAGATGAAGCAAGGTAGACTAGGTGGGTGAAGTCAACCCTGTTTTTCTTGCAATCCTTTGAAAACTCCAATCCTAGCATTTTCAACCTGCCAACAATTGACTAGTATTGGTTTACAGAAACTGTGCTTGTTAAAGCCAGGAGTTATCAAAGAGCCTTAATAGATATCTCTTAAGCTGCATGCATTTAAACAAAACCCTGATTGAGAGCCTGCACGTTCTCAGTTACTGGCGTCTGGAGAATCAATGCAAATCTTTATGCCATCATCATTTTCCTTGCCATGTTACTACTTGATCCCTGATCTCCACAGATTTCAAGAATAATAGAAATAAGGTGTATATGTCTGCTCTTACATACTCCTTGTTTAGTTATAGGCACAATCTAGCTTGAGGGGAAACAGGAGAGTATGTCTTCCTCCAAACACAGTCACCATTCAACAGAAATTTTTAGGCAAGATATTGACCTGGTGGTTGTTAAGACTAATGTAAAGTTAAAGAAAGCAGTGACTCTGAAACACTGGAGCCAATGAATGAAACCTTTTGCATTTGCTCTTATCCTCTCTAACATTTGGACTAGGCTACTCCCACCTGACCCCACTCACAAACGTGTTTGCCCTGATGGAAGAGCCTAGCTATGCCTCTGGCTATAAAAAGACAGGAGCTAATGTTTACTGAGAACATACTATGGACAATAACTTATGTCAAAAACTTTATACATCTAATACATTATTTTTTAAAATTATGTGATGTGGCATTTTTATATATTGGGAAGTATGCTACAAATAGCACAATTGGAGAGCCTATGTGGTCTCAAGCACTGTGCTAGTGCTGATAGTGCAGTGGTGATCCATGTAGATACAGTTCCTGCCCTCATGCCCATTATAATTAAGTGGTTCTGCCATAGCTTTGTTTCTGAGGACATTCTCATTATTTGAAAATTATGCTAACTAAAAACAATTATATTGATGTGAAAAAGAGGGTTACAAATTAGAAAGTTTTGGATATATAAAAATAAAGTTTTCCTGCAGAACATAATAATGACATTGTTTTCTAGATAGAAACTATTTCGTTATTGCAAGTTGAAAAACTATAGCTATTCTGAATGGATAAAACCAAACTTCCTCCTTTGGGAACTAATCACAAATGTGCAAGGCACACATATGGGAAAAGCCAGTGGCTGAATGTTTCTGAAATATAGAGTATAAAAGGAAAGGAAACTGAAGCATTTACAACTATAGAAATAGATTTGGGCCAGTCAGGTGGTGCTTCAAATGGGGAGTGTTAAATTCATTTCTTAGTCAACTCAAGCAGGAGCTGTGAAGGTGGGTAACACCATTAAAGCACTATTTGAGGATGTTAATCTCATGGTTAAACAAAAACAAAAACAAAGGGCCAAACAAAAGGATCAACGTGGAAACAGAGGCAGAGAACAAAGTAATCATCCAAATGAAACAGCAGACCCAGACAGGGCAGGTGCAGCCATGCACGTTGATGGGCTTGCCAAGGGCAAGCTTGTGCAGCAGTAGCTGTTAACAAGGTATATGAAGATCACCTGTCGAGTTTGTTAACCATATAGATTCCAGGATCTGACTCCCAGAGAATCTAATTCAGAAGCTGCCTGGAGGGGCAATGAGACTGAACTTTTAAAAAGTAGTCACCGTGATTCTAAGGCCAATTTTGAGAAATATTAATGGAGTAAATAAAGAAAGCTAATGGCAGAACCTTGAGGAAAAAACTGTTTTTAATGAGATGAGAAGGAAGAGGAGACAGCAAAGGAAATAAGGAATGACATGAAGTAAGAGGAAGGAAAAGAAGCATGCAGTAAGAATTTCAAGAGGAGGTTTTGGCAAACGCTACAAACTATCAATGAAATGAATATGGACAGGAAACAGAATAACACCAAAAACTGTCTGTAAAGGGTGAGTAAACCAGTTGGAATTGCTTACAATATTCAATTTTATTTCTTTTCTAAATATTTCTGAAGTTGAACTAATATTCTTGTTTGGAGCTATAATTTGATAAGATTCAAAAGACCAAAAAGAGTTTTTTTCCCAAAATTTTTAATGAAAACATTAAAACACATACCATAATTGAAAAAATGTATAAGTACTATATAACCACCACCTAGATTCTGCCATTAATATTTTATTTACTTGATTTATTAGATATATGTATATCTACTATCCCTCTATTCACTAATCCATCTGAGTTTCAGTACATTTCAAAATTAATTGCAGATGTGAACACTTTTCTCCCTAATTCGGGATGCATAATATTAACTTGAGTTCAATATTTGTTTACAGTTTTTAATGTAAGATTTGCATGCAATATATAATTAAGTGTACATTCAGTTAGTATTGACAAATGTTTGCACCTGGGTAACCCAAACACCTATCAAGACATGAAATATTACCATCATACCCTTTCCCAAAGACAAACAATATCCTAAATTGTTTCACCCTGTCTAAGTGTCTCCTGTTTTAGAATTTCATATAAATGGAATTATACAGTATTTTATCTTTTGTGTAAGGCTTCATTCACCCAGCAAAATATTTTTGAGATTCACTCACGTTGTTGAATGCATTAGTAATTTTATTCGTGAGTAGTACTCAATTACATATCAGAGTTTGTTTATCCATTTTGCTATTGAAGGTTACCAGGCTGTTACCAATATTGAGTTATAACGAATAAAGGTGTTATAAAAATTATTGTACAAGTCTTCTATGAATGTTTGTTTTTATGCATATTTGTCCAGAGTAAATACCTAAGAGTGGAGGTTTTTATATGTCTTGGTCACTATCCTTTGTTAAATATGTTTTGCAAATTATTTTTCCTGTTTGTAGCTTGCCATTCATTTTCTTTATGGTATTTTTTGATGAGCAAAAGTTTTTTTTTTATTTCAGTAAAGTCTAATCAGAGATTTTTAATGGCTATCATTTTCAGTGACGTGTATAAAACATACTTACCAACCCCCAAATTATAAATATATTTTCTATTTTCCACCAAAAGTTTTACGTTTTTACCTCTTTAAGCCTATGATCCCTTTTGGATTAATTTGTATATATGGTATTGGATGTTAATATCATTTTGTCTCCTACATCAAAATCCAGTGATTTTAGCTCTACTTGTTAAAAAATTTTCATTTTCCATTGGATTACTTTGGTAAACTTTCCCCAAAATTAATTACCTTATAAAGGTAGCTCTATTTCTGGTCACTCTTCCGTTTTTTTGATCGGTCTATCCCTATGCCAGTACCACACTCTGTAGATTATTGTAGTCTTTCAATAAGTCTTAAAGTCAGTTAGGGTCAACTTCCCAAGCTTTTTCATCTTTTTCAAGATTGATTTGGATATTCGTGGTGCTTTTCATTTCAATATAAATTTTAAAATTAATCTGTCAATGTGTAACTCTCCCCACAAAAAGCTTTCTGGAATTTTGGTAGAATTGAGAGTTTAACAACATTGAGCCTTCAAATCCATTTATTTATATCTTCTCTAATTTCGCTTCACAATATTTCATAGTTTTCAATGTAGAAGTCTTGCAAATCCTTTTGTTAGATTTATTCCTATTTTGTTTTTAATGCTATTATAAATGTGTTATTTCAATTTTCTAATAGTGCAGTGCTAGAATGTAAAAATTGGTTTTTTGTATATTAGTCTCGTATCCTATAATCTTGCTGAATTCGGTCATTAGTTTTAGTAATTGATACAGTTATTAGAATTTTCTAAAAAACAGCCAAGTCATTTACAAGTCAGTATGGTATAACTGCTTCCTTCCTTTTTGGTCTTTTGATGATTATTATTATTATGACTTTTACCTGATTAGAATGCCTAGCACCTCCAGTAAAATAATTACTAGAAGTGGCAAGAAGTGACACCTTTGTCATGTTACTGATCCTAAAGAAAAGTGTTCAATATTTAACAACTAAGTATGATTTAGCTAGAAGATAATTCTAAATGCCATATATCAGATTGAGGACGATATATTTTATTCATGGAGAGTTTTTAACATAACTAGTGTCGGATTTTAACAAATGCTTCATCTAGAACTATTATTACAATCATATCCCTGTTTTACCTTTTATTCTTTCAACATGATAACTTAGATTGATTGGTTTGTAAATGGTAAATGTAAATGTTAAATAAACCCTCAATTACTGAGATAAACTTCAGTAATTATGATGTGTTATTATTATTAGGTATTGTTAAAATTGACTTGATAATAATTTGCCAAGCATTTTGTACCTATTTTCATAAGAGGAATTATATTTATTATGTCCTTGTCCAGTCATGATATTGGCACTATGTCAGCCTCATTAAGTTGAGATGTCTTTCTTCCTCTATTTTCTAAAAGAAATTTTAAAGGGTTTATAGTATATCATCATTACATGTTTGATATAATTCACAATTAAATGATCAGAACCTGGAGTTTATATTGTGGGAAGAGTTTGGATACAAGTTCAATTAATTTAACAGATATCAAAATATTTATATTTTTGTTTCATTTTGAGTCACTTTTGATAAGTTTTATTTTTCAAAATATATTTTCATTCCATCTAAATTGTCTAATTTCCTGGCATAATGTTATTCATAAAATTAACATATTAGACTTTACATTTAATTTCTATTATAGGCAATTTATATTCTCTCTCCTATTTACTCCATCAGTGTAACTAAAGATGTAACACTTTCGTTGATACTTTCAAATAACAAACTTGCTTTCTACTTTATTTTTCTGGTTTCTATTTAATTTATGTCTCTTCTTAATTTATTATTTCCTTCCTTCCACTCACTTTAAGTTTACTATACTCTTCTTTTTTTAAGCTGCTTAAATTGGAATCTTAGGTTATTGATTTTTAGATCTGCTTTTCAACTTAAGCATTTAAACATATACATTTTCCTCAAAGCATTGCTTTAGCTGCAACACACACATTTTGAAATGCTGTGTTTTATTGTTATTTGGCACAAATTTTTCTAATTTCCCTATGATTTCTTCTTTTATTATTTGACCCTCGGGATTTATTTTTAAATTTTTAAGTATATCTAAGTATTATGAGTATGTTATTTAATTTGAAAATATGATACTCTAGCTATCTCATTGTTATTGATTTCTGGTTCAATTCTAATGTAGTCACAAAACATATTATTTATGGTTTAAATCCTTTTAAATGTATTTACTACATAGACCAGAATATAGCTCATCGTAGTGAATATAACATGAACACTAGGAAAGAATGTGTATTTTCTAGGTGTGAAATAGAGTGTTCTATAAATATCTATTATTTCAAGGGAATTAGTAGTGTTAGTCTCATTTTTTATGTTTTTACTTTTTTTCTAATTATTGTATCAATTGCTAAGGGTTGGATGTTAAAATCTGCAAATATTATTCTGGAGATGTTCATTCTCCCTTTAATTTTCCTTCATCTAATTTAAAGCTCTTTTATTGCGTAAACATTTACAATTGCTATATTTTCCTGGTGAATTGACTTTTATCATTATGAAGTGACTGAGTCTATGTTTGGTAATGCTCTTTGTTTTGAAGTCTATTTTGTCTGATATTAATTTATTCATTCTGGCCTTCTTATGCTCATTGTTGTGTGATATTTGTCTATTCATTTACTTTTATCCTATCTGTGTCTTTACTTAGCCATACTGGAAGACATCTTTAGACCAATAAAGTTTTAAGTTTTCTTGAGTCATTTACCCAAATCAGGTCAAACTTGCATCTTCAGAAAAGTGTATTTGAATGATTTGAATCAATGCTATGTTTTGCAGCAGATATATTCTGCACTTAACACTTTATGATGTAAAAGGACTCTTAACCTATTTGGGTCTTCGAGTCTTCCAAGGATTAGAAATCCTTGTGTTTAGGAAGGAAATATAAGAACTACTCTAACCATGCTCTCATAAAAATTACAGACCGACATAATCTCTTGTGCAGATACTAATAGGTGAAGCTAATAAGTCAGCAGGTATTTTAGACTCTAAAAGCATAGATAACGGAGAGGTGAAAATGTCTCCCTGAATCATAGCTCATAATTGGAAAAAGAAAAAGAACATAGTTTCACTGAAAAATTAATTTAATGTACAATTAAGAACTAGTTAAGGATAACTAATTATACCTTTGAATTTATACTCAACCCACAGCATTTGCTCTAAATATCAAATATGAAATAGTGCTCGCTTACATTTTATTTGGACTGAGCTATTTTGAGATGATTAATTTTTTAATCAAAGGCTCTGGAAATATGCTATTCTTTCTACAGGGAAGCAGGGCATGAAAACTTCCACCTTGAACTCAGGAAAAGTATCCAACAAGAGTTTGGCACAATTGTAGCCATCTAATGCTTACTTTGTAGCAGCCAGCATGAATTAAATAAACCATAATTCACAAAACAACCAACAAGAAGGACAGTATTGTGAGAGTTAGTAAATAAATAATAAATATAATATCTAACATTTTTTAAATAGTTACCGTGTACTAACACTTCACCTGAATTATCTCACAGTATTCAAAGCTGCCTCGTTTCATGAATTCTACCATCCTTGTTTCACAAGGGCAGCTTTCTCAGCTTGGCGAGATGACTTGGTGAATTGCTGATGGAGCCAGAACTCAAATCCATTCTATTGCATCACTCAAAATTCAATGCACCCTGGGTGTGTTAGAAAACTTGAGTAAAAAAGTCTTCCAGTTATAATGTATGGTTACAAATTATTCTTTTTAGAGTGTTTAAAGATCTGAAGGCATGAGAGGAAATGAGAATGTGGAATCATTCATATGCATGTGGAAATATTTATGCTGAAAATGGAATGCTGACTTCTGGGTGTGGTAGAGAAAACCAATGTGAAAATATGTGACTTTTCTATACAAAGACCAGTTAAATAATTCATGAATTTGTTTATTTAATTCAATGAGACATTGTATGTAGACCGTCTATGCCATTTATACTTGAAAATGTATTTTTATATTTAATAATTGATACTGTATTCAAATGTTTAAAAAACTTATTACATATAAGGTTCATAAAACAATGCCTGATACAAAATGTATGCTCAGTAATCTTTATTATAAGGATTGGCAGAGGCTCTAATCGAATAGGATTTTAAAAGAAAATTAAACCAGGAAAAATAAGTGAAGAGAGCATCTGCTAAGTGTAGATGCTATGTGTAGGTGCTATGTGATCTTATGTATATTACTTTCATTCTGACAACAAAATTATGACAATAACATCCATGTGTTCAGAGACATGTGCTATTCTGTTCTGTGAGCTCTATCCACCTTGGCCTCCCCCGGACTTGAGTCAGAGAGACTGTCAGGCTATCCTTTGCTGGAAACTCCCCAAACAGTAGACTTTGGTAATCACAGTGCTCACCTCATCTGCTTACCAACCATCTTTCAGGGAGGGTCCTTGTTCTTTGTTCGTTGGGATCCAATTTCCTGAAAAATGTTGTTTCATAGTTTGTTTTTTTGTTGTTTGTTTTTAGTTGTTTCAAATAGGTAAGTGAGTTTTGTCGTCTTTTACTCCATGTTGAGTGGCAGCAGAGACTCAAACTGTGTTTTTTAATTAATTGCCACTTAAAAATAACAATCAGCCAGAGATGAGCAACAGCTGTTTCTCCTAGACTGGTCTTATACTTCCCACTTCTCCAGAGCTCCCACTTCTGTATGTATCCACGCTTTCCCCATTTTTACTCATTGAAGTTATCAGCATAAGCGGACTTGTGTGAACCTCCAGCTAGAAAGTAGCTAACATTTTTTAAGTTACTATGATAAGGAAAGTTACATATTTTATCTCATTTATATAGAGCCTCACATGGAGAAAGGATGGAGACAAATATCAAAGAAGTATATGATGCCAAGTTTAATTAGGAACCATCAGAATTGAGATTTAAACCCAGATCTGTCTGATTCCAGAGTCCACACTTTTTCTAATATGATATACTATCTTCTAAAGAAGGTTAAAGTGGTTAAAAAAATTTAAGTAAGGGTGAGTCGTTAGGATCTGTAGGAAGCAGGGGTGAAAGAGCTTAACCCAATCCCTGACCATCCCAACCTAAGCTCAGACTTCAGCTGCTGAAGAATCCTTACAATGTAAACACTTTCAGAGTTTAACAAACCACAAAAGGTGTATTCAAATTGAACAAGTCTTATATTTAAAACCAGGTGCCACAACTGAATACTTGATACTTTCATATTTTAAGAACTGTGTTCACAATATATTCTGCTACTCAAACCAACATTTATATTTGTGTGTTATATTCTGTTCTAAAAGTTAGGATAGTTTCACAAAACTAGTAACATAAAGACTGCAAATCGTATTTGTTTAAAATGTCTTTCCCCCTTCCAAAATGTTTTTTCACATATTTCATGAGTAATTCAAATATGTAAGATTGCGTGACTTCATTATGACTAAATACTGAATGCAGGCTAATGGCCTTAAGAGGGAAGACAATGGGAACTTCCCTGGATTATCTAGCTGTTTCATGCTTGCTTCAGTTTCTTCATGTCAATAATGGTCTATTTAAAGTTTTGTAGTCTTTAAATTCCTTTCATTAGTGTTTTCATATGAACAATATGGGTTTCATATCTTTCTCCATTATAGCATTGTAATGTTGTTCAAACACTACTTATTAGCATGTCACATTCTTTCATTAAATTGCAGTCCCCTCAGGAATAAGCATAAATATAATTCTAACTTCATATTAAGGGTACTGATTTTGTTAAAATGAAACTGAACTGAAGGATCTTCTTAATTTTTCTCCTAAGAACAAAATAGACCTTAAACACTTCCCAAGAACAATTATAGAATTCAATAAGTGTGGGTTTGTTCATAGGCATGAGCTGATTGGTAAAATGCAAGCATCGTTGTATAATCTAACAATTTTGTTAGTAGCTAATGAGGGTTAGTGGAAAGCACATGATCTTGGAAGTCATATTAGTTGTCACTAATTAATTTGGGAAAGTTATGTACCTTCATTCACTTGTTCATCTGTGGTTATTTTTAAATTTGTACTTTTTGTTGGGCATGTGCTGTGACCTGGGATAGAATGGTGAGCAAGAATGTGTTGTTTCTTCCTTCACTGGGCTTTTTTGGGAAGCCGACCAGGTCTGTTGGGGAAGACGTAAGACGTGTGATCATGTAAGTGTGACGTGTTTGCAAGTGTTAGAAGAACAAGGGCTCTGGGTCACCTAGCAGGGTCATGTGACTCAGTCAGCGGGGAGCATAGGGATGACTGCCTGAAAGAAGACAAGGCTGAAACTTGAGAGATGAACTGGAGTGACAGGTTAAGCCAGGTGGAGCAGGCAGAGCGATCAGTAAAAGCCCAAGGACATAGAGGCTTTCACAGACTGACAAAGAATGTTTACTTTTTTCATTCACCTGAATAGCTACTGCAAAGAAAGTGATGTTACAGCCACATCTCTATCAAGATTACAACCTTCTTCAGGAGCACATTACAGCAGAGAATTCCTACTATGTGCCAGAAGTTACAGCCACCATCTTCCATTTGAATAGTGAACTCATTTTATCTTTGGAAAAAAAAAAGTCAGGGGGAAGGAATGTTTTACACATAGCAATCATTTCATTTTCACCTTATCCCAATAAGAAAACTATGGCACAAAGAAGCTAAACAATTTGCCCAAGATCACTTAGCTAGTAAATGGCTGTGCCTGAAACAGACCTACATGTTCTAAATTCTTAACCAGAATGAGTCTTCCAATGCTGACTTGCTTCTTTACTTGCAGATAAATGTGAAACACAGCCCAAGCAGGGCAGCTTATCTGGACTTTAGGCTCTAAGTGAGATGGGCACAGAGTTTACATACAAAAGACCTCAGCAATGAATTACCAAGAGAGCTGAACAATCATGGGTATGGTTTTTTGCTAACTTTGGGATTCTGCTGCCTCACCAACTGCCACCCCCATGGAAAGCTTTATTCAGTGGACAGAAGGGCTTCCCAGGACCTGAAAAATAAGGAGATCACCTTCCTCTCTGCCATAATAAGGAGGCTCTTGATATTTCACCCACCATACAAGAGTATGTAGGGCACATTTACTTGTCCTACAATGTGAAGACAACAGAAATTATTTCCTCTATTATATAGATGACAAAATGGAAGTTCACACAGTTTAAATACATTCCTTAAGGTCAAATAGTGAACATGGGCCAGCTTTGGATTTGAACTAACCTAGTGCTAGCTGAACAACTGTTCTTTTTCTCTGGATAGTTTCAAAGTCCTAAAAATAATTTGTAGTAAATAAAGATTCGTGAGCGATGAGTTTGCGCAACAAGGTGATGTTGCTGAATATGATCCCTTCTTGCAGAGTCATTCTTAGTAAAGTAAAATTTCTGGAAGTCCTATAATAAAGAGAGCAGTTTAAATTAAAGCCAGTATTTTACAAACATGTTTGACTACTAAAAGTCTGTTTCCCCTTCTCTATTAAAGGGCAGAATACGGCTTACCTCCTGGAGTTTTAGGGTGATTAATTGAGTTAGAATTAAAAAGGAAATTTGCGGCCAGACTGCTCCTAACTAGCAGTGGCACATGATGTCTCCTGCCTATACTTGACTTTCTTACTTTTCTAAGACAAATAATAATGTCTATGCACTGAATCGTTCTGAGTTGAGCGGAATCTCCACAGCAGTTCTTGGTACATTGAGTTTTCTCAATAAATATTCTCTTCCCTTCTTCTAGTTCACATTGCTGTCTTCCACGTTCTTCTTTCATTCTTCTTTCCTTGTGGCTGGTGTTCTTCCCTTCTTTGTCTTAGCTCCTCTTGTTCCTGATACCCCTGTCCTTCCACATGTCAGTTAAGCACTAAATGGGACAAAAGAGAAGAGGAAGATACCTGAAAATGGGATTTTTCTAAAGTAACGTGGATACTTTCCTTACCACATCCTTGAAAAACTGACATAAAACAAAAAATGTCAAGTCTGTACCTCTTTACCCTTGGAGATTTTTTTCATTTCAGCCATTTGGAAAAGGGAACATACAGCACCTCCCAGCTACCTGCACATTCTGCAACAGTGAGCACAGCAATCGTGTCATCTCTCTGAGACGGACCACAGGATCCTCAGCTGAAACCTCCAAATTTGTATTTACTTGACCATACTCTGGTGGAAGTTTTGTGTTTTTTAAAGTGGGTAATGGCAATATTTGGAATCGTATAGCCTGGCAGCTGTAGGACTTTAAATAGAGGAAAATGAGCAAGCAAGGTCAACTAGTGAATAAAACTTAAAAGTCTTTGAGACCTCTTAGTGATTTTACCAACTCATTTTTGTCCTTGGCTGGAGGGTGCTTCTTTGGGATCCTAGTTATATATAGTCAGTGCTCCATATCTGTGAATTTTGCATCTGTAGATTCAACCAACTAACTGTGGAGTAAAAATATTTGGAGAAAGAATATTTCAGAGTTCCAAGAAATAAGACTTGAGTTGGCCACATGCCAAATTCCAAGTTCTAAGTTGAATCCACACAAATGAAGTGATATTTATGCATTGTATTAGGTATTGTAAGTACTCAAGAGGTGACTTAAAGTATATAGGAAGATGTGCATAGGTTATATGCAAATACTGTGTCATTTTATAGGACAGGCTTGAGCATCAGTGGATTTTAGTATCTGAAAGGAGTATTGGCATCAATCCTTCACAAATACCAAGGGATGACTATATATGCAAAAGATGGATGGGAGGGTAGAATAACTTTCTACAGGGAAAGAGGTCACGGGTGAGGGTGACACATATGGTAATGATTTAGTAGTCAGTTACCTAATACGCTTCTACATATCAACCCACCTCCACGTTACCAGAGGATACTAGAAAAATGGTCTTGGAAGCTCTATGACTAGGCAGGACCTAGTTTCTGGGATAAAAGCTAAACCTATGGACAACCAACCTTTATGTTAGACAGATTTTTATTTGAATACTGGCTGTGTACCTTGGCCAGTTACAAATCACTCTGAAGACCAGTTTCCTCATCTGTCAAACTGTGACCATCATGCCCACCTCACAGAGTACTTTGTAAATCCATGTAAAAGTGCTCAGCAGAATGCTGGTACAACATGTGTACTCAAAATATGTTAACTGGATTAAATTGAAAGGAAATACTCTAGCACACAAAGGCTGATCCACAAAGCATCCTCACGGGGTGGCCACTGCTTCAATGTCCACAGAAAGGCAGAGCGGGGGAAGCAGGAACCTATTGCTTCAGGTGATGGGTCACTGCATTTTTAAGCAGTGGCAACTATAACGGAAGCAAAGTTAAAATTATTCAGGCCAATTTAAGCAAGATGCTTTAAATATGGACCCTTAATTGTTTATTTTCTACTTTTACCTTTATGTGTCAAATAAAAATGCACTGTAAAATTTCCATGCCAGGATATTTCAGGATAACCTCCTCAGAAAGTCATGTTAATTCCACTCTAGGAGGGAACCTCCATACCCTCAAAGATTAGAAAGGAGTATCCAACCCTTCAAGAGCAGCTTATAGTTAATGACAACTGCTAATTATTGCCTTTATTTCCTTCTGGATAAAAGGAATAATGTCAAAGACTTGAAAGAAATTAAGGTGATCTACCAGTGGGACAAACTCAGGAAAAAGTAAAACCCAGTCACCCAAGAAGGACCATATGGAACAATTTAAATATAATGCATGTGATGGATTTCTGCAAAGGCTGGCTACAGAAAGAAGGGAGCAGACAAGCATAGATAGTGCTTCTTATTTATTCATTCACTCAAATAGCATTTGTTTACAGGGTTTGTGGGAAGAAAACTAACATTTATTTGTGCCATTCCTTTTACAAATATTTATTGAACATTTACCTTTGCCGGGCAGTGTCCTGGGACCTGGGATAAAGGAATTAACAAGATAAATGAATTCCCCACTCACATGGGGCTAACATTATAGTAAAGGGAAAATATCAATCAAGATGAAATAGGAAAAATTATCAGATAGGGATAACAGCTATGTGAAAAATTAGAATAAAGTCATGTGAATATGAGTATGTTGGGATTACTTTACATAAAGTACTCATGGAAGGCTGGAAAGAGCCAGACATGTGAATATTAGAAGAAGAGCTTTCTGGTCAGAGAAAATAGCTAACATAAAGTCCTTGTGGCAGTAGGGAGCAAGCTTGTGTCTTCAAAGAATTTCTTTTTAAAGGCAATGTGACCTGGGTGCAATGAACAAAGGGGAGTGTTATGTGATGAGGTCAGAAACATAGGTAGGGCTGTGAGTTAAGAACTTTATGTTTTCATAAGCCATAGTGATAAATTTATCTTACTCTAAGTGCCATGTGAGTCCTGGGAAAGGATCAGGGCTGGTAATGTGGATGTGTCTTTCCATGGTGTTAAATTTATGGGGCTGATTTTCTCTTCCTGCCTTAGTTTGCTGAAGATAATGTCATCCAACTCCATCCATGTCCCTGCAAAGGACATGATCTCATTCCTTTTTATGGCTGCATAGTATTCCATGGTATATATGTACCACATTTTCTTTATCCAGTCTATCACTGATGGACATTTGGGTTGATTCCATGTCTTTGTTATTGTGAATAGTGCTGCAATGAACATATGTGTGCATGTATCTTTATAATAGAATGATTTATATTATTTTGGGTATATACCCAGTAGTGGGATTGCTGGGTCAGATAGTATTTTTGATTCTAGTTTTGATTTGCATTTTTCTAGTGAGCAGTAATGTTGAACTTTTTTTCTTTTGTTTTTTGGCCACATAAATATCTTCTTTTGAGAAGTGTCTGTTCATGTCCTTTGCCTACTTTTTAATGGGTTGTTTGTTTGTTTTTGTAAATTCAAGTTCCTTGTAGATATGCTGTATGTTCCTACTTGTAAGTGGGAGCTGAACACTCTGAGAACATAAGGACACAGGGAGGGAAACAACACACACTGGGGCTTGTGGTGGCGGCAGGGGTTGGGTGGGGGAGGGAGACCATCAAGAAAAATAGCTAATGCATACTGCACCTAATATCTAGGTGATGGGTTGACAGGTGCAGCAAATCACCATGGCACATGTTTACCAGTGTAACAAACCTGTATGCTCTGCACAAGTATCCCAGAACTTAAAAAGAAAATAAAACATTGTGGGGCTGAATGAGAGGACAGATGTAGAGAAAAGGGCCAAGGAGAAAGACCTTGATAGTTCACCATTCAGAGATAGCAAAGCAGGAGGAACAGGGAGGTAAGAGGAAAATCAGCAGACTGTGACATTAGTGAAGCCAGAAGGAGACATTTCACCATTGAGAGAGAAGTCGGCATGTCAATCACTGCTGAAAGGGAAAGGGACAAAAGAACAGAGAAGTGACCACTGGGGATGATTGATAACCTTGGCATGAACAGTCTTTAGGGATGGTGGAGGTGAAAGCTTGATGGTAATATAAAATGTAAAGTTATAAAGGGTAGGGAGAAGCTATAGAGATCTCTTTCAAGAAATTTTCTAATTTTATGGAAAAGTTACCCGTAGTTGGAATAGAATGTAGTGAGATAAGAATTTTTTTAAACCAAAGAAATTATCAAGTGAGTATTTATTTTGGTGAGTTAATATAAATTATCTAGAAGGGAGGAAGAAATTAATGACTCAAAAGAGGGGGGAATAATTTCAGCAGTAAAGACCTTGAGATAAGGAGAAGGGTTGATATCTAGAGCACTGGAGGGAATGACCTTCAATGCCTGCTCTATATGCAGCCCTTTACAAAGACCAAATCCTTGAAACCACCCTATATGGGAGATAGAATCATTACCATTTTATTAGTAAAGAAATTAAAGAATTTGTAAAATTAAGATCCTATAATTATCACTGGTTCTTCCATGTATGGAATCCAGATACCCACCCCCCAGCCCCAAACAGATGTGACAGTGGATCTTTCTGCAGTAATGTTATCCTCCCATACCTTCAGAGACCTGGTCCTTAGCTAATCCTGAAGTGTTATCACTGCAGGATACCCAACTAGACCAACTCTGTTGTTCCATGAACATCAAAGAGCTTGTCCTTTATAGTCTGTGTTATGTTTTTATGCAACATGCTGCCTCTGGACACCCTCTTCTCTCTGTAGCAAACCCGTCACCCATCTCTCCTACATCTGGGTGGTTCGTATTCATCCCTCAAGACAATTCAAATGTCCCCTCCTCCACCTAGATGGCAGTGACGCTGCCTTTACTCTTTTGGTTCTAGTTTTGCCTCTTATAATACAAACTTATCTGCATGTACTGTGATGGGAGATCCTCAGCTAAACTGGGAGAACCATGAGTCGGGAAATCTGTGCCCAGCACAGGACTTGACATAATGTGGGATATTTGGTAAATATTTGTGGGAGGAGAAAATGAAAGAAGATCCATTCTTAGCATAATGATTGATATATGTATTTACTTCTAAAGTGATGCAAGTACTTCAGAAACAATCTGTCAGGTATTTTCATCATAACATTGTCATGGAGAAGTGGAAACTCCCATCTTTAATATTTTTCCTGTTTGGATACAAGTTTTATCCCCATCCAGGGCAAGAAACTGAGAAAAGGAGAATAGGAATCTCCTTCGGAGAAGAGATGGGGTCAAACTCTCAGCCCAGGTGCAAATTGTATTCATATCTTTATCCTCTGAAGAACATGGGTTATCCTACCCCATCCTATAGTCTAAAATAATATAAAATTTATACTCAACCAAGTGATAGTCACAAGGACAATCATCATTTTCTAATTTTAAGAAATCATTTTAGTTTCAGTTGAACTTCAAACATTTTGTAATATAAGAGGAAATTCAGTAAATTGCCCAGTGAATGATAACAACAATAATCTCTTTTGTTTGTATATTCCTTTGCCATTCTTAAAGCAGTTTTATGAACCTGTTTCTGAATACTATTTTCATTAAATGTGAGAAGGTAAAGGAATCTAAGTTCCAATCTTCATGTGGCCACTAAAATTCATCGTTTGAGCCATGCAGGGCAAAGGCTATGGTTTTCATCTTACAAATCAGAGGCAGGAGGCTGAGGATGTCACACAGGACTAGGGCATAGGCTTTCCAAATTTGGGGCCAGAGCCTTTTTCAAAATAAAGATACTTATTTTGCAAAGGGTGAGATAAATCATTGACAAAACTTCCATAGGTTAAAGTTACAGTCTGAAGAGCCCAAGTCCAAATATGAGTTACCGTTGCATAATGTAGCAATTCGGGGCCCCTTAGATGTAGACATTAGATAATGCATCTACAAGGAAAAAAAATCCAGAGGTTAAACAATAATCCTCATTCACGACAGTAGAAATAAAAGTCCATTGAAATAAACAAAATTGTACAATCTCCAGCAAGAAAAAAATTTGAGCTGTCTTGTACTACTTCTAACTCCGTAAATCTGTATTGTCCTCCTTAATGCACCATAGACTCAGAAGCAAAGACAGAAATCCAAGGAGTCCAGCAATCTTTTTATATCAGAATCAATTAGGAATGTGCTGTGCTTTTAAAATGTACCACTTTATATTAAGAAGCTTAAGGGGTGAGTAACAAGCTCATAAAATGTTAATAACTATAATAACTGTAGCTTCAGCAACACCTTTAACAGTGTGGAACTGTCATGGGACCAGAGATAGTAAAATGCCCTTGGGAGGGTAATGGGCACTGGGAAGGCTTGAGTGGACTGATGAGCATTTTAATCTCTGCCTCTCCACCTTAGTCACCTTGGACTCGATGGGATCTAGGCTGTGGCCTGATGCTTTGAAGTCAGTCTCAGGTGCCCTATTATTCCTAAAGAAACAGGTGGAATTACTCAGTACAGGAACAATGAGCTAGAAGTTAAAGCATCTGAGTCATGGTGCTTTCCTGACACCAGCTCACTGGGTGGCTTTCAGAGGTTGGCCTCTCTGGGCCTCAGTATCCATGTCTTTAAAAAATTTCAAAGTACTGTTCATTCACTTACTTTCAACTCTATGAGTTAAATGCCACTATTATCCCTATTTGAAAAATGTTGAAGTCATCTAGTTTAGATAAGATCATATGGACTTAAAGTCTCAAAGGCTCACTGCCCCCCTCGTGTTGATGTTCTATGAGGCATTGAGTCAACAGTCAAGGCAAAAACAATGTCTTCAGTTGGAGAGTGTCTTGGAAAATATCTTTTGTGAAAAGAATATCCTCTTTACTAACTTCTCTAATAAATATAATTTTTTAACTTTACCAGCAGCTTGTTTGACCCTTAACTATAAAGGCTCAACCTCAGAACGAATCCTCAAAATTCAGATTATGATTCTAAAACAATGTGTCTGACTGGCCCCATGCTACTTTTAGTGGTAATAGAAAACATAAATTTCATAAGATGGTAAAATGAAAACTAGATTTTATCTGTTTTAAAAACATGACAAAGAAATTGCTTTTTTAAGGGTGTTTTCTTGCTTAGAATGCAAGAAGTAAAATCTAAAGCTGGGCAAACTGATAGCCATGAAGGGAAGTAAACATCTTTATTCAGGAACCTTTATTCAATATTTAGTCTTTTTTCAGCTTACAAAGCCACACTGCTGGCAGGGGCTTCTCTGCTGGATAGGTATGTACCTGGGAATATTTAGCTCAAAGGGGTCTACTCCGGCTTCCCCAACTCTATGTGTTAATCTGATTTCTGCCTTATTATTGCCCTCTTCTCTAGCATAAGCCACCTGGTGGTGTTGGTAAGCTTTCTGGCAATGTCTATAAAAGGCAGTTCAGAGCTAGGTTAGGAACACTGGCCTGAGGTCTCACAGTCTACCCTGGAAACCTCATAAAATACCAGCCCCATGACCTTTGCCAAGTGACTTGACTATTCCTTACTTTGCTTTATTGGCCTTGCTATCTGGGAGAATAATACTAGTACCTACTTTTCATGGTTGTTTTTAGGATTAAATGAGTTAATCCACCTACTTAGAACAGTGTCTCAAACAGAGAAAGGACTTAGATGTGAATTAGTATTATGGAAAGAGTATGCGCACTGGAGCCCAACAGAGCTGGATTTAAGTGCCAGCTCTCCCTTTATTAGCTGTGTGGTCATAGGTAAATCACCTTCCTGCTTTAAACATTAATTTCCTCATTTGTAAATTAAAGCCTCTGTTACCTATCTTGAGAGTTGTTGTAAGCTTTATATGGAGTACATGTAAACTACCTAGTACCTAACAAAGAGTAGACCTGCAATGATAGTGATTAGTGGCTGTGGCTGCGGTATGGATGGGCGGTGGCAGCATTGGGTGGTGGGGGCAGTGATGATGGGTTGGGAGTGCTGAAGGTGACAATGGTGTTGGTAGTGATGGTGCCAGTTTTGTTGGCACTGGGAATGGTGGTGGTAGCAGTGGTGTGGTGGCTGAGATAGGGGTGATAGTGGTGACGTCCGAGATGGGGGTGATAGTGGTGGTGGTGGTAAGGACGATATAATTATACATCTATCAACCAGGTAAGAGTCTAAACGCATCCAGGGTGGTAGGTGATTCTTTCTCATGTTGGTGTCCTCTATGCTAATAGGCACAGGCATGAAACATGTTAACGGCCTCATGCAAGTCAATGAGAAGTTGAAAGGGCCAGACCTGGGCTGGGTCTGATCCTGCATTTCAGATACCCTGAAGCAAGTGGTATTTTGTATTCTATAGTATCCAAAGGGGAGTTTAAAACTGGATTTAATGCCAGTCCTCACCAAAGGTCAAGGGTGTTTAGTTCAACTGTTGTTGTCCAGGATAAGGTGTATGAGTAGCAACAGGAAAATCCTATGGGAATCATTTCAAAGCAAGTTTCCAGACAGTGATAAGGAGTGCAGGGAATACTTATATATATTAACAGGATGTATACACTTTAAGTATAACCTGAAGTATCCTCTCACAAGAGACTATATTCTGTTACTGCCCCAAATAATACATGTAAATACTTTGATGAAGGATTTCATAAACAGCTCTCAATGTATCAGTTAATAGAATTATTATGATTAATCATTAACATTATTATCATCATTATCTGGCCCAGGCAGCTGGGTTGGAATTTAGAACCAAATCCCAATGCCAATTCTATTAGGAACTAGGGAGGCTGGGGGAGTAAAGTGTCATGAGTGGTGAAGACCTTGGAAGCAGAGACAGCAGTAGCAGCTAACAGGATACTGAGGCACAAGCCCCACCATGCAGACCAGACCATCAAGATATGGAGTGATGGAAAGCTAAGGCTATGAACACAAGTGCCTGGCTCTTCCCTCCCACCTTGCTTTCATAGGACCACTTGGCAACCCAACCAATCCCAGACCTCCTGCCATTTGTTCTGGCCCTACTATGTACTCCCTGCCCTGACCAGACCTGGCTGGACCTTGGGTTCTGTAATTGAGCAGCACTGGGAAAGCCTAAACAATGTCATAACTTTGCCAAAGAAAAACCAGGGGCTATGACCCAATTTGGGCAGTACCATAGACGTGTCAACAGTTAAGTCAAATGGGAAAACTCAGAAGTATACTGTTAGCTGCAAAGCATTTCCCTCACCACTGAGGAAGGCAAAATCCCTGGCTGCTCCTACAATATTATTTTTTGTCAAAGGTAACAGTCTGAAAAAATAATGGTAACAGATTATGAGCATGCACGCCCCAGTATTTACTCCAAATACATGAGCAGAAATATGATGTGAACCATGAATCTTTTGTGTAAAATACTCTGAAGATATCGGCTATAAAAGTGGGTGTGTGTTTACATATCTATACAAAAACATTTGAACAGAAGGTAGCACCAGTGTTTAAAAGCCTTATTAGTCACTGGGGACTTTTCCAAAAATATAAAATTAACTATCTAATGGAAAAAATAGAATTTTATATTATGCATGCTTTTAGAAATTGGCTTTTGGGAGTAATATTATTTCACCTTTAATTGTTTTCCCCAACCAACCCAATTATCCTTCCACAAATAACATCCCCTGACCTTAAATATTATACTCCCTTTCAATTCATGATTGATGGCTTTAGTGTCTAGACCACAAGTCAGCAAATTGCAGGCTATAGACCATATCTGGCCCGCCACCTGATTTTGGAAATAAGGTGGGGTTTTTTGTTTTGTTTTTCCTTTTTTTTTTTCTTTTGAGATGGAGTTTTGCTCTTGTTGCCCAGGCTGGAGTGCAGTGGTGTGATCTCGGGTCACTGCAACCTCCACCCTCCAGTTTCAAGCGATTCTCCTGCCTCAGCCTCCTGAGTACATGGGATTACAGGCACCCGCCACCACGCCCAGCTAATTTTTGTATTTTTAGTAGATATGTGGTTTCACCATGTTGGCCAGGCTGGTCTCAAACTCCTAACCTTGTAATCTGCCCGCCTCGGCCTCCCAAAGTGCTGGGATTACAGGCATGAGCCACGGTGCCCCGCCCGGAAATAGAGTTATATTTTAACATAGCCATGTTCACTTGTGTACATGTTACCTGAGACTGCTTTTGTGCTACAATGGCAAAGCTGAATAGTTGAGACAGAGACTGTATGGCCTATGAAGCATACAATTTTTAATCTCTGGTCCTTTACAGAAAACATTTGTCACATCATGGTCTAGACCAATAGTTCTCAACATTGCATATTAGAATCTTGTAGGAGGTTTATAAAATTCCAGGACATAGGTCTTATCCTAAATTAAGTCCATATTTCTGGGGGTGGAACCCCCCCAGTATTTTTCAAGTCCCTCAAGTCATTATAATATGCAACCAAGGCTGAGCATCACTACTCTAGACAGCCCGTTATGTTGCTACGGCCTGGAAATCTGGTCCAATAGAAATGCTGTCTGAGCGTGAGTTTCCTATCTATCAAATGAGATTCAGCACACTTACTTCACAAGTAGGTCCCCAACCTTTGTCATTTTCTATTCCTTAAACAAACTTCAGACAAATAGCTTC
This sequence comes from Homo sapiens, assembly GCF_000001405.40. Lineage (NCBI taxonomy): Eukaryota > Metazoa > Chordata > Mammalia > Primates > Hominidae > Homo > Homo sapiens. Next base: position 79,928,737 of record NC_000011.10, on the reverse strand, counting down.
TGCCTTTCTAATGTCTTTCTCACAGTTCTGTAAATTTTCATTGCAACAAAGAATAAAGCCCCCAGTAAGCATTGATAGACTCTAACACTGTCCTTTAACCTCCGCTATTGGACCTCATCAATGAAGGCTCTCCCAAGCTTTCGCTCAGAGTTCTCTGTAGGCAGTCCCCATCATAACACCGACTGTATTGATGGAGGGGACACAGATGGGGACTAGAGAAGTGCCTCCAGGTAGCAGAAGGCAATGAATATTCAAAAACATTGTATATGTAAATGAGAAGACTTATATAATAATAAATGTGATTCTACCTTACAAAGATTTCCATGTAAATAATATTTCTATCTTTAGATTTTGGACCAGCTAAATCAGTGGATCTCCAGACTGAGGTAGGGATGAACAACATTCAGAATCATAACTATGGCACCAGTGCATATCAGAGAAAACACGGCACTCTTCACGCACACCCCATGAGAATCATAAGGACCTAGTTCTACTCCCAGTTCTAATGTTTCCCATCTGTGGGACTCCCAAGCTGATCAGAACCATGTCCTTGGACTTCAGGGTCTCACATTTTTTAAAATGTGATTATATAGAGTTTGATCATAAAGTTTCTGAGAGCCCAATTTGATGAGTCTGTGCACCTGATTCACTTCTAGTAATCCACCCTGTCACCAACCACTTCTGACCACACCACACTCCACCCACATACGGAGTCTTTGGCTTATGTGCAGTTGTAGAGCAATCCATTCAATCCTTCATTTGACAAGTTTTCTTCTGACAACTACTTGAGCCTCTTCTATGATCTGAAAGTTGTTATCGGTACTGGGGACCCTAAGATAAAAGAGATAAAAATTCTGCCCTCATTGAGCTTACTTTCCTGTGGTTGATGTAATATGCAAATCACTAATAATATCTTACATTACAGCGTTATTTGATTTTTTTCTTTATAGCAATTCAGTACAATTACTATCCACATTTTATAGATGAGGGAAGGAAATCTTAAAGAGGTTTTAGAGCTTGTCCAAGGTCCCAGAGTAGGGTCTTTAAACTTTGTGCTTTGGATTCCCTGTCACAAACATGATCCACCAGGCCTATTGATTCTCCCCTGCCAATAAATATTCCTATCTCTTAGCTGGTAATCTTTAACAGATTAAGGCATTCTGTGTCTTATACATAATGGCACATTTCCCAATATGTTAAAGAATCATTTCTCTAGGTTGCTGCTAAAGCCTTGGCAGAAAACACAGTGCCAGGGAAAATGGGGATTAGAGCAAAAACACAAACCTAACAAGTTGAAGCTTACTTTTGGTCCTGTCTCTGACCTTTTCCCAATCTCCCATATTCTGTACTTGAACCATACCACATTGCTTATATGGCAAACTATATTTTCCAAATGCCTGCTCTTCTAGACCCTTGCCAATATTCCATGAAGAGATGGCACCTGTGGCATCTCACCTTGTCCTTGTGTGGACCTAGTGACTTTCTCATCTAATAGATTATGGTGGATGTGGTGCTATATGACTTCTGAGACTCTCTCTGCTTTGACTCCTCTCCTAGCCTAGATACTCCCTATTTATTTTTAAACATCACTTCACCTGGGAAGTCTTATTCGATTTTCTAAATTTGGGTTTAGTCCTTTCCTCTGGAAATCTCTTCACATACTTACCATAGAATGTTATCGTACTGTGTTTAATTGCTTATTGCCCTTTCCTAGACTGAAAACACCTTAAACATTGGAGCTATATCTTGATTGTATCTCCTGCAGCCAGCACAGTACCTGGCACAGTGTGAGCACTTAACAAATACTTGTCCAGATAATGAATCATGCAAGTACAGGATGAGCAGACACAGTGCAGGAACAGGTTGTGTGGAGAAGACTTTTGGAATTTAGTTCCTGGCAAGCCTGTTAATTAGTGAGAAATGAAGCAATGTCATCAAAGACTCTAAGGTACATTTAAGCTCCATTAACTGGACTTTAGTACAAATAAGGGAGGCGATAATCCTGTTCTATCAGTTTTTGTTCTAAATACATCTAGAATGTTTATTTTCTGATGACATCTTTGAAAATATTCTTTTTTCATCACTTTTTAAGATAAAAAACTTTATCTTGAACAGTAGTTGAAAAAATAAGGCAGATTTTGCCTGGACAATTAAAAGTTCAAGGAGGACTGGACAGCATCTTCAAATCCCTGGACAGTCGTCCTGATGAGGAAAGAGAAAGCTTGTCCTATTTGATTAATATGTAATGCCAATGACAGGTGTGACATTACTGAAATATATGATGTTCCATGTACCCTCTAGCAAGAAAGACATGTTTACCTGAGTTATAAGTGTATAATCTAAAGGATGAACACTTTCACATCTTTAGTGAAACATAGGAAAGCCTTCAAATTTAAAAAATATTGTTGTGTGTGTTGAGAATGGTAGAGAGGTGTTTAGCTTTCATATTAATTAAGGCTTATTTTGAGAATGAATGACACTGCAGAGGCAAGAAATTGGTCTTACGATCCAAGAATGCATTTGATTTCTGTCCTATAGGAACAGACACAAGGGAAGTGTCCCGATGTCCTTGGGAACATTCACAGACTGAATTTTACCAGTTCCTGAATATCAGCCTTCATCAGGGTCCTACCAGGCTTCTAAGTGTGAGTGCTCAGTGCATTAAATTATCATCTATAAACCCACATTACATTCCTAGTAAAATGACTGCTTATTCAAAAGCAATTAGGCTTACCATGTATATAGATTACCATTAAACCTGAATTTTCCATAGCATTGGCATTGATATAACTCTACTGCAGACACTTCCAGACCTTTCAAACTAAGAAAATAAAGGGGCAAAGGAACTGATGTTTATCGGGTAGGCCTGCTCTGGGTCAGGTACTGTAATTAACACTTCTCCTCACCACACAACTTCCTGAGATGTTAGCTATTAATATTTCTAGTTCTCAATTGAGGAAATGAAGCTTTCAGAGGTGAAGTCACTCCCCTGGAGCAGCCCAGCTACTAGAAGCTAGAAATGCAATTTGAATCTAGTTCTACCTAACTCCCATAGCCTGTATTCTTCTCACACCACCTGTCCCTTTCTTTCGGCTGGTGAGTTCTGAGAGCAAACTACGCTGTGCTTCATGGAGTATAGACTTCACACTGGGGGAGAGGAATAGAGGAGAAAAGGCACATATACAAATAATGTAATTCAAATAGGAAGTTATGGAATATAAGAAAACAACAGGAACCCAGAAGATAACTCGAGGAAAGAAAATGTTTCTTCTGCGGATGGGAAGATTTTCTTAAAAAAAAAAAAAAAGTCTTGAGAAGTGGAAGATGTTTTAAATAAAAATGTGACTTCACAGAGAAAACCTCAACAATCCAAAAAGATATCACCTGGAACCTCTGACTTCTGCTTCTGTCTCCAGACTGTACCTTACTTTCTTAATTTCACCTCCTTCTGTGGCTTCGTGGGGAACCGGGCCTCAGAATAGGAAGCTGGCTTAAATATTAGACTTGAGCTCATATTTTTGAGGATTTTAAATAATATGTATTTTGCAATATTAAAGATATAAAAATATATAGTAATGAATAATAAATACCCCTCCCTTTAAGAAATAAAACATTACCAATACAGTTGAAGCCTTCTGTTTCCTTCCCTGATGGCATTTCCTATTCTCTCATTTAGAGGAAAGTGCTATCCTATATTTGGGATTGATAATATCCACTTATCTATTAATATAATTGCTACATGTGTGTATATGTAGGTACTTTATTTATTTTTTGTTATAATAAATTGGAAATGGTACTTTATTGTGCTATACTTTCTTTTGGTGGTATATAGGAATAAAGTTGGTTTTTATGTGTTGATCTTATATCCAGAAACCATAGTAAATCTTATTTGGATAATTTGTCTGTAGATGTTTTTGTATTTTCCCTAAAACATATGTTTGTGTGTTTATGCATACATAGTTTCATACATAATATTCTACTGCAGCTTTTTTTAATCAACATTTGTAACAATCATTTATACCAGTGAGTATAACTATAGTACATTTTTACTTCATTTTGTTACTACATATTATTTCATTGATCAAATATATTGTCATTGATTTGTTCATTATTTTAAAGGTCATTTCAATTGCTCTTATAGCTTTTTTGTGTTTTAAGTGATGGGTTTTGTTTGTTGCTGACACCCTTGTATGTGACTCATTGCATATCAGTTAGAATTTCTCAGTCTAGGGTATATGCCTCAGAATTTAATTTCTGCATATGAGTTCTTGTTACTCCATATTTTCACCAACACTTAGAATTGTAAGACTTTTTACCTTTGAGCCATCTGGTAGATAAAATATATCTCAAAGTAGTTTTAATTTTCTTCATTCTGTTTACCATTGAAGTTTAGCATATTTTTATTTTTCTTCATATGTCTCCTGAGAATTGCTTGTTCATGTTATTCGCTGTGTATTATGGAGTCGTTCAATAATTTGATTTTTTTAAGCCTCTTTATTTTCTAGGTAATTGTCTTATGGCTTTCAATGTTCTCTTTCGATAAGGGTTTTTTAAATTAAATGGAGTCAAATTTTCCCTCTGATTTATGCATATGTCTAGGTTAATCTTTCAAACACTGGGGTTAAAAAAAAAATCTTCATTTTCTCCAAAGGCATAAAGTTTACCTTTTTGCATTTGAATTTTTAATCTATCTACAGTTGACTTTCGTACTGCAAGTGAACTAGGGATCCAATTTCATTGTTTTCCATATGTATGACCAATTAGCCTTTCACACACAGGTATAGTAATTGGCTGGCTTGTCATTATGTCCTGCATTTCAAATATTCCCTCTGGGATTGCTCTCCTTCACTTAAAGCACATCCTTTACATTTCTCTAGGAAAGGGCTATTGGTAGTCACTCTCTTTCTTGTCTATTTTTAAAAATCATTATTTAACTCTCATTTAAAGATAGCTTTGTTGATTACACAATTCTAGATTCACTATTTTCTCTCAATTCTGAAATATCCTCTTCTGGCATCCATTCTTGTTAAGTTCACCATCTGTCTAGTTATTCTTTTGCTCTTTTATTTTCTCCCCCTCTGGCTACTTTTAAGATTTCCTGTTAGTTTTTAATGTTATACATATTCTTCATGATATATCTGGGTACATATTTTATTCATTAACTTAGAATCCTTTTGTTTTCTAACTCTGATTTATTTTTAATTAGTTCTGGACCATTCTCAACTGTAAAACAATACCATATTGCCTCTCCCAAATTCTCTTTATTCTCTTCTCTGTGACTACTGTTAAACATATGTTAGCCTTTCTTTTTCTGTTCTTCGTGTTCCTTAACTTTTTCATCTTTGTTTTTGTTTATCTGTAATGCACTCTGTATAACTTCTTCAGACATATTTTCCAATTCACTAATAATCCTTTCACTTAAAACTACTCTGCTCCTTCACAAAAATATAGAGTTTTTTTATTTGGTTCTTTGTTTGTATACTTGTTTGGTTTGGGGTGGTTTTTTAACTATTTTATTTCTGGAAGTTCGACATAGTTTTACGTCATTTAATGATAGGGATACATTCTAAGAAATATGTCTTTAGGCAGTTTTGTTGTACAAACATCATAGAGTGTACTTACACAAACCTAGATGGCATAGCCTACTACACACTTAGGCTATATGGTACAGCCTACTGCTCCTAGGCTATAAACCTGTACAGTATATTATTGTACTGTATACTATCAGCAGTTGTAACACAATGGTAAGTATTTATATATTTAAACTTATCTCAACATAGAAAAGGTATAGGAAAAATATGGTACAAAAGATAAAATCTAGTATATCTATATAGGGCACTTACCATGAATGGAGTTTACAGGACCGGATGGCTCTGGGTGAGTTAGTGAATGAGTCGCGAGTAAATGTGAAGGCCTAGGACATTACTGTACACTACTGTAAACTTTATGATCACTGTACAATTAGGCTTGGCTAAATTTCTTTTGTAATGTTTTCTTCAATAAATTAACCTTGGCTTACTGTAACTTTTTTACTTCATAAACATTTTAACTTGTTTGACTTTTTGTAATAAACACTTAGTTTAAAACACAAACACTTTGCACAGTTAAACAAAAATTTTTTTGTATCTTTATAAGCCTTTTTCTATTTAAAAATTTTTTACTTCTTAAATTTTTTTTGTGAGAAACTAAGGCATAAGTGGGCACATCAGCCTAGGCCTACACAGTGCCAAGATAATTGATATCACCATCTCCCACCTCTACATGTTGTTTCAGTGGAAGGTGTTCAGGATCAATAACTGTAATCTCCTGTGATAACAATGCCTTCTTCTGGGGTAGCTTCTGAAGGACCTTCCTGAAGCTATTTATAATACATATATGAGTAGAAGGAGCACACTCTAAAACAACAATAAAAAGTATAGTATAGTAAATATTAGGCATTAGGAATTTTTTTACCTCCATGATGCTTTTATGGGACTGCCATTGTATGTGTGGTCCATCATTGACTGAAATGTTATGCAACACACTGCATATGGTTCTTTTCAAATACTTTGAACCACTTATATAATCATATTCCAGTCTCATATTTTTATTTCACATTTTATTTTTTAAACATTTCTAATATTCTTATATTCTATGTAATAATCTCATAATAGATTAAGGCAGAAGTGGTGCTATATGACTTCTGAGACCCTCTCCGCTTTGGCTCCTTTACTGTCCTAGCCTGGACAATTCCTATTTTTATTATAATTATTATTATTATTTGAGATGGCATCTCGCTCTGTCGCCCAGGCTGGAGTGCAGTGGCATGATCTCGGCTCACTGCAACCTCTGCCTCCCAGGTTCAAGCGATTCTCCTGCCTCAACCTTCTGAGTAGCTGGGATTACAGGCGGGCACCACTGCACCTGGCTAATTTTTGTATTTTTAGTAGAGACGGGGTTTCACCATGTTGTCCAGGCTGGTCTTGAACTCTTGACCTCAGGTGATCCACCCACCTCGGCCTCCCAAAGTGCTGGGATTACAGGTGTGAGCCACCGTGCCTGACCCCCATTTATTTTTAAACATGACTTCACCTGGGAAGACTTACTCGATTTTCTAAGTTTGGGTTTAGTCCTTCCCTCTAGGAATCTCTTCACAATCTTATTGTAGAATGTTATCATATTGTGTTTAATTGCCTGTTGCCGTTTCCTAGACTGAAAACACCTTAAATATGAAGTCTCTGGTATCTAATTCTGCAATTTGTGTTCTTCTCATTCTTGATGACTTAGTTTCTCTAAAGCAAATTTACATTTCCACTACTACCAGGAATCCTAAGGCACCACCAACCCAAGATCACTTTTAGGACATTTTATGCTTGAGGTTTCACAAACTACACAGCATAGTTTCAAATTCCAAACCTCCTTGAGGTATGGCCTATAGTTACAAATTCTCAGGTACATTTTTTTTCTCTACCCTGAGAGCCAATGCCGACACAGAGTTCTTCTGTGGCTTTCTTTGGTGGCAGCCTCCACACCCCCACTCACAACTGCCCTTACTGGTGATGTAGCCTCTGAGGTTCCAGATATATGTAGGAGTCCTCAGGTCTAATTATGCATCCTTTGTGGCTCTGAAGCCATTAAAACTGAAGACTCTGGATACCCGGTCTTGGCAAATACCTGCAAGCTAACCACTCAGCATTTATTTATCACTCTGGTTTTCTCCCTCTGTATTTGTGCTCTCTGAAAATTTCTTTGTGTGCATATGCAAGAGAGAGTGACTGTAAGTGCCAGTTAGTTTGGCCATGAATTTAAAAACTGTTTACTGTTATTAATGCAGTGTCAAGTATTTTTAGAGATTTTAGAAAATCTCACCTGTTGTACTGCATGTACCTGTTTGTTTTACTAGCTAAGGTGATTGATTCACTTTTGATATAAAACGGTACTTATAGCACAAAGAGTTTTTAAAAATTAAACAAGAATTTATTTGGTTATTTCTGCATGGCATACATTCTGTCACCTAAAAGAACTCAGCTTTCCAGCTTCATCTAGAAGCTGAAGACATAATGTTCTAATAATAACCCTCACTCAGAATTTGGCATACATCTTTCTTCTTCAGTTACCCTCCCAATCACTTTATATAAGTAGGGCCCCACACATATACCTACATCATTATTACCTACCAGCACTCCTCATTTCCTTCATTTTTTTAATATGCTTAAATTACTCATTTTCTTAGTTAGTGTTTGTTACCTCCTCTGGAATCAAATAGGCCATAAGCTACATAAAAGCAGGGATTATAAGTGCTTTATTTACCAGCGTTTCACTAGTATCTCAGAGAAGGTATGGCCCATAGCAAAAACTAAATTGTTAATTAACTGAGCGAATAAATAAGTGAAAAACTCTCTGTTTTATTTTTATCTATCTACTCAGTCTTCTTTGCTAACTCTTTTTCTACATGTTTGTCGAACAAATGAATAAAAGAAAAAGAACGGCTGGGTAGAGGAATCATTAAATAACATGTCCTTCCCTTACCCTTATTTGCCATTTCCAAATAACATATTATAATATAACCTAAACCACAGTCATCTAAACTGTTTCTCCTCTGTACAATTCAATTTGTTTTACAAACCTTTCTCAAGTAACAAAAATATTAACCTGGCATTACAAGCCCGTGTCTTTCTCTAAGTAGTCAAAAGTAATAAACATACAGTAGACACGAATGAATACTTCTAGGCAAATTTTGTGTTGTTTTTATGATAAACTCGTTTATTGAGTCTGTGGCCTTCAAACTCAATTTTCATTTTTCATACTATTACTGTCTAAATAATTGAATGACTAATAATAACAAGGATAATCATACAAAAGTGTTATTCAATTCAATTCATATACCAAGACCTTGTAATCAGTTCTGTTAGTACATGGCCATCACAGATAAGGAAACTGAGGCTTGGTGAAGTTTAGTACATTGTCCAAAGTCATAGAAAGTTACTGAGGTGAAATTGAGTCAAAATCTTCTTCCTTCTGATGCAGAGCTTACCCCAGTACCTTAAAACTGGGTGATCAACCAGGTGATCACAGTCCCAGGAATTTGTTATACTCTGCAACAAAAACAAACTGTGAGGGAAGAAAAGGTGGTCAAGCAGTAGACAGTGCCTGAGAACACCTGACCCCTGTGTGCACACAAACTCCCATAAACTCCTGGCAGCTATTACCCTTACTGCTTTGACCTGAGTTCAGAGTTAAACTCATTGTGGGTGTGGTAAGAGAGGGAGAAAACAGACTTGCAATTTACTAAGGGTTCTATATTGCACCTCCTGAAATGCCCTGCAAGCTCAAAGAGAAAAACTGGAAGTAATAATTTACTTTGTACCAAGAACTGTGCTCTGTGCTATATGTATAATGATTGCATTTAATGTACACAATAAAGAATATAAGGTAGAAAATATCTCAGTTCACAGAGGACCACTGATAACAATGCTTCAGTCACGTAATTGGCAATCGGTGGAGTCAGGATTTGACTCAAGTTCTTGTATTACATCATGATGCTATTGGCATCATGTTATGGGTATCATCTAAAAGAAGAGAGGTGAAAATCTGAAGAAAGAAGCTGGATCTTCTCCTTAGAGTCCAGGAGGGCAGAAGAATAAAGACAGTCCTGGGCCTAATGGTGCCTGTCAATGTATATTTATTGTGTCTACTCAGGCCCAACACTGCAAGATGCTAATAGGGATGAAGTCATCTTCTGATCTCTCATTGCACTTTGTCTCTGCTTCACCAGCATCGAGAATACTGTGTTACAGTGATTGATGAGAAAAACCTACCTTTGTGTGGCACTCTACACTTCACAACAGACTGTCAGGAGTTATGCCATTTGATCTAATTTAAGAGCATGCTTTATCTGTTCTACTAGACAGTTCTCTCTTTTGAACCATGTCTGATTCAACTTTGTACCTCACTATGTTGACCTTTAGTGTCCCAAGTCTTAACTAAGCAAAGACATGACAAATAACAGCAACTCCTAACTCTAGAATAGGTGTCTTTTCAGTTTGCTTATGCTTAAGAAACAGCAAGCAAATAAACGTTCAGGGAATTTTATAATTGCCTCCTTCCAGTGCAGTGATTGTTTTAGACACAAGGCCATTCTTCACCTGGCTGTAAGTCTAACCAAACACAGTATCCCACCAACCATTTTCAACCTTTCTGGGTATAAGCAAAGACTCAAGTCCCACCCAAATTGGCCCCATTATTTGAGCAGTGGGTGGTGAATATGCATCCTATCCAAGTTCTGAAATAGAGTGAGGTAGGCCCCTGTCCGAATTTTCTTCCTTTTCCCAAAAGCCTGTGCCTCCCCAGGTTCCTTTGAGCCCCAAGGCATGACAAGGCCATGGTGGGTGTCAGGCTTTCCATGAACAGTCTGTGTTTGTGTCCAGTGGCCACTGCTGCAGTGCTTGCATGGTCTTGAGTGTCAAGGAGCTTGGGCTCTCCTCTAATTGACTATTCCAGACCTAAGCATTGAGCTTTAAATTAATAGTGTTACGGATTAAATTGTGCCCCCTTCAAACTTCCTGTGTTGAAACCCTGAGTCCCTGTATCTGAGAACGTGACTGTATTTGGAGACAGTGTCTTTAAAGAGGTAATTAAGTTAAAATGAGGCTCATAGGGTGGGCCCTAATTCTTCTGACTGAAGTCCTTACAGGAAGAGGAGATTAATAAACTTAAAGAGATGCCAGGGATGCATGCACACCAAAGAAGAGCTGTATGAGAGCACAGTGAGAAGGCAGCTGTCTGCGAGCCAAGGCAAGAGTCCTCAGAAGAATCCAAACCTGCTGACATCTTGATCTTGGATTTCTAGCCTCCAAATTTCAAAGAAAATAAATTTCTGTGATATTTGTTTGTGGTATACCCAGTCTGTGGTATTTGTTATGGCAGCCCTAGTAAACTAGTACAAAGAGAACTCATCAGACAAGCCCAGATGTTCCAATTTTGAAATCCTCAGGTGCATACTTTTTTTTCCTAGTGTTTCTAGTGTATCCTAGTGTACCTCTAGGATATAAAAGCAAAAAGGTGGAAAGCAGAAATTGGATGGCACAAAGTATAAAGCAAGAACTATGGAAGTACATTGACAAAGAGAATAATGAGAACTGGTGTGATCAGGGAAGAGATTCTGGAGGTTACATTTCAGCTGGATCTTGATTGATGGATGAAATCTGCAGAAAAGGGTCAGGTTATATTGAATAAGAGGAAATAATAGGAATCTTTATCTTTACACACTTGATAAATGATATTAGGCATGAAGTGCTTCATAGTTGAAGTAATAAGAAGGAATGAATGGCTGTAAGATGGGGATTCCTTCAAATATGTATTAAGAATCTACTATGGTCTGGGCTCGGTGGCTCACACCTATAATCCCAACACATTGGGAGGCTGAGGTGGGCAGATCATGAGGTGAGGAGTTCAAGACTAACGTGGTCAATATGGTGAAAACTCATCTCTACTAAAAATACAAAAATTAGCCAGATGTGGTGGCATGCGCCTGTAGTCCCAGCTACTCAGCAGGTTGAGACAGAAGAATCGCCTGAACCCAGGAGGTGGAGGTTGCAGTGAGCCAAGATCATGCCACGCCACCGCACTCCAGCCTGGGCGACAGAGCAAGATTCCGTCTCATAAAAAAAAAAAAAAAAAAAAAAAAAAAAAACCCTACTATGTGCCAAGCATTGTAGTAGACACTAGAGGAAAACAAAAGAGAAATTATCATTACCCATGAAAAATACATATGTCAGAAGGGGAGACAAGCATGTAAACAATGATTAGTAATAATTAGATAATATTATAAATGCCAAAACAAAGCAGAGTGCTAGGAAAACAAACACAAGAGAGCCTCTGCTTCACCCTGAAGCAGGGTAAAGTGAAGCAGAGGATGCATCACCTATGAATTGACACCAACAAGCCCATGAGGAAGGGCCAAGGATGAGGACTTTACGTGACAAGATTCTTTGAGTAAAGGCCTCTGAGGGAGAGGGAACACGGCAGGATCCAGATTCCAAAATCTGGATGTGTGTAGGAGAGAAGTGAGTGCGACCAGATGATGATGATCTAGAGTATTTTCTCTCTAGTTTCTTTATTTTTCACTTGTTTGTGCTTATTTAACTAATATTTATTTAATTGGCAATAGAGTTTCCCAAAGATTAGCAGGGCTGGCCCCAGACCCAGTAGATAAATCAATGCATTCTTTGGTTCCTGCAGCTTCCCAAGCCTCTCATCCACTGCCAACTGCCCTCTCCAAACCCAGTGCAAAGGCTTCAGCACCTGAAGGGAATAAAGAGGTTGTATGAACCAACCCCAAATGGCAGCCTTACACAGAGTTTGGAGTTCTCAATACTCACCTTGGTATCTTAGGCTATCTTTGAGCAACTTTTTAATATTAGAAAGTATATCCTTATTTAGAACAGAAGTGTATATATTCTTTTAATATTTATTGGGCAAATGCTATATTCCAGTCACAATTATGACTTCAGGGGATACAGAGGCTCTCGTGAGATTATTTAGCTCAGAAAGAAAAGAGTTATTTCAGTTCTCCTCTCTAACGCGGTGCTCAGTCCCCCTTTGAGGTCTTGCATAACTATTGTATGCTTTGCCATTTTCACTTGTGTACCCTCAAGAATCCCTTCAGTCATAAGCCTGGAGTGGTTTTATTACTCTCCCAGACTTACTTCCCTTTACTTGCCTACTTTTCATACACAAGAGCTCCATCGCCCACTCACCCTGCAGGGCTGCAACTTCACAGTCTGCTCCTCCTAGCGAGTAGCTCGATTTCATCTTTGGGTACTCTTTGGTATCCTCTACTTGAAATGCCTTCCCCTTTTATTCACCTTATGAGCTCCTTTCTTCTTTCTCTGTTATATTCTTGGTGTACTTTGCTCTACACGTGGGACTGTAACTGTTTACCTTTACTCTAACAATTTCCCCAGGAATTGGTATATCAGGGCTCAGTCAGTGTTTATTGACTTAACTTACAGTCTTCTCTCAGGTCAAGGGAAGACCCTAATGAGACCCACTAAGAGGTACACCATTGAGCAAATGCCTATGCCATGCCATGGCTGATGCCTGAGCATCACTTTGGCTTCCCGTAGCAGGGTTTTCTGACTTCGTATCCTCTTCCAATCAGCCAGGCCTCTTAGCCCTTCAGCTTTCTTTGCTGTTCCTGTTCCTCTTTCCTTGAGATTTAGAGTTCTCAGAGCGGCCTTCCCGACATCACAAAAGGGTCACAAGATTGTGTAATAGTATTATGAAGGCCATCTAGCTAAAACCACCCTCAGTCTTTGCTATTCTACTGCTCACACACTATGTGGAATATAAGACTTTCCATCCACTCTCCTGGGCATACTGTATGGAGACAATTGCTGATAGCGTCCACTTTGGAAACATCCTGGAAACATATCTGGAATTTTTATGGCATGGGCCTCTTTTCAGTTTCTCTCAAGCAGTGGAGTTCTCATTATCTGCCCTCCAATTTTCCTTTACCCCCTGTCAATCACTTCTCTGTGGTTCACAGAATAAAGCTGAGCTTTAAGCCAACCAGCCGTGATTTTCTTTTCTTTTTGTTGTTGTTGTTGGCTCTCTTGCTATTAGCAAAAGTCTATTTACAAACCTAGAAGCCTAGACTCTGTTGTATTATTTCTGAATATTATCACCCAAGCTCACTGCATATGGAGTGCTTGTTCCACTGTCTTCTATGGTCAGTAGGAGTAAAACCTATGGAAAAAAAACCCACCTGATTTGATATGAAGAGGTATTTACCCTACCATAGTAAATATTCAACAATGGCTAATTTTTCTTGAAAGGGAATCAGTTTCATTAATTTTCCTCGTAGAAGTAATTAAATTTTAGAGTAGCCAATATCTTATCTAGAGGTTATAAAATGGTAGTCCATACACCAGAGTTGGACTGAAGATTTTTTTCCAGCACTGAATTTTAAAAATTTTGTATTTGAATACCTGTAGGTAGCACCCATATTCTTCAGTTCACAAAGGCCTCCGTCACTGCCTATTGTCACCGCCTATTGTCACCTAAAGCATCATCCACATGCTTGTGGAGGGCATTTTAGCTCTAGTCTTACCCTCTTCTTTTGATGATCAGATAGCAGTGGTCATTTGCTCAAAGTTACATAACTAGTTAGTTGCGATGCTGATACTTGAATCAGGCTGCCTACTTCTAGTGCAAGGCTCATGTCCTTTAACCAAAATCTATCCCCCAATACTTCATATAGAAGGATAACCTGAATTGGAATTGTCTTGGTCTGTGGGAGAAGAGTCACATTAAAAGTAAAACTCCAAATTTCACTCTTATCTAAACTTGCATGCACAGGACCTCCATTCCACAGTGAAAGCTGACCCAGTTAGGTCTCAATGTCCTCAGTGGAGGGGGGCTTACATGTGCCCCAGAACTCTTTGGTTAGCGGTCACCACATGACATTTGGCACATTCTTCCTCACACTGCTGTGTCATTGATCTGCTCTGGCCACAAGGCCATGAGAGTGATCCATAATTGCCATTACACTATACCATATTTATGCCAAAGGTGTTATTCACCAGTGTTCCCAAACCTGAGCAGCCTTGGATCTTGCGTTTTTATGCCCAGCATGAAAATCCACTCCTTAATCACCACTTCCCATGATGAAATCTGTGACGGCAGTCACATATGGACCTCTAGCTCCCTAACTTCACTCATTCTACCCCAATATGTCAATCCCCTTGAGTGTCATTCAGGACCCCTTGCTGCTGTAATAAAGGGCCATGCATGGAGGAAAAATGGTTTTTATTTTCTTCTCTGAACCTCTTTAGTCCCATCTCTACAAGAGGGATGATCGTACATCCCTCCCAGAGCTGTTGTAAAGAGTCTATGCAGCACTATGCATGAAAGTGCTCAGCAAGCCGCAGCCTGCTGTACAAATGTGAGTTGTATAGTCTGTGGGTTTATAAATCCTTCTGTTCTCAGCTTCCACTATTTACCTGCATCTCATATTTATTCTTTTTTTTTTCTTTTTTGCTCTGCAGCTATTTTTTCCTTCAAAAAACAAACATGATATTTGAAAGCTGAAGTATTCAACTTTGCATAGCTCCTAGGTGATTAGATGCTTGGTAAACATCACAAGTCTTTTCCACGTATACCAATTTCCAATTTAATTCAACTAACCACCATTGAACATTTATTACTAAACCTGTGCTAGGCACATGTCTTTTCTGCAAAATCATTTAATCAGGCCTGGAGCACATTATATTTTACTATAATGTCAACCTGACATTGACATGAGCAACAGCTGAAGCTGAATGTGCTCACATGTGAGCACATTCTGTGAAAATACTGGGAGTCGTAAGACATAGATTGGAGCTTAGCTCACTACCAAATCACTGTGTAAACTTGGGAAAGTGTTATAAGTTTTTTGAGATTTAGATTGTTCATCTGGACAATGAAAATATTACACCACAGTGTTATAGTCAGGAATAAATGAGATCCTGTAAGCAAAACATATAACAAATTTTAAAAACCTCTTTTTATATTTTAAGAGAGCTGATATTCCATACAAGTCATCCTTTTTAAGTTTTATTTTCTCATTTTGCATAAAAATCATTGGCAGAACTGAATCAGTCTGTGAGATAATCTGCTGAGATACAGCTGCTCTGCATTGTATTAGTCTGGGTCCTCCAAGAAGAAGACCCTAAACCAGATTAAATATATAAGGATCCTTTATTTAAAAGTCAAGAAACAATAGATGCTGGCAAGCCTGTGGAGAAATAGGAATGCTTTTACACTGTTGGTGAAAATGTAAATTAGCTCAACCATCGTGGAAGACACTGACGATTCCTCAAGGACCTAGAACCAGAAAATACCATTTGACCCAGCAATCCAATTACTGGGTATATATACCCAAAGGAATATAAATTTTTCTACTGTAAAGACACATGCAATTGCATGTTTATTGCAGCACTGTCTACAATAGCAAAGTCATGGAACTAACCCAAATGTCCATCAATGATAGACTGGATAAAGAGAATGTGGTACATATACACCATGGAATACTATGCAGCCATAAAAAGGAGTGAGATCATGTCCTTTGCAGGGACATGGATGAAGCTAGAAGCCGCATCCTCAGCAAACTAACACAGGAACAGAAAACCAAACACTGCATGTTCTTACTCATAAGTGGGAGTTGAACAATGAGAACACATGGACACAGGGAGGGGAACAACACACACCAGGGCCTGTTGGGGGTCGGGGATAAGGGGAGGGAACTTAGAGGATGGGCCAATAGGTGCAGCAAACCACCATGGCACACATATACCTATGTAACAAACCTGCATGTTCTGCACATTTATCCCAGAACTTAAATTTAAAAAATAAAAATAAAAGGATCTCATTAGGAAAGAAGGCTGTTTGAGAAATAATAGGGAGGTTACCAGGGAATACTGAGACAGCCAACAGATTGCAAGAAAATCTGTGACCTCAAGTGAAGGAGAGAGGGAGAGAAGTTTGAATGGAAATATCCTTGACTGCCACACAATCTAAATGAGGTCTGGCAAAGCTACTGGGGAGCCCTCAAGCCAAAGTCAGTTCAAAGGAATTTCAGTATCACAGGAACTAGTTACCTGGAATAGTAGCCTTAGTGGAATACTAACTGAATAGAATAATAACCTTCATGTCCCTGCCACGTTCTGTCCTTGAACTGGAACAGCCCATGGGAAACACAGCGTTGGAGCTAACTCAGCAATGGATTTCAAAGAGCAGCAGCCGGGGCCTTGGCTGGGCAGGGGCAGCCCAGCCAAAGCCCCATGTTGGAGGTCCCTGTAGTTGGAGGTCCAAAGGCACATTGTCACAGCATCCTCCTAAGGTTTACGGGAAAACCCAGGCACTGCTTTGCTGTCTCTTTAGCACTATTTGTTTTTATAGATCTATTTCAACACTCTCATCTCATTTATTTTCCCTTTCAAGTGAGATTTAAATAAGCCAAAGATTGACAAAGTAGTTGCATCTGTTCAGCAACACAATGGGTCAACCCTGACTTTGTGGTAATGGATTTGACCCAATATTTGGTGATGGAATCCAGAGGGTGCTGACATCTGGGTGGTAGTGCTGCCATCACTTCATAGAAATGACCATTGATTTGGATTCATTCAGAACTGGCTCTGTTCTTGCCCAGCTGCATAACTTTGATAAAGTAATTTAACTTCCCTGAACTGCTTTCCTCTTTTACAAAATGGACATAATAATACCTACCACAAATAATCCTTCTGAGAATCAAATACAATAAAGTACAGAAGAGAACCAGAAATTTACCAGGAACAATCCAATTAAACGAATTTAATAAATCACTTCTATTTTTAACATTACTGTCACTATTGTATGTGATCATCAGCCCTATAATAAGCAGGAATTAATGGGATCTTTATGTAGTATCAATACAGCTAGTATTTGCAGCTGTCCCAGCATAGTGGTTGCCACATGCCAGGTATTCAAATAACTAGCTTCATTTTTCTTCCCCCTCACCCCACCAATTCCTCTAACAATTTTTACTTCCCTCTAGAAGAAGTATTTTTCTACTAGTGCACATTAAAACATTCTATCTTTCTGGTAACCATTTGTTTCCCTTTTTCCCTTTTGGGCAACCATAGGCAATAACATATTTATGAGTACTTCATAAACTCATTCAATACTCTTTTATTGAGGATTTGCTGAAAGCCTAGCTGATGCCAAACAGCAGAAATCCAGATGTACGTATAATTGTTCTTGTCCTTAAGAAGCTCACCATCTGATGGGGGTGAGGAGGAGCCAGGATGACAGAACCGTAAGTCGCCTGTGCTTTGAACAGTAGACGATCAAGGGGAGCATAGTCCAGTGTTGGGGGTTATGGGGTTGTCAGAAAAAGTTGCTTTTTGTTTTCTCTCTCCTTCTCCCACCTCTCTTCCCCTGTCCTCATCCCTTTTTCCTCTTCTCCCCTTTCTCCTCTTCTACCTTCTTCATCATCATCGCCATTATTTTTCCAGATAATGTTTGTTGACCCAGAAAACTGTCAGGTACTATGTTGATTTCTTTATGCATATTAACTGAATTAATTTTTGTCTCACTATTATGAGGTATGTGACTTTATTTTACAAATGAGGAGTCTAGAGAAGTTAGTTACCCAAGACTCATACATTTACTTACTAGTAGAACCAGGATTCGAATCTTGATAATTTGACTCAGTGACCCACAGACTTAACCACTAGATAAATGCAAAAGATGCTGAGGCTGGATCATTAGCAATGAGAGATTCAGCAGGTGGACAATCTCAGGGGGAGCATGGTAGGTGGAAGGAAAAGCGTGTGTGCACGCAGGCACAGAGACAATGTAAAGCAACCTCATCTTACTTGTTAGGTGTCAGGTATGACACCTAGGAAAGTGACTTACACATAGTGGACTTTCTGTAATAGCTCTTGGCTGAAAAAGAAAGAAAACTGTGCATGCTCTTTGGCCAAGAGTCCATCAATATCCCACCCCCTGGCTATCTCTCGAGTTCTGTATCAAGTCTCACCTCAACTAGGAAGCCTTCTCAGACTACATTTGCACACAGTGACTTCTTCCTCAGATCCATATAATAACACATTTCTGTAACTCTCTCAGATGGCATTTAATTATAAGGCATCTTGTGTATTTGATAATTGTCATGTATATATGACATATGGACTCTCCAAAAATAGAGATCATGAGAAGCTGTGTGATGGAGTGGAAGAAGCACCAGTTTGGGATCAGACAGATTTGCATTTGAAACACCCTCTGACACCTCTGTTCACCAGCCGTGTGGCATGGGGACAAGAGCTTACATTCTCTGGATCTTATCTTTAACTTTAATGACAATTAAGTAAGATAACATTCCTGAGACCATGTAGGCCTGTGCCTACCATATAGCCCTGCAGCTAATGCACATTTATTTCTTCTTATGCTGCTTTCCTCACTCACAGTTTCTCAGATGAGGCCGTTTGTAAATATGCTGTAAGGAAGTGTTACAACACCTTGAGAACTGGGTAAACCCATTTGCTTATGTCAAAGACCACTGGTCATCTAGTCAAGCCAGAGGGGAATCAGAGTGTTGTGCCCCAGGAACCGTTTCTCAGAAATTAAGAAACAAACAAGGTGCCATCCCCAGGGTCAAGCAACTCTTCTAATAGCTAATAACTCTCTGAGTGCAAGTGATGAGGAGAGTCCATGTGCTGCTATACTTTGGTTTAAGCAGTGGTTTTGGGAAGTGTAAAGTATGCTTGCTTTTCCCATATTATGATTTGAAATGTTGTCTATGCATTTGAAGTGAATTATGCATTTCCTCACATATTAACTCATTTGTTTATTCAGTAAATATTGAGCACTTGCTCTGTGCAAAGTACTCCAAACCTAGCTGAGACACACAATTGAAGGGACAAGGACTCTGAGTAGCAGTGGAAAGTCTTTGTCTCCAGAATCATGCAGCCTCGGTTCAAACCCTGACCAAGCCCTCACTAGTTAGGCAGCCCTGGGAAGTCACTAAAAACCATCTAAGACTTAGTCTTATGTGTAAAATAAAGATAGTAATAGCACTTGCCTAATATGGGTTACTGTAAAGATTCAAAGAAGTAATCCAAACAAAATATTTAGCACTATTCCTAGTGCACAATGGGCATTTAATAACTGCTAGGTGTATGTGTGTGTGTGTATGTGCAATATTCTAATTTTTTAAAGCTCATAATTTTTTTTTAAAAAAACTTCTAAATAAAAAAGAAAGATTGCTAATGGTTAGAGAGATGTAAGAACATCTTTTAGTTTGGCCCCTGAAGGAATTTGCCATATGTTCCTAGCTATAATTGTGGTAAAAAGTCTTCCTTAATATAACATTTCTAGGAGCCCAGAGGCAATTACTTTGTCAGGAGTTGTAGGTGGCAGGTGGGCAAGGGTGAGTGAGAAAAGCTCACAGAAGAGATGGCATTTTACCTGATAGGGAAAGGTCTTCATGTCAGAGAAACAGAAGAGAAAAGGAAGAATGAAGTTATACTGTTATGAAGTGTCAAGTAGTTCAATTGTTCAAAAAATTGCAAATGTCCAAATGTTGGAGAATTCTAAATGGCCAAAGTGGCTGGAGTGTCATTTCTAGGGTCAGTCAAAGAAGAGGAAGCCTGAAATACTGACTGAGGCAAGATTGATCAGGGGGTTGGATGCCATAAGTATTTTGATGCAGTCTACAGATTCTCTAGCCATATACTTCATTTTCCATATGGGAAAAGGCTTCAGAGGGAAGCTTGAGAGGTTGGCTCTTTCTGATTTGCACTGCTTTATTTAAAAAGACACTCCAAAAAAGTGACTTAACACGATTTATTGTTTTATAATGCTGTTGGTTAAGCTAGCACTTCTGCTTCATGTTGTGTCGGTGGGGTACTGGCCAAAGGTACTGTAGAAGGTACAAAGTGTTCTTGGTTACATGACTGTAGCTGGTGCATATCACCCACTGGGAGCTCAAATGCAGTAGCTACCACACCCTTAGTCCTCTGCCATGTGTGCCTCACCACGTGACTGCTTGGGCTTCCTCACAGCATGGCAGTCTCAGTGTAGTCAGACTTCTTATTTGGTGGCCATCTTTCCACAAAGTGCAAAAGTGGAAGCTTCCAAGCCTTAAGATTTAGTTCAACAAGTGGCAGAATGTCAGGTCCACCACATTCTGTTGGTTAAAACAGACCATGTTTAAAAATATAGCTTATGATTAAAGCATCACAGGTTCAAGGGGACTATACTACAGCATGCATACTGAGAGGAGTAGTTTACTGGGGGTCATCCAAGGAACAATCTACCACATTAAATAACTTCCAAAACTCAAAACCTGTAAGCAAATAGTACTGCTGGAATTAGAACCCAGGTCTATTCTTTTTCTTTCAAAAATGTTCATGATGCCTCCAGGCATGGAGTACAACCTTCCCATTGCCATAGAGCTTGAGTAAAAACAACTATCGCTGAGCAGCTATATCCAACTATATACAAATAATCATATTCTTTGTCCTAAGAGTCCAATGCAGCCACAGTTGTCTTTGTAGATAGCAACACTTTGACCTTCATGGTTGAATGAGGAAATTAAAAAAGCCCTTAGATAACTAAGGAAATTACTAGTGACACAGAATCCACTTTTGATTTCAACTGCCAAAAATATCATTAAAAACAGTTACCATCTTCTGGCCAAAGTTTGAGAGCTGTTCAATGCAGGACTAATGAACATGGCACTATTGATCTTCTAAGACTGTGCAAGACTGATCAGTATCATAGCTATAAATTATATTTATGAAGACATTCAAATAGCACACAATGATTACTTTTTCTCATGAAAGCCATGAGTAGCTGCAGAGGCATCCATTTTGCACAAGGTGATAGAATTGCTTCTTCCACAGTTATCTGACCAAAACAGTAAGATGGATATTCATCAGCAAAAGGCACAATCTCATTTTGTTGACTTGGTGGTTTCTGCTATGTCTTCTTTCTTGCATGCTTTGTCTCTCAAAAGAAGATACTATGTGAAATCATTCTTCATTTAGCCTTCATCTAGCCTTTATCTTTTTAGTAGCTTCTTTTTTTCTTTAATTTGGTGATTTAGCAAATCAGATCCTTGGGAAGATGTATTTAAGAACAAGAAATGAAGGTAAAGGAGTCACAAATATCCAAAGGAGCGTATGATGGAAAAATGTCTATGATCAAACAGAAAAATCTCTAGAAATCAGGTCAAAGTCCCATTTTTCTGGTAAAGAAACTGAGGCTCTCACTTGTGAGGTAACTTGCTCAAGATTATACAGAGCACATTTGGCCTGGCACTGCCTGGCATCTGATTGCCTTTCCTTTAGAGGTCAGGTTCTCCTCTCCATAGAGCTTTGCCTTTTTCATCCTGTAATTTTTCATTTTAAGAAGATGAAGGATAAGAAGGATTGTGCTATTGTATGAACATTTGTGTTCCCTCCAAAATTCATAAGTTGAATCCTAGCTCCCAAGGTGATGATATTAAGAGGTGGGGCCTTTTGGGAGGTAACTAGGTCATGAGGGTTCTGCCCTCATTAAAGTATACCTTACAAGACATTACAGGGAGCTAGTGTCTTGGATGGGAGTGATTCTCTTCCATCATGTGAGAATGCAGCTAGCAGGTACTATTACCACGGAACTTAACCCAAGTCACAGAGCACCAAAGTATGCTAGTGGCAGCGAATCTGTATGGATCTGCAGCAACCTCAATTCTTGCCGCCTCAGGTGAAAGAGTTCAACCGAATAGCATAAGGCACAGTGAGAGACTGAGCGAATTTTAGAGCAGGAGTGAAAGTTTATTAAAAATTATAGAGAAGGAACAAAGTACACTTGGAAGAGGGCCAAGCAGGTGCCTTGAGAGAGTCCAGTGCACGGTTTAATTTTTGACTTGGAGTTTTATACGTTGGCATATTTCTGGGCATTGCACCCCCTCTCCCCTGATTCTTCCCTTGGGGTGGGCTGTCCTCATGCACAGTGGCCCACCAGTGCTTGGGAGGGGCCTCATGCACAATATGTTTACTGGAGTTGTATGCGTGCTCGCTAGAGGCACTCTTCCCTTACCAGTCAAGTGTTCCTAGAGGAAGGTCAAGAACCAGCTAAACTGCCATTTTGCCTTTTAGTGCACACACTTGAGTGCCCATCTCCTGAGATCTTATCTGGAAGCTGCTGATCACCAGTTTCAGGTGTTTCTATCTATTGGGAGACTGCCATTCCCTGGCGCCAGCTGTGACCAATTATTATTTTAGCGACACAGTTTAACAACCCCCTGACCATCACCTGATGGTTGTCTGACATTTGTGGTTGGGTGGGGAGGGGGCCTCTTCTGCCCTGCTCATGTCTTACTAGCTACCTACTGTAACAGTATCATCTATTAGAAACAGGCCCTCATTAGAACCATATCTGCCAGGACCTTGACCTTGGACTTCTAGCCTCCTGAAGTATGAGAATAAATTTCTCTTATTTATATGCTAATACTTTATAGTGTTTTGTTATAACAGCCTGAACAGACTAAAATAGGCTGTGTATGAAAAAAGGTGGATACCTGGATGTCAGAATCCAGGGTTTCAGTCTAAGGTCAGACACTGAATCATTGTGTGGGCTTGGACAAAGCATATAACTTCTCTGGGCCTCAGATTCCCCCACTGGTAAAATAATGTTTAAACTAAATGATTACTAAGATCTTGTTAAGCTTAAAATTCTGATTGCCTTTTCCTGACTAGCTCTGAGGAGGCTTGGGTCTATGGAGGCTGTATTAGAACATTACATTTTAAAGGGAATAAAAAAAAAATCACTCCAAACCTACAGTTTAAAGGAGACACTTATCCCCGACAGAAATGGTTTTTCTGTGGTTGCAGAGGTCAGCAGCTGTGGGAGGCTAATGTAGGTTGTCTCTGGCTCATTGGCAATCATGAGGCTTGATACGCATTTGAAAAAAACTAAACATTCCTAATTACCTTGAGAAGGGATAACTCATTATAAGTGCACGCTAAGGAACTTCAGTGACATTTATTCCACATTTGTGTACAAATAGATTACATTATTTAACTAAATCAGTTTGGGCAGCTGGAAGCTACCCGTATTCTCATTTATCCCTGTGGAAGATTGAACAGTGATTAAAAGAGAATACCCCTTTAATTCCAGATGTCATACACATTCCACAAGGAGAAGGTTTTGTAAGACTCCATGATTACAGTCTTACATGAACCAAGCATCTTCTTTAATGCCACAGCTGAATTTAGAGATGGGGAGAGGTGCTACAAAAGCCAGAAAATCCCATTTTTGTGGCCATCTGGGACAAATCAGTTCTGGGTTTTTTTCCACCTTCATTAGGAAATATGCCACTCCACACCCCCTTCCTAACATGCCTAAGATTATCATAGTTGAGAACCAGAACCTTCTGTTTGGTGGTTTGGTTCCTTAATTTGGCCATCTGGAATTCCAGGTAGCACATGGTTTTAAAGTGTGAGCTTTCAAGTGGGAACAGGACAACAAGGCACAAGCTACCATTTGGAACACCTCAATTCTTCAAACCTTGGACACTGTGGGTTTTATTTACTCTTCTTTTTCCCCCCATTTTGTCCTCAAGGAGGCAGTTAAATGGATTATATTTGAAACATCCTTGTCCCCATGGTATAGAGAATCTGTTTCTGACAAAAGTGACTGAATGCATTTGACTTGATATGGCTCTTGTGACAGCAACTTGAAAATAGACCTGGAGAAACTAAAACTTGTTAAATACATATTTATTATGAGTCAGACAGTGTGAGGCATGTTCCTTAATCTCTGTTAATGTAACTGTCTGCGGGGTCAGCTCCATAGGCCTTATGACCTGTGCAGTCACATAGTACCCAGGCTTCGAAGGACCCCACACTTGATTTAATGTGCTGTTTTCGTATCTTGAAATTTTTAATAATTTTTCAACAAGGGCCCTCGCATTTTCACTTTGAAATGGGCCCTGCACACTAGGTAGCTGGTCTCAACTGGCTGGATAAATATTATTATTTGTGTGTGCATGCCTGTGTTTAACAGATTGAAACATAATAATAATAAAGCAGCAGCTCAGTTGAATCTCAAATCTACGTTTGCTAGACACCAAATCATATGCTCTTTCCTCATTACTTTTCTGAAAAATAAGAATTTGCAAATTCATGGCATTGTTTCAAAAGACTCACTGAATCTCTACTCAACACATATTCTACCCTCTCATCTTATGAAACCACTCTACCCAGGAGAGCAGAGGTAAGGTGGGAAATAATAAAATGGTAATCAATGTAATAATAACAACAATAATAAACATATTTCTGAGGCTTACTCTGTAATTTATTTTTTCACATTTATACATCTGGACATGTATAAATTATGTGGCCACACATGAGAAACTAGTTATATTTGAGCCTCACCAAACCATAAATCTAAGACAATAATTTTTATTATTTTAAATTACAAAGTCATTTCTGTCATACATTTAAGTGAGCGAAAGTGACTGTTGTCACATCACATCTTTCTCAAAAAGAAAAAGACATTTCAGATGGTAAATAAGTCAGGCTTAAATATTAAGTGTTAAACTTGAGGCAAATTCAAAATAGTTGGATTTCTTTTTCTCTTAGAAAAAAATGTGTCATCCTTTTAGGATTCACATACTTTGTGCTGTGTTCAACACTTTAGTGTTGAAACACAAATTTTAAAAACTACATAAGTAATTATACAAAAATTAAGCAATAATAATATGCATTCACGAAATACATATTGACCTCCTGCTATGTATCAGGCACTAATTTCACAAAGAGAATACAGAGATTAATACACTGATTAATCAAATATTTACTAAGTACCAGTGTGGGCCAAGCACTGTGGAGCCATTAAAGGTACATTAGGGATACAGACTCACCTTCATGGTGCTACCAAACTTACTATGATGTGTGGTGGAAAGGGAATAAAATATGAAATTTCCCCATCCTCTAAAATGTTAGTTTCATAGGAAAGATACACATTTTTTAAAAATATAAATAAAAAAATATGAAGTGAGATATGCAAAATGTATGTAGAAGATTTTGGAATCATATTTATCGGTGGACTTAGTCTGAGCAATAGAGATGTTTCCCTGGAGAGGTCACAGCCAAGTGGGGTCGGGGAGAAAGACTCACAAATAGTATTAGAATAACAAATACAGTAGTCAATTAGGGAACCAGCAGCAAGGCATGGAAATTCAGAGAAAGGAGCATTTGATCCAAAGTGGTAGGCTGGAATCAAGGATACCATCCTGGATCTCTAAGAGGCAGCCTTAGAGTTTAACAGGGAGTCACCTTTACCCCATCACCCAATTGAACCTCAACTTTCTTCTTGGCAAAGTAGAAGTTGGAGGGCAACGAAGGATGGTCTGTGTCATCTACAGGTTTCCTGCTAGCTATGAGAACTCTGTGACTTAGTGATTTCAAGAGGTACTCTTGATTTCAAGAGGTGATTGCATAAGATTGAAAGAAGGCAGAAGAAATGCCTGACTAAGGGAAAAAGTCACAAAAAGCTTGTCTAGAAAAATGCATGACACATTTTAACAACAGCAGTAGCCACGGTAACAATAAAGCATTTGCCAAAGGTAATGGCAGGCACTGCATTCAGTTTCACATGCTTGTTTCTCATTCTCACTGCAGTGACATCATGCCTTAATTTGCTAATTTCATGGTGACTAATGTATAGACACTCAATATCTTTTACAATATGGCTTTTTCCTGGCTGCTTCCTCAGCTTTGATCATCCTCATGCACCAAGGCAGCTGTTGCAGCATTGTAATTGTTTTCTATTGATACATAATACATATTTGTAGGGAACATGATATTTTGATACATGCCTACAATGTCTAATGATCAAATCAGGATATTTAGGATACCCATCACCTTACACATTCATCATTTCTTTGTGTGGAGAACATTTCCATCTTCTCTTTGTTGATAAAAAAGGGTCAAACTCTTTAAAATATTTGGAGAGATTTATTCCTAGCCAAATGTGAGGACCATGACTCACGACATAGCCTCAGGAGTTCCTGAGAATATGTGCCCAAGGTGATTGTTTTACTGCTTGATTTTATACATTTAAGGGGGGACAGAATTTATACACAGACATCAATCAATACACGTAAGGTATACGTTGGTTTGGTCCAGGAAAGTGAGGACTTCCAGGTCATAGGTGCATTCAAAGATTTCCTAATAGGCAATTGGTTGAAAGAGTTATTATCTAAAGACCTGGAATCAATAGAAAGGAGTGTCTAAGTTAAGGTAAGAGGATGTGGAGACCAAGGTTTTCATTATGCAGATGAAACCTCCAGAAGTTATTATGCAGATGAGAACTTTAGAGTTCTTGGCCGGGCCCGGTGGCTCACGCCTGTAATCCCAGCACTTTGGGAGGCCGAGGTGGGCGGATCACAAGGTCAGGAGATCCAGACCGTCCCGGCTAACATGGTGAAACCCTGTCTCTACTAAAAATACAAAAAAATTAGCCGGGCGTGGTGGCAGGCACCTGTGGTCCCAGCTACTGGGGAGGCTGAGGCAGGAGAATGGCGTGAACCCGGGAGGTGGAGCTTGCAGTGAGCAGGGGAGGCTGAGGCAGGAGAATGGCGTGAACCCGGGAGGTGGAGCTTGCAGTGAGCAGAGATCGCGCCACTGCACTCCAGCCTGGGCGACAGAGCGAGACTCCCGTCTCAAAAAAAAAAAAAAAAAAAAAAAAAAAAAACACACACACAACAACAACAACAACAAAAAACTTTAGAGCTCTTATCAGACCTAAAAAGTGCCAGACTCTTAGTTAATTCTCTCCTGGATCAGAAAAAAGACTTGGAAAGGGAATGTAATTCTCTACAGAATGTAGATTTTTCCCACAAGAGACAGCTTTGCAGAGCCATTTCAAAATAATACATTTTTGGTTAAAACACTTCAGTTTCTTTCAGAGCCTGCTATCATGTGATGCTATACTACAGACAGGTTGGAATTTGGTATCTTATTGCTACACGGGGTCTGTTTTGTCAGTCTCCAGATCTGTTTTAATGTTAATACTGGTCAGTTGTGCCTGAATTCCAAAGGGAGGAGGGTTAAATGAGGCATATCTAACCCCTGCCCCGACCCCATCGTGGCCAGAATTAATTTTTCCGGTTTACTTTGGAATGTGCTTGACCAAGAGAGGGGTCCACCAGTCAGTTGGGGGGCTTAGAATTTTATTTTTTAGTTACATCTCCTAGCTATTTTGAAATAGACAATATATTGACGATAGTCACTCTATTGTGCTGCCAAACACTAGGACTTATTTCTTCTGTCTAACTCTATGTTTGCACCCATTAACCAACCTCTCTTCATCCCAGCCACCCACCCTCCCCAGCCTCTAGTAACTATCATTCCACTCTCTACCTCCATGAAACCTACCTTTATAGCTCTCACGTATGAGTGAGGAGAAGCCATATTTGTCTTACCGTGTCTAGCTTATTTCACTTCATATAGTGACCTCCAGTTCCATCTATATTGCCGCAAATGACATGATTTCAGTTTTTATGGTTGAGCAATATTCCATTGTGTATATATGCCATGTTTTCTTTATCCATTCATCAATGTTGTCGATGGACACTTAAATTGACTTCATATCTTGGCTATTAGGAATTGTGATGCGATAAACATGGAGGTGCAAGTATCTCTTTGACATGCTGAATTATTTTCCTTTTGATATCCTTTTGTTAGATAACCAGTAGTGGGATTGTTGCATCAGATGGTAGTTCTATTTTTAGTTTTTTGAGTAACTTCTATGCTGTTTTTTATAATAGCTATACTAATTTATAGGCAATAAACCTGAATAGACATTTCTTAAGACGTACAATTGGCCAATAGGTATGTATATTTTTTTAATGCTCAACATCATTAATCATCAGGAAAATGCAAATCAAACCGCAATATCATTGTGCTCCAGATAGAATGGCTGTTATTAAAAAGACAAAAAAAAAATAGCAAATGCCTGTGAGGATGAGAAAAGGAGCTCTCCTGCACTGCTGGTGAGAATATAAATTAGTGCATCATGCTTCTGATAGCTCTGCCTCTAGCCCACTTTCCATGTTGCAGCCAAAATTGCTTTACTGTGATAAAGACCTGACTAGTTCCCTGCTTTAGAACCAAAGGAAGTTTTCCACAGAGTCCAGGATAAGGGGTAAACACCTTCCCTGGCAATCAATATTCATCAATGTTGGACCCAACCAACAGCCCGGACCCAACCCACCTTCACAAGCTTACCCAACACACCATCGTGTGTGATAAAAAGAGATTAGAAATCAGACTTGGGCCTACATTCAAATGATGAGTCTTAAGTATCTGAGCTACTTGGGGAAAGTTAATTCACTGATTTGAGCTTCAGTTTCTTCATCTTTAAAAAGTGGTTTTAAATGAGAGAATCAGAAAGACAACAGCTCAGCTCTAAGAATTTGGTACATGGCATGGGAAATGCAAAGAGGGGTACAGTCACTGAAGCACGACACCTTATCATGGCAAAGCCCCCGAGGCTGTATTTTGGAGTTTTTCTGGAATCTTGAATTAGTCCCTGTCTTAAGTAAAAACGTTTAGAGAAAAAGAGAAGGGTGGACACCGCCTTAGGGTGGACATCTAGCCGTTCCTCACTTATGAGCTATGTTGTATTACAGAATTTCTCTCCATTCTGTACTGTAAGTTTCTTAAAAGAATCATATTTAACCCTCTGAAAATCTCTTTTCTGTAAAATGAAAATAATGAAAAAGTAGGTATCTCAAAATGTTGTTGTGATAATTAAATGACATCCATATAGATGCTTAGAAGGTACCTGCCCAGCCCATAGCAATTCCAGAAATGTTCATGAGACTTTTACAATGTTAATAGCCTGAAGCCACCCATTCCCCACTCTAAGTGCTCGGGCATGGGTGAAGCATGGTCAAGATGGTACAGGGGTCTGGATTGCTTGGCTATGGTTATAGTAAATCTCCTCATGAAATTGGACTCAGTTCTCCCTTTTTTTTTTTTTTTCTTGAGACGGAGTCTCGCTCTGTCGCCCAGGCTGGAGTGCAGTGGCGCGATCTCTGCTCACTGCAAGCTCCGCCTCCCGGGTTCACGACATTCTCCTGCCTCAGCCTCCCGAGTAGCCCGGCTACCGCGACCGGCTAACTTTTTTGTGTGTTTTTAGTAGAGACGGAGTTTCACCGTGGTCTCGATCTCCTGACCTCATGATCCGCCCGCCTCGGCCTCCCAAAGTGCTGGGATTACAGGCGTGAGCCACTGTGCCCAGCCAATTTTATTTACAACTTCAGAAACATGACATTGTTTGCGTTTCTGAGAACCCAGTAGAACTGTGATTAATGTTTTATAATTGATGATAGTTCTATACCACTTCTAAGCATTCAGTGGTGTTTCCTCCAGGTTGCTGAGGCCTGACATTGGGATGCAGGGGTAGCATATATGTTGGATGGATCCTGGGGAGCCATACGGTGCCCTTTCCTCAACACTCCTCTTCCTACCTGGCACTGTGCTTATGTGCTCAGCAAATCTCTTTCACTGTAGGGTGATGCAGCTAATTAGAGTGCAAATAGCCTTGACTTAGTAGTCACATAGTACTGCTTCCTAAACCAGATTTGCTTCTTATTAGCTGTATAATGCAGGGTAAATATTTAACCTCTCTGAACTTCAGCTTTGTTATATGTAAAATAAGGCCATCTAATGTGTGAGCATTACATAAATTTGAGATGGCAATATCTGTAATGTACTTTGTATGAAGTATGGTATATGCTCAGCTCTTAATGGTAACAGATAAACTTCATTTACTATTAAAACTTCCCGTTAATAACATAATATTGCCTCTTCATTTATAACACTTTATCCTTGGTGCAGGTGAATCCATTTTGACACAGTCAGGTGGACCTTGTGTTCTAGATCCTGGTGGCATCTTCACTATCTTGCTTGCTAGTACATAGAGTTCTTGTAACAGGTTACAGTGTTCTTTTATCAGTCCTATTCCTGCATCCAGAGCTTCATTATGATTCAGTCAGCATTCAAATTTGGTTCAGCACATGAAACATCTGTTCACTTAGCAGATCAGCCCCTTTCCCAGATATTAGTCTAAATGAGTTCTACTGTACACATTATTTATCTTTCCCCCGCCCCAGCAACTGCCTAAATAAACATTTGCTCAATATGGAGCAAGTCTTTCAATTGAAGAGAAAAAATGATCTATATTTTGTAATCTCCCCCAAGGCATTTTTTCTTCTTTTAAAAATGCTTCCATACAAAAATAAAAGCATCATTGTTGTTATTTTCTACTGCTATACTGTCAGAGGACTATACGGCTTTCTGTGGATTCAGGAATGCATTACCTAGTAATACTCTGAATATAGGTGGCATTCCACATAGTTCAGGTCAGTAAGCATTTAATGAGCACATATTTAGTTCTATGTTCTGGTAAAAAGAGCTGTTGGTACAGACCATGCCTTTGAGGGGCTTAGAGTATCTTGGAGATAAATGTATAAGAAATTATTACAGTGCTGCTTGTGGTGGTTAATTTTGTTTCAACTTGAATAAGCCACGGAGTGCCCAGATAATTAATCAAACATTACTCTGAATATGTCCATAAGAGTGTTTCTGGATGGGATTAACATCTGAGTTAGTAGATTGAGTAAAGCAGATTGTCCTCTCTAATGTGAGTGGGCCTAGTCCAATCAGTTGAAGGCCTGAATGGAACAAAAAGTCTGAGTAAGAGGGAGCTCTTCCTCTGAGTTTTCTGAGCTGGAACATTAATCCTTTCCGCCTTTGGACTCAAGCCAAATTAACAGCTGTCCTAGATCTCTAGCCGGCCTGACTCACCCTGCAGATCTTAGGACTTATAAACCTCCCGAATCATGTGAGCCACTTTCTTATAATAAATTCCTTTCTATCTATGTATATGTGTGTGTGTGTGTGTGTGTGTGTGTGTGTGTGTGTGCGTGCATTCCATTGGTTATGTTTCTCTGAATAACTCTTATGCACGGCTAATAAATTGTCTTTAAATTTAGAGAGTATTAAATCTAGACTGTAGCTCTTCCAGGCTATGAACGGCTAGAATACACTAACTAGGTCAAACATTTTAGGCTCCCAGGCACCACCTCTGTGTTGTGAAAGAAGACTTGCCTTCTAGTCTCTACATGATCACTTACTAGCTATATAAGTATTAGGTGCAGTTATATCAGTAGCACACCAATATTAGGATTGTTTTCAAAATCAAACATGATAATATATCCTAAAACACATTATAGGTCATCTTGCATAAACATTAGGGTTTTAGTAGTACCAATACAGAGTTGTCCAAATTTCTTTTTCTGAATTTTTTAGGTCTTCCTGAGGTTAGAAAGGGAGCTGTAATCTAGAAAGAAAAAAAAAATAAACTGAGAGAGCTATCTGCTGACAAGCTATACTCAGCCCAGGTCTATAGCAAAGCTTGCCACTGATTACAACCCATGACCAAGACTCTCTTCTGTCTATCCCCAGTTGCCCACCTTGAGTGGAACATAACATCTCTAAATTTGCCTTAAATAAATACATACCATTTATTACTTCATGAAAACTTTGATTCATTTTTTCCATTCAATAGCAGCACATTTCTGAGCAGCTATATGAAAGTAAATGGTAAATGGATGGTAAAAGCCATTCTGATGAGGCCTCAGACAGAAATGACTAACAAGGTATTGGAAACTGGATCCTTGTTACATAGTTACAAAGAACTTGGCAGAATTGTGTCCATGCCCTAGAGCTGTATGAAAGGTAGAATTTAAGAGTGATGAACTGGGATATCTGGCAGGAGAAAGTTAAGCAATGACTCATTCAAGGTGCTGGATGGTTTCTTTTGGATGCTTACAGTAAAATGAGAGAAGAGAGAAATGATTTCCAGGTGGAATTTATAATTAAAGGGAATAAACATTAGAAATATTTGGAAAACTCTTAACCTGGCCATGCAAAGAATAAAAAAGCATATTTGGGACCATTTGGTAAAGAGATTGATATGGATAGAAAGATGCAAGGTTTCATTTATCAAGACAATAAGAGCATGACCCTCAAAGCATTTCAGATATTTTCGAGGCAAGCTAGGATCTTGAGCGCAAGGTTTCCAGAGAGGTGCCTGTGAGACCCCAGTATTTGCTACCCAGGGGACTCTGCTCCTTGAATTTGTACAGTACTCCTTGGCTGCCCCAGCTATGGCTCAAGGGAACCCAGGTTCAGCTCATGCCAGGTATAACTCATGTATGCCACAGCTCTAGAGGGTACAAGCAGAAAGCCTTGGTAGCAAACACTTGGAGCTGACTCTACAGATGCAACTGTGGGGCTATGCAGCCTCCATCTAAGTTTCAAAAAATCTGTCAGACAGCCTTGGGGTCCAGGCAGAAACTTGTCATGAGGCAGAGCCACTGCAGAGAGCCCCCACTATGGCAATACCCTGGGAGCCGTGGAAGTGGGGCCACTCCTAAGATCCCAAAAGTGTAGAGCTACCAGCATGCAGCATCAGCCTAGGGGAGCTGCAGGCAGGAGACTCCCAACCTGTGAGAGCTGCATGGGCTGAGCCCAGCAAAGCTGTAGGGGTGGGCTACCCAAGGTTTTGGGGGCCCAACCCCTGCCGCTCCTAGTGTGTTCAGGAGACAGCATATGAAGTGAAAGTTTATTCCTAAGCTTTAAGATTTAATTTTGCTTTCTCTTTTGGATTACTTGGAGCCTGTTATTTCTTTCTTTTTGCCTATTTCTCCCATTTGGATTAGAAATGTCTATCCTATACCTGTTTCGCCGTCACATTTTAGAAGTATGTGACTTGTTTTAACTTCACAGTGGGAAGGGAATTTGCCAAAGGATAAATTGCAGCTTGAGTCTCACCCGTATCTTATTTTGATGAGACTTCGGACTTTTAAGTGGATGCCAGAATAAGTTAAGACCTTTGGGAGTATTGGGATGAAATGAATGGATTTTTCCCTGGGCTTACATTTTGGGAGCCAGGGGCAAAATGCTATGGTTTTAATGTGTCCTGCAAAGTTCATATGTTGGAAACTTAATCCCCAAAGCAACAGTGCTAAGAGTGGAACCTTTAAGAGATGATTAGGTCATGAGGGCTCTGCCCTCATTAATAGATTACCATTGTTATCACAGGAATGTGTCAGTTATTGCAAGAGTAGATTTGTTATAAAAGTCAGTTCAGTCTGCTCTTGCTCTCACATTCTCTTGCCCTGCTGCCTTGCATCATGGGTTGAAGCAGCACCAAGCTCCTCTCCAGAGGTATCCCGACAATGTTGACTTCTCAGCCTCCAGAATGTAATACATAATTTTGTTCTTTCTTATAAATTACTCAGTATCAGGTTTTCTGTTACAGCAGCACAAAATGGACTAAAACACCAGATACTATGGTGAAAGGGCTAGCTGATATGGACCTCAACAATAGTTATAATTTTCTGTGTACTCATTTGTGTGAGATATTTAAGCTAGAACTAGTAATGTTACTAATTTTAAAATTATATCAATAGTTATATAAATTTATATCAGATATATAATAAAATTATTAAGTTATTTATATAATTTAAGATTTATATAAACACATCTTAAATCATCTTCTCTGTTGATTGTCTTACTACAGTTTAAGTATCCAATTTGCTTACAAACCCACTTCTGAATCAGTATGTCCTCTGAAAGAGTTTCATATTGTGGTACAAACTTCATTTTTAAATAAATTTTACTGAAATATTACATACACACAAACACAAATCCTATATATACAGCTCAGCAAATTTACAAGGGGACTCCCACTTAAATCAAGATATAGAACGTGTAGGCACCGAAGCTTTACCCTGGTGCCTTTACTCATCATTAGCCTGCTGCCAGTGTTAACCATTTTTCTAACTTCTATCACAATAAGGGCATTGTTTTTAAACACAAAAGCTAGAACTTGACAAGGATTCCAAACAGAGATGGGGTGGTAGGATTAGCTGACGTTTAAGTCCTCTCTATTCTTGGGATTCTATGTTAATTTTTTTCCTGTAAGTCACTTTTATATCATTTTGGTATAGCCCTGTGACATTTCTTTCCCAAATATAATTTTGTTCCCTTTTAATCTCTACCCTTTCTCTATCCCTTTCTTTTATTATCCATTCTAAATGTGTTATTCAGAGAACTTGATATTAGTAGTACTGTGAAAAAATCTCAAAGCCCATGATGCACTGAAAATACACTTTTGACATTTAATCATGAGTAATACAGAAATATCACAGAAAATTTGGACAATAAGCCAAAAAATGCACCCATAAGCCAACCATCCTAACAAATTACCATGTGAATTTTGCACAGTGTTTTCAAACTCGTAATAAATTATTATTTACATTAGTCAGCAGCCCTGTTTATGCCACATCATGAGCCTTTCCTCATGTAATAATATAGTGAGTATAATGATTAGTGGCTGCATAATACTGCAGTAAGTAGATACATCATACTTTGTCTGAACAGCAATTTCGGTGGCTTCTCATGTTTTATCAGCATAAATAAAGCTGAATTGAGTATCTTTTTGCATATACCTGTGTTCTTCATCTGTATTACTTACGACAGATTCCCAGAAGTATGATGGTGTAAGTGCATGTTCATGTGCAAGGGAGCACAAACACTTCCAGCTTTGCATTTTGCTGGGTAATTAAAGTAGAGGAGTGATAGATCCCCAGAAGCAGAGATGTTGATTTCATGAACTTTTCTGATTTAAAAATCAGAAAACCAATAAGCCATTTCTACCTAGACCAGATCAATTACTTAGGGACTCCGACATTTAACTTAAAACATGGCTCAGGGCTAAACTCTAGTATAACTGGGCTATAGTTGCCACTATATGCTCAACTGGTAATTTCTCTGTTCTTCCTAGTTTGTAAAATAGCCATCCAAATGGCTTACAGTCATTATTGCTGCAACTTGAGATTTCGGCAAAAATATATTTTGTAGAGTATAAGGCCTGAAAGGAACCCATTTAAAATTTCAAAAATGAATCAGGTTAAGAGAGAGAAAGAGAGGAAGTAAAACTGCAGTGAGGTGAATGGAAAGAAAGGAGGCATACAAGATACGTCTTTTGGAGTTACAGAACATGGACGTTGGAACTGATTTTCCCAGGGATAATTTTAGTATATTACTTAAGCTCAGAAGCTCTATTTATTTTATAGTTTCTTGGACTCTAAGCTAGATAAAAACTAAACTTTATTAGTTGATTGATTTAATATTATAAAATCAGGAATCAATTTATTGACACTTAAATTTTATCTAATTAGCTTAATAGAAGTGGTTTCTTTAGAAGAAAGAGCTGATATAATGAAAATTTAGAGGAAACACAATGTTTACTGAAAATTTGAGAAACTGTCTCCATGTGTAGACTATTTTATTCGTGAAATGTATTACTTATTTGATAGACTATCCGTATTGGTCCGTTCTCACGCTGCTATCAAGAACTACCTGAGACTGGGTAATTTATAAAGGAAAGGGGTTTAACTGACTCACAGTTGCACATGGCTTGAAAAGCCTCAGGAACCTTACAGTCATGGTGGAAGGGGAAGCAAACACATCCTTCTTCACGTGGTGGGAGGAGAGGGCAGTGCAGAGCGAAGTAGGGAACATCTCCTTATAAAGTCTTTTATAAAACCATCAGATCTTATGATAACTCACTCACTATCACAAGAACAGCATGGTAGAACTGCCTGCATAATCGAATCACCTCCCATAAGGTCCCTCCCTCAATACATGGGGGATTACGATTTGGATTACAATTCAAGATGACATTTTGGGTGGAGACACAGCCAAACCATACCACTATCCCTTATCCCTTAGAGTCCACTTCCAGAGGCAAATATGACTGTATTCCTGGAATGGACCAATGGAGATGATCAGAGAAGTCTCATATTAGCATAAAACAGTTGACTAAGTCTTGAGATTGGAGTAGAAGTTCATCAGTGCAGTAAAACATCACTTATTTAATGAATCATTAGTCTCTGAACACCTCTAATTATCCAGATATTCAGCTTAGGGCTTGGAACAGGAAAATATAAAACACAAGTCCTCAGGAACATAGGCACATATCCACAATTACAGTGTATTAGGGTATAGGCTAGAAAAGAAAGAAAGGAAAAGAAAGAGGAAAATAAGTACTGGGCTTGGAGCTCCCCAGACAAAGTCAGGGTTCGGGGAAGGTTTCCTGGAGGAGTCTTACTGGAGCTCAGACTTAATAATAAGTAGGCATTCATCAGGTGAATTTGAAAATGGGTAGCTTTCTGAACAGAGAAGCACAAAAGCCCTAGCATATCTGGGGACCCTGGAATATCATGGGAGGCAGAGAGTGTGTTATATCTCATAACCAAGACAGCTCCTAACTGACTAAGGGACACGTAACATATAGGGCATTTATACGCACTGTAAAAAAGAGCCAGCAGGCACTGAGATATAAAGAGCCTTGAATCTTAGTATTTTTGCAGTAGAAACTGGGAAGTCAATGAAGGATCTTAGACAAAGGAACAACAGTGTCAGGGCAAATGTTAGGTAGATCACTGTGAAAATAGTGTGGAGAATATGTTAGAAGGTATAGGACTAGAGGTAGAGAGAACAATGAGGAGGCTTCAGCCTTGGTTCTAAGAAGGGAACATCAAACTTCATCTGTCAAAGCCAGGTAGTAAATATTTTAGACTTAGCAGAACATATGTTCTATATCACAACTACTGAACTCTACCAATGTAGCACAAAATCAGTCATAGACAATACATACATCAGTAAATGTGGCCGTGTCCCAACACCATTTTATTTACACACAGTGAAATGTGAATTTCAAATCATTTTTGGATGTCATGAAATATTACTTTTCTTTTGATTTTTTTAAACCACTTAAAATGTGGAAAACATTCTGCTGTTTCATGGAAAACAGGTGAACACCTCAACTAATACAGTTGCTGTAAGAAGGCAGCTAAGTAAATGGGTTTGAAAAGCATCTGCTATAGGACTCAGGAACTGACCACTTTTATCTGGTTAAAGAGGATTATTTTCAAGGATAACTCTCAGTACTGTGGCTTCAGCACTAGCGGGGAAGGTGATGTCTCCAATCCGATAGTAGATCCAGAAGAAAGAAAGGGATTTAGGCATAGGAGGACACAGAGGCTAACAAGTGCTTTTTTGTTTTTTCAGTAATTCAGTCTTTAGCAACTCTGGTGTATGACATTCTCCTGAGGGAAATATTTTAAATTTTGTGTGCCTTAAGTAATTTTTTTTTCACTCTTGGCAAGCACTCGCTTACAATTTTGGGTCAAAAAAAATACTTTTACTATAGAAAGTATCTGAGAGAAATTAATGTTCATTACTAATATCAATCCTTTAGAATATGTCACCTCCTTTGACATTTTCAGAAAACTGCCTCAAATAAGCCCCAAATGCAAATGTGACCCATATGCCAATGCCATATATCTGGCTGTGTACACACTGCATTAAAAAGCTCTCTCAAGCTAGAATTTTTTATCATTCCTGCATGAACTAACTCTCATGAAATAATTAGGAGGTACACAAACTAATGATAAATGTTAGCTTTTGGAAATGGGTTTTGATGAAATTATCATAATCTGATTATGCAGCTTCAAAGAACCTTTCCTAAGCTCGATTTTTCCTCATCTGATCCAATCTGCAACTGTCTATGGCCAGAACAGCCTCTGCATGAGGATTTATGATGAGGGCTTAGAACTGCCAGCAGAGTCACTTCTCCCTGAACCATAAATATTCATGAAGGAGAACAGGTACTCTGTATGGCTTCCTGCCTCTTGGGTAACCCCAACATTTTGGTCAAGGCCCTATACTACTAAATAAAGAGCAATAGAGAATTTTCAAGTTGTAAAATAAATTACAATTTCTTTTCAAGTATAGCAAGGTGGAGTTGTATGGTGGATTTATGAGTCAAATAGGCTGGGATACAGGTCTAGTCCTTCCTTTTACTTAACTCTATGCCTTGGTCAAGTTACTTAACTTCTCTAAGCAGATAAATATAATCCATGGAAAGCACTAAGAAGGGGCCTTACTACATAGAAAATATGACATAATAATAATACTATTACCTATTCTTATTTTTACTACTGTGTAAATTACTAAAATCTCAGGGTATAATTTCAGATAAACGTATTGTTAACAATGTTTTTATATTAAAACTTACAAAATCACTAGAAGATGAAAACAATCAACTATTTTTGTGAGCTTACTATGCTTAAACTTGGCCGTTTTTCATGTTATTTTATAACAACCCTGCAATGAATTAATATATTATCCTCATTTTATAGGTAAAGAAAATAAAGCTCTGAGGGATAACTATACTAATATCATTATATTAGTGAGGGTCAGCTAGGCTCTGTTGCGATAATAAAAGAACCACACTTTTACATAGGAGTTAGAAAAGGCTTTCTTATGGTCATATAACTACCAAGAAGTACAATAACATGTTACATTAGTGTCTTAGTCTGTTTGGACTGCTATAACAAAAAACCTTAGACTGGGTAATTTACAAACAATGGAAATTTATTGCTCAAGTTCTTAGGCTGGGAAGTCCAAGATCAAGGCACTAACAGATTTGATGTCTAGTGAGAGCTGGTTTTCTGCTTCATAGATAGCACCTTCTAGCTATGCCCTCATGTGCTAGAAGGGACAAATAGGCTCCCTCAAGTCTCTTTTACAGGGACACCAATCCCATTTGTGAGAGAGGAGCCCTTATGACCTAACTATCTCCTTAAAAGCCCTACCTCTTAATACCTTGGGGGTTAGGGTTCCATATATTAATTTTGGGGGGACACAAATATTCATCATAGAAATTAGTATTTATTCCTAACTGTTGAAAATAATGATGTATTCAATAATAGCATTTTTGTGTGCAAAGCAGCTCTCTGTTGTAAGTTGAGCCAAAATGACAATTCCTGTTTACCAGATGAGTAAACTGAGACAAAGAGTCTCTTTCTTAGGATCTCACACGTTAGTATCAAAGCCAGGTCCAAACTCCAGGGGTCCTGATTCCTGAGACCATAATATGAATTCTATATGCCAATATTGCCTAAAGTGTGTTAGTTGAAAAAGAAAAAAAATCATCTTTGGACTAAATATATGTTAGAAGTAGAAAACTGCTGTAAATAAAGAAGCAAATGATTTGTTTCAGGAACTCCCAAAGGTCTGAAGAAACCAATGCATTTTAAGACTTTTGGTGAAGCAATACATTTTTTTTTCCAAACTTATATGACCCAAAACCCTTCCTCTTAGAATGTCCCATTGGACACAGCTCACTCTTAAGGAGATGCTGACCCTTTATTATACTGCCAGCACTTTACAGAATATCAACTACCTGATCCTTCTCATCTTCTTTCCCAAAGAAATCTAGACAAACAGTTGTTGCTTTCTGCAAGTGTGGGGCTTCAAGTGTGGGATCCTGCTTCAGTATCCTTTGGTGAAGAAAGGAAATTAGACAACTTGGATATTCCCCTTCACTTATTCTTCCTTTTCTCTCTCACACACTCACACATACAACAAATACATCCTGTTCATTTTCTAATCAGAATTCCATGCTAAAAGAATCATCTTTCTGTTCTTACCATGTTTGTGAAACATAGGCCTCTTCGTACAAAGATAAAGAAAGTTTCCATTCTTTCCACAGATTACCTGTCTTTTGAAATGCATTTTGTGGTCCACTCAGTCCATTTCTAGAGTATGAAAAGAACAGCACATGGTAATTAAGACAGTCACCGCATGTGCAACACTATAATAATAATGGTCAGGATTAGGGACCCAATTTTGCCCATGTTTATTTGCAGATGTGTTCATTTTGATCTGCATATCATGCTGTGGTGCTTGTGTTCAAGGCTGTCATAATGTGCTGTGCATGTGTTATATTTCCAGTGACTTCTTTCTTTGCTGGCACCAAGGAGCATCTGATTCAGTGGGAGACAAGTTGAGGAGCATTGCTTCCACGCCATTCCATCTTCCCTACCTGGTCACTGGCCCCACATAGACAGGTTCTCTCAATCCAACCACAGAATTCCTCACCACAAAACACTCACTGTTCTCCAAATGAATGTCACTTGTAATAATTGGCCAACATTTTTATTTTTTTAATCTGTATCTATTATGATGTTATTTTAAGGCAACAGATTTTATGCGTAATTAACTGATAAAGTAGCTGAGGCTAAGAGAGATTAAATAATTTTCTCAAGTTTCCATAGCAGGTAAGAGATTTCTCTAAAGCCAATGTTCTTAGCACCCCAAAAAGAGACAATGGGGTCTCATGGTTAAGACTGTGGATGTTAAAGTCAGAGTTCAACTCCCAGCCTTACCTGTAAAAACAGGATGTCATCTAGCTTCCACACTGCTTGAGGGATTGACTGAGGTTCACAGACCTAATATCTCTTTGTGGTTTAATAGCGACTAAAGACAATAAATACTAGTTCCTTTCCTTTTTAAATTATAATATTAACCTGACCTAAGTTTGAAAGAGTATTGAGCTGACAGGTAATTTTTTTTCTGCTGCTTCTTGCATTTTTACAATTTATAAATTTTAATACTGATTATATGAGACAATACTAAAAAAGGTACATATATATGCATATACATCCACATATATACATTCATTCATTCACTCATTCATACAAAATATAAGTGTAGCTACCAAAGTGGCCTCAACTAATAATAAAAGGAAATGTGGGAAAGTAAGTGATAATTTGGCTTTGGGGTACTGAATCCCTCTCTTTCTCATTTCCATTCAAACCGTAACCTATTCGCAAAGAGGCAGTACTGAGTGTTACCGCCTTATGGGGTAGAGTACAGGGAGTGACTGTGCTCCTCCTTCAAAGCCCACTCCTGATTGATTACTCCACAGTGCAAATGTGAGCTCCTGGGTTCCCTCTCTCTGGACAGCAGAAGAGGAATCCTATTTCTTGTTGAGGAGTAAAAAATGTATCCCTTATTTCTGGAGTTTCCATTTTTATGGAGCCAGTTTGTAGGGTGGACGGGAGGCAGGACACTGAATTTGAAGAACCAGAGCATCTTCTCGGCACCACACTGCAGAGAGAATGATCAGAAGAGCTGAGCTCTAACTGTGGCTTCCCCTGACCTTGCTGGCTGTCTCTAAGCTATGCACCTCAACTCTCTGAACTTTAGTTTCTTCATTTATAAAATGAGGATATCAGTAGCAACTTGATAGGATTGTTGAGAGGACTAAATGAGTTATTGTAAGGATGAGCAGCACACCAACAGCAGAAATAATTATAACATGGCCATCATTTCCTTCAAATTAACACTGGAGGTCCCAATTTCATGGAGCTTTTCAACATTCACCTCAAATTCTTTGAACGAACATAGTCTTCAACCTGTTTTCTCAGCTGGAGTGGTTGCAAATCAAATTTACCCTTGACTTCTAGAAATAAAGAACCGCAGTATGTCACATTCCTGAAAGGTCCTCTGAATGGCTTTTATGAGTGCTGTGCGTCGGCCTCTCACTCTGTGTGTGCTACAGCCTGTGCTGTTCCATGAGTGCTCTCATTCAGCCCTAACAACAGCCATACAAGGTGGCCACTAGCACGGGCCTTGTTTTCAGATGAATAAACCGAGGCACCAAGTTGGGTTGGATAACTTGTCCAAGGTCAGATGCAGGTAGAGCCAGGGTGAACCCTCAGGCCCCCTTCCCCAGAGCCCAGTGTCTTTCCTCTGTTCCATTCTGCCTCTTCAGAGAAAGAAATCCAGAGGGAACTGCCATGTGCTTCCTGTCATTTCTCTAAATTTAGACGTGAAAATTGATTCTGAATAGGAGAAGAGAAGGAAAGCTCTACTTATCTGTGATTCACTTCCACAAATGTTCATAGGTCTTGAAGGGAGGCAGCCAAACCTGTAACAGAAAAATAACCATCAGAGATTCAGACCTTAAGGATAAGTCATTTTACATGGATTAAAGGGATTGATTTCTTGGTATCCTTTCACAGATGTTGTTTATGAGACACTTACTATGGGTAAAAATAAAACGCATACTTCATCAATATTAAGTTGTCATAGCATCTCAATATAAGCTGTATCCTGAAAGTCCCCATTCCAGGTCTCATTCTCCTCCGGCAAGTTCTTTTGCTTCTCAGAACTCATTTTACTCATCTGCAACACAAAATGAGCCACTGAGGCACTTTCAGCGTTGGTGTTCTGTGGGTCAGCATTTATTGGTAATTTACTATCTTGCTTACTTCCCCCAAAGGATACTCAGTGACAAAGAAAAACATCAACACATGAGTAGAGTGGATAGTTAAAGGAGGAATCAGAAACAATACAAAGAAAGAGGAGATAATTACACCAAAAACATGGATAAAATAATTACTATAATTGAGCAATAAATAACATTGTAATTTATCTAGGCCTTTAATTAATTAGTCTGCAAGTCGGTACCGTTTTGTCTGTTTGCTCTGGTTCCAGTCTTGAATAGTCATTATAAGGAGGATGTAGGAAAACCAGCCTCAGACTGGAGCAATGGGGTAGCTGGGGGGAAAATGCTTCCTATTATCACTAAATCTCTAGCCTGATCCCAAGTGGTAATTGAGTTCACACACTGAAAAATTCAGAGTGAAAACCGAAGTCTCCCAAACCACTGCCTTGTTTGCAAAGGGACATTTCTCAAAGAAGCCTGAGAGTTCAGCTTCCTCCGTGCACAGGCGACCTCCTCTGATGCCCCTCTCTTGCCTGCCTTGGCTCATAGCTATGCATGCTTCTCTGCTGCCCCTCTACCCTGGGCTATGAGCTTGGGGACAGGAATTTCTGGTTCATTTTCACAGATTATTTAAAAAATCATTCCTGTATAAATGCATAATAGCCAGAATTATATGATGCAGCCAACCCAAATTGCCCAAATTGCCTATTTTATTCACCCTTTCATGTATTCCACAGACATTTATAGATTCTCCTACATGCCTAGGTCTGTGCTAGGCACAGGGGAGCTCATCCTAGCAAGACTGGCAAGAAGCCATCACTTAGAGTAGCCCGATAGGTCCTCTAGTAAGAGTTCTTCAACCTGAGCACCACTGACATTTTAGGGCAGGTAATTTTTTATTGTGTCGGCTGTCCTGTGTATTGTAACATGGTTACCACCACCCCTGACTTCTACTGACTACATTTTAGTAGCAACCCTCCACCCAAGTTGTGACAGTCAAAAATGTCTCCAGAAATTGCCAAATGTCCCCAGGGGGGCAAAATTGTCCCCACTTGAGAATCACTGTAGTAGAGCAACCCAGTGGGGCTGCAGGTCATGGAGGAGGGAGTAACATGATATCGCCTACTCTAGGTTAAAGCACAATACAATGCCATGGTTAAGAACACAGACTCAGAGCCATATGGTTGGCATCTGAAGCCTGGCTTTCCTCTTTCTAGCTGTGTAACTGGGAGACAGTGATTTAACCTCTCTGTGCCTCAGTTTACATATATTTGAAATGTGGATGATAACAGTAATTGCCTCCTGAAATTGTAAGGGTTACAATAGTACATTGCAATGGGCTATTTGCCTGCCCATCTCCACTCTAGTCAGTGAACTTCTTGGGGGAAAGAATCTGTGTTTTCACCTCTTTTTCCTTACCCAGAACTACTTTGCTTTCATGCTAGCTTTAGTGCTAATAGAGGAATGTGAAGCATTGGATTTTTCTGAGTTCAAGCCCTGGGATTTGAAAACCCTGGTTGTTTCACCCAATTACTAAGCCAAGTTGCAGAGATAATAGCTATAAGGAATGACCAATAACGATTCAGGCTTGTTTAGAGAAATAAGGGAATTAATTGATGTGAAAATCCTTGTCACTAAGTATGGCACCTGATATATT
Source organism: Homo sapiens (assembly GCF_000001405.40). Lineage (NCBI taxonomy): Eukaryota > Metazoa > Chordata > Mammalia > Primates > Hominidae > Homo > Homo sapiens. Next base: position 79,884,360 of record NC_000011.10, on the reverse strand, counting down.
CTCAAATAAGTGTCTGAATCTGAGAACAGATGCTAGGGGGTAGAGTGGAAATGACTCCCACACTTCGTGTTGTCCCACATAGACAGATAACAGTCTAGATTGTTTCCCTGACCCAGGAGAAAGCATCTGCTCTATTCCCGTGGTCAAATGGAATAGTTAATATCCAACCAGCCCTGCACCAAGAAAGTATCACATATGCTCTCGGCCAAGGAGCAGATTATGATAGCAACCTATGTATCTGCCCATAAGGCTACCAGTACCAGCTGTAGGTGACTTTAGTAGGCCCAGCAATGGGGATGGCAGGAGATTTCTGTCCACTTCCCCCCAGCAGTTTGCCCATCCCACCTCAACACCTCATTGCTTCACCTGTACTGAATTGCTTTAGCCCAAACCATTCACTTGTTCACGTTTTCAGCTAATAATTTATCTCCCTAGTAGTTCCAAAATTGACATCCTTAAAACTCCTAGTGGTGGCCCATCATCCAGCCTTAAGGTATCCCACCTTGACATCTGGCCTTTGTCAACTTCTCCAGCCACCTTCTCGCTGCACCTCTATGCACCCCATTTTCCAGACACAAGGAAAAGCATCTAAATAATTTTGCACAGCTATTTCTTTTCTCTGGGATGGTCTCGCCTCCCCTGTGTCTGTCCAGAGACTGTCCAGTTGTCCTCAATGTGGCTGCCCTGTCACCTCTTCCTGCCTGTTCATGGGGCAGAGATGCATAACCTGTCCTAGGGGCTCTCCCTGCTTACCATGCTCACCTCTACTCTCAAGCCTGTTGCTGTATTACCATCTGCTTATGCCTCTGCTAGATCTTCTAGGCCATCAGCTGCTGAGGGCCTGGTCTAGGCTTTCATTTCTCTTTGAAAATCCAGTCTGTGGAAGCCATCCTTCCTTCAACTCCAACTCTTGCACGTCAGTGCTGTCCCAACTCATCCCTATTCATCAACCCCTTCCACCAGTTTCTACAAATAAATGTATCCACTCCACCAGTTGTGTGACTTTACAATTTTATTGCAGTTTTGCAGGGGCATGGGGAGAGGCCTCAGCTCGGACTACAGTGTCCAGCTCTAACCTCCCTGGCGATCCCATTTTCCTCCCATTTGCCTTCTTTCCTTTCCTCAGCAGATTCCTGTTGTGATTGCACACAAAGCAGCTTTATCAAATTCTCCACCACCTTGGGAACAGAAGATACCCAATTTCCCTGGGACCCTCCTGCCATAAGCAGAATAATTAAAGCATAACCCAATATAGTGAGTCTGTCTCTGGCAAAATAATTTGCCTCCTGCTAAGAGAATAAAATTTTTCTTTGACACATTATACCTGTGTTCTCAGTGGCCAGTATAGGACCCGACCTGAGATACATGGTTATTGAATGTGTGAATACATTAATTTATAAAATGGTATGTATGAAAGTTATTATAAACTGAAAAGAATCTACATCATTGATAAATTATATTATTTTCATAACAATTAGTAACAAGTAGCCCTGCTTTGGGCATCCATTTATAAGAAGAGGATAAGAGCCCAATCAGGACATCTCAGATTTCTCCTAAGTTTTCTTTCCTTGCTAAAGGAGGCAGTTGTTCATGCACTCTGGTATGACTATGGCAGGAGAATCTATGGCAAGAAGGAAGAAATAACCCATTTGGGTCACCATAGAGTGAGAGTATTAGCAGAAATGAAGCTTCGTGCTCAAGGAATAAAAAAAGGCGTAGATTTGTTTCTTTCCTATCATGTTATGAGGAAGCACAAGCTAATTTATGGCAGGAGGCCACATGGTGCTACAGACAGAGTAACGGGATCAGAAGCCAGTCAGATCTGATTTCAAATGTGACTTTGACAAATGCATTGCCACACTATGCCTCAGTTTCACCTTTAGTAAAATGATGATGAGATTATTTATCATTCATCTGAGAAAGAGAATCCTGGAGAACCAAATTGTCTACCTTTATCAGAGTTTTCAATACAGATCTAAGTAAAGAGGACACAAATCAAAGAAACCACTATTAGTTTAGACATTTGTGTCAAACTGTGGCCTGGCCCAGCTCTGGAGATTCTGGTTGAATTATACATGAGACATAAGGATGACCTTGAGCTTTTACATCCAGAGCTTAGGCTACAAATGGGAGGAAGCAGCCATACGGAAGAACAGAGAAGAGACATATAAGGGCATGAGTTTCAGGCAGAGCATGAATCCCAAGACATGTAATGCAAAGAGGGAGACACCTTCCTCGGGGAGATCCCAGCAAGTTTCTTTGCTTGGCACAGCAAAAGCATCCATAACCACCAATGTGACTTGGCTTATTTATGTCTTGGAACTAACTGATTCTGCCACTGTAAATAATAATGAAGAGACACATACACAAACTTTCTCTCTCTCTCTCTCTACACACACACACACCCACACACACATACACACACATACACACACACACTCACATGTTTCTTATTCTCTCCCCCCTCCTTTTCTTCCTCACCATTTCCCTCCCTTTTCTTATATCCAGACTCACAAAGAGAGTGATCATGAATGAATTACCAGTCACTGTCCAGTGTAGAATGTCAGATTTTCATGGTAGGCTTTCAGCCTATGGCTGTCATTGAGTCAGTCAGTCTGTGGCCAATTAGCTGCGGCTGGGATAAGAAAGGAATCATGGCATAGTACAACTTCCTGCAATAGGACTTCAGGATAGAGCACGTATTATGGGTTATCTTAAGTACAAATGCCTAACACAAGAAAACAAAATAGTGAATATTTCGCCCTCCACTGACTGATATGGTAAACTGGTGCAAATTAGAAGATGGCACCTCTTCTACCAATAAACAGAAAATTGTTTAAGAAATATGCAAATCTCTGATAACCGTGAAGTACATCTGCCCTCTGGAGTTGTAAAGTTCAGTGTCACCGATTTTATAAGAAACTATACCTTATGGTATATAGAGTGATGGTTCAATGACAGCCTCTCCCTGTCTCAGCTCATTTCAACTCATCTGAGAAGTTCGAAGTTATGCTGCCTTGAAGACTAGCATAATGGTTAGAAGTACAGTCAACACCATTTAGATTTGGTTTGAGTCCTGACTCTACCATTTACTATATTTACCATTGACCTTGGTAAATACTTAACTGTTCTGAATTTCTGTTTTCTCATCTGTAAAACAGTGATTATGATAGTACCTACCTCATAGGTATTATTGTGAGGATAAAGTGACATAATGCTGCAAAGGACATATCACAGTGAACTGCATGCAGCAATACTCCATGAATGGTATTATTTGCGGTTCTTATGGTGTGGATGGGAGCAGCAGCAATATGAGCCTAGAACCATAGACCTATATGGCTATCACAAAGGTTCTGAAGTAACTGCTTTTCTTTCCTTCAAGACAGTAGCCCCAAATACCTTTAGAACAATAAAAGTTAGCATATCTGACTGCTTAGTGCCCTGGGAAGCCAGCCTGTTCTCATCTGGGTCCAAGCACTCAATTTCTCCATCCTCCCCTCCCATCAGTAACTTAGGCCTGCTCCCAGTTGTTTTGGCGTTATCCATGTTTTCCCATTCTGCTTGGTCTTGAACAGACATCACCCTCCACTGAGAGGCTCACTTGTTGTAATGCAGTGCCCTGAATCAAAAACTTCTCATGGACCAGGTTCTTTACATAAATAATTTCATTTCATCCCCAAAACAACATTTTACTGGTTGACCCATTTCATAGAAGGGTATTCAGAGGTATAGAAGAGGTTAAAAATAACTTCCTAAGCCATTCTGCTGGCAGATAACTGAACATGTACATGCAATAACTTCTCAAATTTCACCTTCCATGCCCATTCTGCACCCCCACCCTTTGGGAAACAATGCTGAAAGTGATGATGACAAGGACGATGTTGATGACGACAGTGACTACGATGATGACAATGATGCTTTCTTACATCCCTAATTACAGCAATTTGGCAATCTTACTGCTCACAAGACATTTTCATAAACAAAGACCTCTCATCCACAAAGAGCGATCAATCTTGGTGGTTGGAGGATGGTGGCTATACTCTCATCAGCCTCCAAGCAGGAAGAACCTTAATAAAGCACCCAAGTCATACTCTAACCTTCAGTTCTATGAATATTTGGCCAGGAGCTGTGTTCTGAAACTCCTCCCAACTCATTGCCATATGACTTTGCCCCTTTCAGTCTCACCCTCTTCTGGAATAAAAACCTTTGCTTCTTCTGGAACTTCCCTGTTTTGGTTCTCAAATATAAATTATTCACTGAGTACACGTCTTCTCATTAAGTTCTTTATTGCCTCGAAAGAATTTTGGGCTGCTGTCTCTAAATGATGACAAACAATTATAATATCAGGAAATTGTGGTAGATGATTGGTTTATTTTACTGATGTTCCCACTGGCACCATCACTACTGCCAAAAGTATGATTTCTTGTGAATTTGCTGCATTTCTCTTCATTTGGGACAAAAGTAATATAGGCTTCCAAAAGTCACATATTCTATCACTAAAGACATGCTTTTAAATTCCAGTCTAAGGAAATCATTTGAAAAGACCTAATCCTTTTAATTTACTGGCTCAACTAAAGGGATCCAATTGAAAATTTTCTTATATTCCACAAATGCAGCTTGCTCTGAGTACGAAGACCTGCGCTCAGCCCTGGGAATGTAGACATAAATAAGACATGATCCTGACCTCAAGAAAGACATATTCCACCCAGCCACAAAATTGTAGTGACTAAAAGGGGCTTAGGTACAGTCTAGAAAAAAGATACTTGAGTTTCAAAATTAGAAAATTGGGCTATAGACAAGGAAATTAACTGTCTCAAGACACTTCTATAATGGATGGTAGAGCCAGGATTACAACCCAAGCTTAACATCTTTACACATTATTCTATTCAGTCTCTCTATAAAGATTTATCTTAGCATCTTAATCATCTCAGTTCTGTCTAATTTCAATTTTAGTATGCATGCTGCTCAAGTGAGCCATCGAAGCATGACCCTTCACAAGCTGCTTCTCTGGACACCATCCCTCTTCCTCCAGGCCAGATGGGTGCTACTCATCTGTGTCCCCAGTCCTCTAAGCTTCCCCCATCATAGTACCCATCACACAGTTTAGGAACTGTTTCTCTCTTTAGTAGACTGTAAGATTCCTGAAGACATAGGTCAGGTCACATTCACTTCTAGCTTCCAGTGTTCAGCACGGAAGCTGGCATAAAATAAGTGCTCAGTCGGAGTTTTCTATTTGCAGAATGAATAGAATGAGCACTTGAAGAAGTAAAGTCAGACCAATCCTAAAACTTATTTTTGATTGTTTTGCTAGCCCTGCGAATCATGTCTTTACTGACATGATGACAGAAATTCTGGAGAAGAGAGGTCACTATATATAATATCTTCAGTTGCAACATCGTTATGCTCCAACAGAGTCAGGGTTACCATTATTAAATCCATAGGGTAGGAAAAAAAAGAAGAAGAAAAAACAAGCTAAATAAATAAAGTTATAGCCATACCAGGAGGTTTATTTTTAACTTACTGTATTTATTTATGCCTTGCATCTACTATAAATGAAATCAAGTGAAGCCTCAAGACAGGACTTTCTATTTTGTTGTTTTATTTTTTTCTACAATGAAAAATTATAAAGCAAGTAGGGGAAAAAAAAGACAGAGCACATCTGAGATATGATACTATGTTTCCAGGAACTTCATCAATTGTAATCATAATATTAGAAGAGGATACGTTTGAGAGTCAGAAGACCTGGGTTCTTTGTTTCACTCTGCCACTAACTTGCTGGCTAGCCAGTCAGGACTTTGAATTAACTCTTGTAGGCCAGCAGTTTCTCAGTCTGTCAAATGAGGAGTGTGGACTAGATTGGATAATTTCTAAATCCCATACAAGCCCTAAATATATAAGTACCTTTGCTTTCATCAATGCCTTCATGGAGCTAGAATCACTGGGAGGTGACAGCCCAAGAGCCATTCCCAAGGGCCGGTAATAATACCACCTTTGCTTCTGCTGCAGCCATTGTGAGGAGCCTTAGAAGAAAAACTCCCTTCTTCCTTTGATCTGGTAAAACAAGCAACTTGATTTATTTAAAATAGAAATACTTGCCATTTATTGGACCCTTCCTTCGTTGCCAGTCACTATGCTAAGTACCTTTTATACATTATTTCATTTAGTCTTCATAACCACACCAAGAGGTAAAGTCTGTTTTATTGCCATATCAGAGAATATTTCATATGGGGAAATAAAAACTTGAAGTGGAGTAATTTACCCAAGGTCAGAAGGACAGAAAGTGGAAGAGCCGGAACTTTGAACTCAGTGTTCACCAAGGCCCTTGCTCTCAACACTGCGGTACGTTCTCAATGTTTGAAGCCCAGATAGCTCTCTGGAGTAAGTCTCCCGTTGTGCGAATACTTTTGATGCAGGCTTCATCCTGGGAAGTAGGAGTATTTGTAGTATCTCACAGTTGGGAACCAGTACCATCAAGACTTGGACTCCGGGTTGAGAATTGGGATTTATCTTGATGGACATGGAGGTCCTCTAGAGGTTCCTAAGATATCCATGGTTCGAGATTTTCTTTCACATTTACTGTGAATGATGGTCTTCTCAAGAAAGCCACAGGTCTCACTGCTCTTTGATCTCTCTACACCTCACTCTGCCAAACATTGAATGACTCCCTTTTGTCCAAACACCACTCATAGTTTGTCACCTCCAAGCCTTTGTTCATATTATTCCCTTATGTGCTTCCTTTTTTATTCCCATTCATCCAAGCCCTACACAAGGAGCTTTTGAGCTCCTCCTCTGTACCTTCTTTCATGAGCCTGCCACCGCATCACCAGGAATAACTCATTTCCTCCTAGGTTCTCATAAATTAAAGGAGAGAAAATAGGTTTAGAGGTAGATTGGAAGTAAACTCACCTTGATTAGTACATATTATGTGTCAGGCAGTATGTTGGGTATTAACATGTGCTAGCTTTACTCTTTTCAACCACTCTGCAAGTAAGATAACTACCCTCATAATGATGTGAGACTCCAAGAGATGTTGAAAATTGTCCAGGGTCACAGAGTCAAACTCACTGGTGGGTTCAAGATTCAAATGTAGTTCTTTTTGAATCCAGAACTCAAGTTCTTTATAACACATTACATCTACACCTACAATAATTTTCACAATAACTTTTCAAGGGCAATTCTTTAATATCCCCATTACTCAGACATGAAAACTCCAATCTGAAAGTTAAGAATCTTACCCAAACTCAAACAAATTTACAAGAAAAAAACAAACAACCCCATCAAAAAGTGGGCAAAGGATATGAACAGACACTTCTCAAAAGAAGACATTTATGCAGCCAAAAAACACATGAAAAAATGCTCATCATCACTGGCCATCAGAGAAATGCAAATCAAAACCACTATGAGATACCATCTCACACCAGTTAGAATGGCAATCATTAAAAAGTCAGGAAACAACAGGTGCTGGAGAGGATGTGGAGAAATACGAACACTTTTACACTGTTGGTGGGACTGTAAACTAGTTCAACCATTGTGGAAGTCAGTGTGGCGATTTCTCAGGGATCTAGAACTAGAAATACCATTTGACCCAGCCATCCCATTACTGGGTATATACCCAAAGGACTATAAATCATGCTGCTATAAAGACACATGCACACGTATGTTTATTGCAGCACTATTCACAATAGCAAAGACTTGGAACCAACCCAAATGTCCAACAATGATAGACTGGATTAAGAAAATGTGGCACATATACACCATGGAATACTATGCAGCCATAAAAAATGATGAGTTCATGTCCTTTGCAGGGACATGGATGAAATTGGAAATCATCATTCTCTGTAAACTATCACAAGGACAAAAAACCAAACACCGCATGTTCTCACTCATAGATGGGAATTGAACAATGAGAACACATGGACACAGGAAGGGGAACATCACACTCTTGGGACTGTTGTGGGGTGGGGGGAGGGGGAAGGGATAGCATTAGGAGATATACCTAATGCTAAATGACGAGTTAATGGGTGCAGCACACCAGCATGGCACATGTATACATATGTAACTAACCTGCACAATGTGCACATGTACCATAAAACTTAAAGTATAATAATAAAAAAAAAGAATCTTACCAAAACCTACAAAAAAGTTTCACAACTAGTAGGATCAAAACAGTTGGAAATTAGAACCAAGGTTATACAGGCTTACCTTGTTTTACTGTGCTTCACTTTACTGCACTTCATAGATAATGTGTTTTTTACAAATTGAAGTTTTGTGGCAACCCTTCATCCAGCAAGTCTATTGGCCTCATTTTTCCAAAGTCGTGTGTTCAGTTTGTGTCTCTGTGTCACATTTTGGTAATTCTTACAACATTTTAAACATTTTCGGCCTTATTGCTGATATGGAGAAAGTATTAGTGGTCTAAATAGAAGACTAAACCAGCCATGACATTCTTTAAGCCATAGCCTAATCCAGAGTAAGGGCCTAACTTTCTTCAATTCTCTGAAGGCTGAGAGAGATGAGGAAGCTGCAGAAGAAAAGTTGGAAGCTAGCAGAGGTTGTTTCATTAGGTTTAAGGAAAGAAGCCACCTCCAGAACATAAAGGTGCAAAGTGAAACAGCATGTGCTGTTGGAGAAGCTGCAGCAAGTTATTCAGAATATCTAGCAAAGATAATTAAGGTTGACTACACTAATCAACAAATTTTCAATATAGAAAAGGCAGCCTTTTACTGCAAGAAAGTACCATCTAGGACTTTCATAGCTAGAAAGAATGCTTGGCTTCAAAGCTTCAAAGGACAGGCTGATTCTCTTGTTAGGGGCAAATACAGCTAGTGACTAAGTTGAAGCTAATGCTTGCTTACCGTTCCAGAAATCCAAGAACCTGTAAGAATTTTGCTAACTCTATTCTGCCTGTGCTCTATAAATACAGCAACAAAGTCTGAATGACAGCACATCTGTTTTACAGCATGGTTTGCTGAATAGTTTGAGCCCACTGTTGAGATCTACTGTTCAGAAAAAGAGATTCCTTTCAAAGTATTACTCCTCACTAATATTCCTGGTAACTCAAGAAATCTAATGGAGATGTACAAGGAGACTAATGTTGTTTTTATGCCTGGTAACACAGCATCCATTCTGCAGCCCATGGATCAAGGAGTAATTTTGACTTTCAAGTCTTATTATTTAAGTATGTTTAGTAAAGCTACATCTGCCATAGTGATTCCTCTGACAGATCTGGACAAAGTAAATTGAAAACATTATGGAAAAAGATTCACCATACTGGATTCCATTAAGAACATTTGTGATTCATGGGAGGAGGTCAAAATATCAGCATTAACAGGAGTTTGAAAGAAGTTGATTCCAACTCTCATTGGTAACTTTGAGGAGTTGAAGACTTCACGGGAAGGAAGTAACTGCAGATATGGTGAAAATAGCAAGAGAACTAGAATTACAAGTGGAGCCTAAAGATGTGACTGAATTGCTGCAATCTCATGATAAAACTTTGTTGAATGAGGAGTTGCTTCTTATGGATGAGCAAAGACAGTGGTTTCTGAAGAAAGAATATACTCCTGGTGAAGGTACTGTGAACATTGTTGAAATGACAACAAAGAATTTAGAATATTACATAAACTTGTTTGATAAAGCAGTGGCAGGGTTTGAGAAGATTGATTCGAATTTTGAAAGAAGTTCTATGGTAGGCAAAATGCTACCAAACACATCTCATGCTACAGAGAAATATCTCATGAAGAGTCGGTCAATTTGGTAAGCTGATTATTGTCTTATTTTAAGAAATTGCCACAACACCTCAACCTTTGACAACCACCACCTCGATCAGTCAGAAACCATCACTAAGGCAAAACCCCTCACCAGCAAAAAGATTATAACTTGCTGGGCCAGGCACGGTGGCTCACACCTGTAGTCCAAGCACTTTGGGAGGTCAAGGCAGGCGGATCACGAGGTCAGGAGTTCAAAACCAGCCTCACCAACATGGTGAAACCCCATCTCTACTAAAGATACAAAAAATTAGCCAGGTGTGGTGGCACGTGCCTGTAATCCCAGCTACTCGGGAGGCTGAGGCAGGAGAATCACTTGAATCCGGGACATGAGGGTTGCAGTGAGCCAAGATCATTGCACACCAGCCTGGACAACAGGGAGAGAATCCATCTCAATAAAAAAAAAAAAAAAAAAAAAAATTATAACTTGCTGAAGTCTCAGATGATGGTTGACATTTTTTAGCTGTAAAGTATTCTTTCTAAGGCTTTAAAACTTGATACATAATAATTGTACATATTTGGGGGGTACATGTGATATTTTGATACACGCATACAATGTGTAATGATCAAATTAGGGTAATTGGGATCTCCATCACTTCAAACACTTATCATTTATTTGTGTTGAGAACATTCCAAATCTTCTCTCCTACCTAAGCAATAAAGTATTTTAAATTAAGGTGCACACATTGTTTTTTAAAATAAAATGCTATTGTACACTTGATAGACTATAGCATAGAATGAACATAACTTTTGTACTCATTGGGAAACCAAAAAAATTGTGTGACTTAATTCATTACAATACTCACTTTATTGTAGTGGTCTGGAACTGAACCCGCAGTATCTCTGATATATGCCTATACTTCTCTTTCTATGCCATAGGAGTATATTGTGCATTATATTATATAAAGTTTCTGTGATATCATGATAGAAGAAATACTTATTTGGTCTTCTTCCTCCATTCTTTACACATACCCTTGAAATTTCCTGAGTGATAAGGGTGAGAGGAACATCTTTTGTGATTCCTAATAAGGCCCCTTCAACCATAACTTGAGTTTTTATTAATGTGGTGACTCTTGGAAGATGGGAGCTGGTTGTCAGAGGAACCAACCATGTGGTTAGAAGGTTGGAACTTTAAGCCCCACTATCTGGCCTGGGGTGGAATGAAGATTGAGCTAATTACCAATGGCCAGTGATTCTATCAATCATGTTTATGTAACGGAACCTCCATGAAAACCCTAAACAATGGGGTACGAGGAGCTTTTGGAACAAGGTTCTGGGAGTGGAGTACCTGGAGAGGGAATCCTGGAACCCTCAAGTTGTAACCAAGTCACGCAAAAGTATGGGTAACCTGGGGACCCACTACTTGCAATTGGCATCTGAAGTGAGAGGCAGTCTTGTGGGACTGAGCCCTTAACCTGTGGGGTCTGCACTAACTCCAGGTAGTGTCTGAATTGAATTAAATTGTAGGGCACCCAGTTGGTGTCCACAGAGAATTAGAGAATTGCTTGGTATGGAAAATCATCCATTTGGTGTCAGAAGTATTGTGAGTATAGAAAAAAAGTTTTTCTTTTAGTCCCAGACACTCCCTAGCTCTCCAAGAAGACTGCACTTCTTGAGGGCAGGAGTGTGCCTTTCTAATTTTGCATCTAGAATATAAGGTCTTTTTTTTCAACTTTTATTTTAGTTTCAGGGGTACATGTGCAGGTCTCTTATATAGGTAAATTGCATGCCAGGGGGTTTGGTGTATAGATTATTTTTCCACCCAGGTAATAAGCATAGTACCTGATAGGTAGTGTTTTGATCCTCCTCCTGCCTCCCTCCATTCTCACGTAGGCCTCAGTCTCTGTTGTTCCCTTCTTTGTGACCATTTGTACTCAGTATTTAGCCCCCACTTTTATGCGTGAATATGCAATATTTGGTTTTCTGTTCCTGTATTAGTTTGCTTAGGATAATGACCTCCAGTTTCATTCCTGTTGCTGCAAAGCACATGATCTCATTTTTATTATGGCTGTGTAGTATTCCATGGTATATTTGTACCACATTTTCTTTATCCAGTCTACCATTAATGGGCATTTAGGCCGATTCTATGCCTTTGCTATTGTGAATAGTCCTCCAATGAGCACACGTGTACATGTGTCTTTATGGTAGAATGATTTATATTCCTTTGAGTATATACTCAATAATGGGATGGCTGGGTCAAATGGTAATTCTGCTTCGAGTTCTTTGAAAAATCACCAAGCAGCTTTCCACAATGGCTGAACTATTTACATTCCCACCAGCAGTGTAATTAGTGTTTCCTTTTCTCTGCAACCTTGCCAGCATCTGTTTTTTTTTAGCTTTTATTAATAACCATTCTGACTGATGTAAGATGACATCTCATTGTGGTTTTGATTTGCAATTCTCTGATGATTACTGATGTTGACCATGTTTTCATATGCTTTTTGGCCACATTTACATCTTCTTTCGAAAAGTTCATGTCCTTTGCCCACTTTTTAATAGGGTTATTTGTTTTTTTGCTTGTTGATTTGTTTAAGTTCCTTATAGATTCTGCATATTAGACCCTTATCAGATGCATAGTTTGCAAATATTTTCTCCCATTCTGCAGGTTGTCTGTTTACTCTGTTAATAATTTATTTTGCTGTGCAGAAGCTCTAGTTTAATTAGATCCCATTTGTCAGTTGTTAGTTTTGCTGCAATTGCTTTTGGCATCTTTGTCATGAAATTTTTGCCTATTTCTATGTCTACAATGGTATTTCCTAGGTTACCTTTCAGGATATTTTAGTTTTAGACTTTCCATTTAAGCCTTGAATCCATCTTGAGTTGATTTTTGTATATGGCGTAAGTCAGGGGTCTAGTTTCAATATTCTCCATATGGCTAGCAAGTTAACTCAACACTATTTATTGAATAGGGAGTCTTTTTCCCATTGCTTGTTTTTGTTGGCTTTATCGAAGACCAAATGGTTGTAGGTATGCTGCATAATTTCTGGGCTCTCTATTCTGTTCTATTGGTCTGTGTATCCGTTTTTGTGCCAGTATCATGCTGCCTGGGCTACTGTGTAGCCCTATAGTATAGGTTGAGGTTGCGTAAGGTAATGCCTCCAGTTTTGTTCTTTTTGCTTAGGATTCCCTTGGCTATTCAGGCTCTTTTTTGGTTTCATGTGTATTTTTAAATAATTATTTCTAATTCTGTCAAGAATATTATTGTTAGTTTAATAGGGATATCTTACAATCTATAAATTTGCTTTTGGCACTATGAACACTTTGACAATATTGATTCTTCCTATCCATGAGCATGGAATGTTTTTTCATTTGTTTGTGTCATCTTTGATTTCTTTGAGCAGTGTATTGCAGTTCTTCTTGTAGAGATCTTTCACCTCCATGGTTAGTTGTATTTCTAGATATTTTATCCTTTTTGTGGCTATTGTGAATGAAATTGCATACTTGATTTAGCTATTGGCTTGGCTGTTGTTGGTATATAGGAATGCTAGTGATTTTTGCACATTGATTTTGTATTATGAAACTTCACTTAAGTTGTTTATCAGATCAAGGAGCTTTTGGGCATAGACTATGGGGCTTTCTACAAATTGAATCATTTCATCTGCAAACAGGTATAGTTTGATTTCATCTTTTCCTATTTGAATGCCTTTTATTTCTTTCTCTTGCCTGATTGCTCTTGTCAGGACTTCCAGTAGTGTGTTAAAGGGAAGTGGTGACAGTGGGCATCCTTGCCTTGTTCCAGTTTTTATTATTATTATTATACTTTAAGTTCTGGGGTACATGTGTAAAATGTGCAGTTTTGTTACATAGGTATACACATGCCATGGTGGTTTGCTGCACCCATCAACCTGTCACCTACATTAGGTATTTGTCCTAACGCTAGCCCTCCCCTAGCCCTCCACCCGCCAAGAGGCCCCGGTGTGTGATGTTCACCTCCCTGTGTCCATGTGTTCTCATCATTCAACTCTCACTTATGAGTGAGAACATGTGGTGTTCGGTTTTGTGTTCTTGTGATAGTTTGCTGAGAATGATGGTTTCCAGCTTCATCTATGTCCCTGCAAAGGACATGAACCCATCCTTTTTTATGGCTGCATAGTATTCCATTGTGTATATGTGCCACATTTTCTTTATCCAGTCTATCATTGATGGACATTTGGGTTGGTTCCAAGTCTTTGCTATTGTGAATAGTGCTGCAGTAAACATATATGTGCATGTGTCTTTATAGTAGAATGATTTATAATCCTTTGGGTATATACCCAGTATTGAGGGGTCAAATGGTATTTCTAGTTATAGATCCTTGAATCATCACACTGTCTTCCACAATGGTTGAACTCATTTACACTCCCACCAACAGTGTAAAAGCATTCCTATTTCTCCACATCCTCTCCAGCATCTGTTGTTTCCTGACTTTTATCACCATTCTAACTGGCGTGAGATGGTATCTCATTGTGGTTTTGATTTACATTTCTGTAATGACCAGTAATGATGAACATTTTTTCATATGTCTGTTGCCTGCAAAAATGTCTTCTTCTGAGAAGCGTCTGTTCATATCCTTTGCCCCCTTTTTGATGGGATTATTTGTTTTTTTCTTGGAAATTTGTTTAAGTTCTTTGTAGATTCTGGATATTAGCCCTTTGTCAGATGGACAGATTGCAAAAAAATTTTCTCCCATTCTGTAGGTTGTCTATTCATTATGATGACAGTTTATTTTGCTGTGCAGAAGCTCTTTGATTTAATTAGATCCCATTTGTCAATTTTGGCTTTTGTTGCCATTGCTTTTGGTGTTTTAGACATGAAGTTTTTGCCCATGCCTATGTCCTGAATAGTATTGTCCAGGTTTTCTTCTAGGATTTTTATGGTTTTAAGTCTTACATTTAAGTCTTTAATCCATCTTGAGTTGATTTTTGTATAATGTGTAAGGAAGGGATCCAGTTTCAGTATTCTGCATATGGCTAGCCAGTTTTCCCAACACCCATTTATTAAATGGGAATCTTTTCCCCATTGCTTGTTTGTGTCAGGTTTGTCAAAGATCAGATGGTTGTAAATGTGTCGTGTCATTTCTGAGGCTTCTGTTCTGTACCATTGGTCTATATCTTTGTTTTCATACCAGTACCATGCTGTTTTGGTTACTGTAGCCTTGTAATATAGTTAGAAGTCAGGTAGCATGATGCCTCCAGCTTTGTTCTTTTTCTTAGGATTGTCTTAGCTCTGCAAGCTCTTTTTTGGTTCCATATGCAGCTTAAAGTAGTTTTTTTTCCAATTCTGTGAAGAAAGTCATTGGTAGCTTGATGGGGATAGCATTGAATCTATAAATTATCTTGGCCAGTATGGCCGTTTTCACAATATTGGTTCTTCCTATCCATGAGCATGCAACGTTTTTCCATTTGTTTGTGTCCTCTCTTATTTCCTTGAAGAGTGGTTTGTAGTGGTTCTCCTTGAAGAGGTCTTTCACATCCCTTGTAAGCTGTATTCCTAGGTATTTTATTCTTTTAGTGGCAATCGTGAATGGAAGTTCACTCCTGATTTGGCTCTCTGTCTGTTATTGGTGTATAGGAATGCTTGTGATTTTTGCACATTGATTTTGTATCCTGAGACTTTGCTGAAGTTGCTTATCAGACTTAGGAGATTTTGGGCTGAGACAATGGGGTTTTCTAAATATACAATCATGTCAACTGCAAGCAGAGACAATTACAATTTGACTTTCTCTCTTCCTATTTGAATACCCTTTATTTCATTCTGTTGCCTGATTGCCCTGGCTGGAACTTCCAATACGATGTTGAATAGGAGTGGTGAGAGAGGACATTCTTGTCTTGTGCAGGTTTTCAAAGGGAATGCTTCCAGTTTCTGCCCATTCAGTATGATATTGGCTGTGGGTTTGTCGTAAATAGCTCTTATTATTTTGAGATACATTCCATCGATACCTAGTTTATTGAGAGTTTTTAGAATGAAGGGGTGTTGAATTTTGTCAAAAGCCTTGTCTGCATCTATTGAGATAATCACGTGGTTTTTGTCATTGGTTCTGTTTATGTGATGGATTACATTTATTGATTTGCATATGTTGAGCCAGCCTTGCGTCCTAGGTATAAAGCCAACTTGATCGTGGTGGATAAGATTTTTGATGAGCTGCTGGATACAGTTTGCCAGTATTTTATTGAGGATTTTCATATCGATGTTCATCAGGGATATTGGCCTGAAATTTTCTTTTATTTTTGTGTCTCTGCCAGGTTTTGGTACCAGGATGATGTTGGCCTCATAAAATGAGTTAGGGAGGATTCCCTCTTTTTCTGTTGTTTGGAATAGTTTCAGAAGGAATGGTACCAGCTCCTCTTTGTAGCTCTGGTGGAATTTGGCTGTGAATCCATTTGGTCCTGGACTTTTTTTGGTTGGTAAGCTATTAATTGTTGCCTCAATTTCAGAACTTGTTATTGGTCTATTCAGGGATTCAACTTCTTCCTGGTTTAGACTTGGGAGGGTGTATATGTCCAGGAATTTATCCATTTCTTCTAGATTTTCTAGTTTATTTGCATAGAAGTGTTTATAGTATTCTCTGATGGTAGTTTGTATTTCTGAGGGATCAGTGGTGATATCCCCCCATATCATTTTTTATTGTGTCTATTTGATTCTTCTCTCTTTTCTTCTTTATTAGTCTGGCTAGTAGTCTATCTGTCTTGTTGATCTTTTCAACAAACCATTTCCTGGATTCATTGATTTTTTTGAAGGGTTTTTCATGCCTCTATCTCCTTCAGTTCTGCTCTGATCTTAGTTATTTCTTTTCTTCTGCTAGCTTTTGAATTTGTTTGTGGTTGCTTCTCTAGTTCTTTTAATATTGACATTTGGGTGTCAATATTAGATTTTTTCTGCTTTCTCTTGTGGGCATTAAATGCTATAAATTTCCATCTACACACTGCTTTAAATGTGTCCCAGAGATTCCGGTACATTGTGTCTTTGTTCTCATTGGTTTCAAAGAGCATCTTTATTTCTGCCTTCATTTCATTATTTACCCAGTAGTCATTTAGGAGCAGGTTGTTCATTTTCCATGTAGTTGTGTGGTTTTGAGTGAGTTTCTTAACCCTGAGTTCTAATTTGATTGCACTGTGGTCCGAGAAACTTTTTGTTGTAACTTCCATTCTTTTGCATTTGCTGCAGAGTATTTTACTTCCAATTATGTGGTCAGTTTTAAAGTAAGTGTGATGAGGTGCCGAGAAGAATGTATATTCTGTTGATTTGGGATGGAGAGTTCTGTAGATGTCTATTAGGTCCGCTTGGTCCAGAGCTGAGTTCAGTTCCTGAATATCTGTGTTAATTTTCTGTCTCGTTGATCTGTCTAATATTAACATTGGGGTGTTAAAGTCTCCCAGTATTATTGTGTGGGAGTCTAAGTTTTTTGTAGGTCTCTGAGAACTTGCTTTATGAATCTGGGTGCTCCTGTATTGGGTGCCTATATATTTAGGAAAGTTAGCTCTTCTTGCTGCATTGATCCCTTTACCATTATATAATGGCCTTCTTTGCCTCTTTTGATCTTTTTTGGTTTAAAGTCGGTTTTATCAGAGATTAGGATTGCAACTCCTGCTTTATTTTTTTTTTTTCCATTTGCTTGGTAAATATGCCTCCATCCCTTTATTTTGAGCCTATGTTTGTCTTTGCATGTGAGATGGGTCTCCTGAATACAGCACACTGATGGGTCTTGACACTTTAATTTGCCAGTCTGTGTTTTTTAATTGGGACATTTAGCCTGTTTACATTTAAGGTTAATATTGTTATGTGTGAATTTGATTCTGTCATTATTATGCTAGCTGGTTGTTTCATCCATTAGTTGATGCAGTTTCTCCATGGTGTCAATGTTCTTTACAATTTGGTTTGTTTTTGCAGTGGCTGGTACCGGTTGTTCCTTTCCATGTTTAGTGCTTCCTTCAGGAGTTCTTGTAAAGCAGGCCTGGTGGTGATAAAATATCTCAGCATTTGCTTGTCTATAAAGGATTTTATTTCTCCTTCACTTAGGATGTTTATTTTGGCTGGATATGAAATTCTGAGTTGAAAATTCTTTTCTTTAAGAATGTTGAATATTGGCCCCCCACTTTCTTCTGGCTTGTAGGGTTTCTGCAGAGAGATCTGCTATTAGTTGGATGGGCTTCCCTTTGTGGGTAACCCAACCTTTCTCTCTGGCTGCCCTTAACGTTTTTTCCTTCATTTCAACCTTGGTGAATGTGACAATTATGTGTCTTGTGGTTGCTCTTCTCTAGGAGTATCTTTGTGGTGTTCTCTATATTTCCTGAATTTGAATTTTGGCCTGTCTTGCTAGGTTGGGGAAGTTCTCCTGGATAATAGCCCGGGGAGTGTTTTCCAACTTGGTTCCATTCTCCCTGTCACTTTCAGGTACACCATCAAATGTAGAGTTGGTCTTTTCACATAGTCTCGTATTTCTTGGAGGCTTTGTTCATTCCTTTTTATTCCTTTTTGTCTAATCTTGTCTTCTCGCTTTATTTCATTAAGTTTATCTTCAGTCACTGATATCCTTTCTTCCACTTGATCACCTTGGCTATTGATACCTGTGTATGTTTCACGAAGTTCTCGTGCTGTGTTTTTCAGCTCCATCAGGTCATTTATATTCTTCTCTAAACTGGTTATTCTAGTTAGCAATTCATCTAACCTTTTTCAAGGTTCTTCGCTTTCTTGCATTGGGCTAGAACATACTCCTTTAGCTCAGTGGAGTTTGTTATTACCCACCTTCTGAAGCCTACCTCTAATCAGTTCATCAAACTCATTCTCTGTCCAGTTTTGTTCCCTTGTTGGCAAGCAGTTGTGATCCTTTGGAGGTGAAGAGGTGTTCTAGTTTTTGGAATTTTCAGTCTTTTTGCACTGGTTTCTCCCCATCTTTGTGGATTTATCTGCCTTTGGTCTTTGACGTTATTGACCTTCAAATGGGGTCTTTGAGTGGATGTGCTTTTCCTTTCTGTTTGTTAGTTTCCCTTCTAATTGTCAGACTGTTCTGCTGCAGATCTGCTGGAGTTTGCTAGAGGTCCGTTCCCAACCCTGTTTGCCAGGGTATCACCAGTGGGGGCTGCAGAACAGCAATGATTGCTGCCTGTTCTGCCTCTGGAAGCTTCATCCCAGAGGAGTACCTGCCAGATGCCAGCCAGAGCTCTCCTGTATTAGGTGTCTGTTGGCCCCTACTGGGAGGTGTCTCCCAGTCAGGAGGCACAGGGGTAAGAGACCCACTTGAGAAGGCAGTCTGACCCTTAGTAGAGCTCAAACGCTGTGCTGGGAGATCCGCTGCTCTTTTCAGAGCCATCAGGCAGGGACATTTAAGTCTGCGGAAACTGTGCCCACAGCCGCCCCTTCCCTCGGGTGCTCTGTCCCAGGGAGATGGGGGTTTTATCTATAAGTCCCTGACTGGGGCTGCTGCTGTTTTTTCAGAGATGCCATGCCCAGAGAGGAGAAATCTGGCAGTCTGGCCACAGTAGCCTTGCTGAGCTGCAGTGGGCTCCGCCCGGTTCCAACTTCCTGGTGGCTTTGTTTACACTGTGACTGTAAAACTGCCTACTCAAGCTTCAGCAATGGTGGACGCCTCTCCCTCAACCAAACTTGAGCATCCCAGGTCGATCTCAGACTGCTGCTGTGCTGGCTGCAAGAATTTCAAGCCAGTGGATCTTAGTTTGCTGGGCTCTGTGGGGGTGGGACCCACTAAGCCAAATCACTTGGTTCCCTGGCTTCAGCACCCCTTTCCAGGGTAGTGAACGGTTCTGTCTTACTGGTGTTCCAGGCACCACTGGGGTATGGAAAAAAAAAAAAAACTCCTGCAGCAAGTTCAGTGTCTGCCCAAATGGCTGCCCAGTTTTGTGCTTGAAATCCCGGTTCCTGGTGGGGTAGGCACCAGAGGAAATCTCCTAGTCTGCGGGTTGCGAAGACTGTGGGACAAGTGCCGTATCTGGGCCGGAGTGCACAGTTCCTCAGGCTCAGTCCCTCACAGTTTCCGTTGGGTAGGGGAGAAAATTCTCTGACCCCTTGTGCTTCCTGGGTGAGGCAATGCCCCTCCCTGCTTTGGCTCACCCTCTGTAGGCTGCACCCACTGTCCAACCAGTCCCAGTGAGATGAACCGGGCACCTCAGTTGGAAATGCAGAAAGCACCTGCGTTGATCTCGCTGGGAGCTGCAGACAAGAGCTGTTACTATTTGACCTTCTTGCCAGCAATGCCTTGTTCCAGTTTTAAAGGGTAATGCTTTCAGCTTTTGTCCATTCAGTATGATGTTGGCTGTGGGCTTGTCATAGATTGCTCTTGTTTTTTGGAGTATGTTCCTTCAATGGTTAGTTTGCTGAGGGTTTTTAACATAAATTGATGTTGAATTTTATCAGAAGTCTTTTCTGAATCTATTGAGATGATCATGTGGTTTTCGGTTTTCGTCCTGTTTATGTGATGAATCACATTTATTGATTTGTATATACTGAACCAAACTTGCATCCCAGGAATAAAGCCTACTTGTTTGTGGTGGATTAACATTTTGATGTGCTTCTCTATTCAGTTTTCTAGTATTTTGTTGAGGACTTTTGCATCTGTAGTTTATCAAGGATACTGGCCTGAAATTTCCTGTTTTTTTATGTCTCTGCCAGGTTTTGGTATCAGGGAGATGCTGGACTCATGGAATGAGTTATAGGAGTCCCTCTTGCTCAGTTTTTTTGGAATGCTTTCAGTAGGAATGTGTATTAGGCTGTTTTTACATTTCTGCAAAGAAATACCTGAGACTCGGTAGTTCATAAAGAAAAGAGGTTTAATTGGCTTATGGTTCTGCAGGCTGCACAGGAATCATAAAGGCATCTGCTTCTGGGTAGGCCTCAGGAAGCTTCTAATCATGCTGGAAGGCAAAGGGGGAACAGGCATGTCACAGGACCAGAGCAGGAGCAAGAGATAGAGAGGGGAGGTGTTACACACATTTAAACAACCAAATCTCATGAGAACTCACTCACTATGACAAGGACAGTACCAAGAGGGATGATGCTAAACCATTCAGGAGAAGTCTGCCACCATGATCCAGTCACCTCCCACCAGGCCCCACCTCCAACACTGGGGATTACAATTGAACCTAAGGTTTGGGTGGTGACACAGATTCAAACCATATCAGAATGATGCCAACTCTTTTTTATGTATCTGGCAGAATTTGGCTGTGAATCTGCCTTGTCCTGGGATTTTTCTGGTTAGTAGGCTTTTTATTACTGATTCAGTTTTGGAACTCATTATTGGTGTGTTCAGGAATTGAATTCCTACATGGTTTATTCTCACATGATTGTATATTTCCAGGAATTTATCCATGCATTCCAGGTTTTCTAGCTTGTGTGTATAGAGGTGTTCATAGTAGTCACTCATGGTTTTTTGAATTTCTGTGGAGTCAACGGTAATGTCTTTTTTGTCATTTTTTATTGAGTTTATATGGATTTTCTCTCTTTTTATTTGTCCTGCCAGCAGTCTATCTTATTTTGTAATAATTCTTTCAAGAAACCAACACCTGGATTTGTTGATCTTTTGTATGGTTTCCTTCAGTTTCCTTCAGTTCAGCCTGATTTGGGTTATTTCTTGTCTTCTGTTAGCTTTGGAGTTGGTTTGCTCTTCTGTCTATAGTTCCTTTTGTTGTAATGTTGGGTTGTTAATTTGACATCTTTTTAACTTTTCGATGTGGGGATTTAGCATTATAAATTTCTCTCTTAACGTGACTGTAGCTGTGTCCCAGAGATTCTCGTATGCTGTATCTTTGTTTTCATTAGTTTCAAAGAATTTCTTTGTTTCTGCCTTAATTTCATTATTAACTCAAAAGTCATTCAGGTGCTGTTTATTTAATTTCCATGTAATTGTATGATTTTGAGCAATTTTCTTAGTATTGATTTCTGTTTCTGTTGCACTGTGGTCTTAGAGTATAGTTGTATGATTTCACTTTTTAAAAAATTTGCCGAGGATTGTTTTATGTCTGACTGTGTAGTTGATTTTAGAGTATGTGCTGCATGCTAATGAGGAGAATGTATATTCTGCTGTTTTGGATTAGAAAGCTTTGTAGATGTCTATTAGGTCTGTTTGGCCAGGTGTCAAGTTCAGGTCCTGAATATCTTTGTTAGTTTTCTTCCTTGATGATTTGTTAAATGCTGTCAGTGGGGGGTTGATGTCTCCCCATATTATTGTGTAGTTATCTAAGTCTCTTTAAAGATCTCTAGAAATTTGCTTTATGAATCCTGATGCTCCTGTGTTGGATGCATATATATTTAGGATATTTAGGTCTTCATGTTGAATTGAATCCTTTCCCATTATGTAATGTCTGTCTTTGTCTTTTTAAATCTTTGTTGGTTTAAAATCAGTTTTGTCTGAAATTAGCATAGCAACTCCTGCTTTCTTCTGTTTTCTGTTTGCTTGGTACATTTTTCTCTTAGAATAGCAAGGCCTTAGAGAACACTTGGTTTTGTGTTTCCCAAACTTCCTTCATTCAAATATCATCTGTAGTATTTAGCTAGTATTTAAATTCTACTGACTTTTTTTTACTTAAACATTATATCACTGCAAAAAACAGGAAAGCAGTATCTCTAAAGATAAAAATAAATACAATAACATCATTATCTTATGCAATAGATAGCATTGCTTGAAGTTGTGAGTCTGTTGTCTATTTAATATATATATATATATATATTTATATATAAATTAGGTAATGAGTGATCACACACAAAATAGAATGATTTTGAAAATGTACCAGCACCAAAGTGAGCCTTTCTCCTTGATCTCATAAGAAAGTATTAGAAATAATGTAAAGTGGGTTGAAAATTTTTAATGTTTTAAATCATCTCCGCTCTCCCCAGTGACGCTCACTTTTTCCCACAGAAATCCTGATCATCCACCACTTTAAAGAAGTGCTGTCCCTTGCTCAAAGGCACACAGCCAGTTGGGGGAGAACCAAACAGCAATATGTCTCTTTCAACCACATGTGCTTATTTCAACCAGCCACACACTTTTCCCATCCCTGTCTCATGTTCTCTGTTTTCATTCCACCAAGAGGCTTAAATAGGCATTCAGCAAGTCAAACACAGCCCTTCACACTCCTTGTTCATTTATCAAGAGGCAGAGGAGGCAATGCCTGCCCATACTCTCCATGCCCCAAAAACAGTCTTTCTAATTTAAGAATAATGTCTAATTTCCTAGGTGAAGACGGGACTTAGCCCTTTCTGATTTATTCATTTATTTTGTTATCTCAGGGGTCTTAGTTCCTTTCTCTGCTAACTACTGGTCTGAAACTTTCTTCCTAAAGTACCATCTTGTTTGCATTTTTAGGTTTATAAACACAGTATGAGAATTTTTTTTTCTATAAAATACTTTCGGGATTTTCCTGTCTGTGGCTTCAACATCCACATCTTCTAAATGGAAGGCAGAATGGGCAGTGGAGAACAATGCATGAAGAGTTTAATGTCAGGAGTCCTTGGCTGGCAACTCAACTCTTCCGGGTGTGTGCCTAACATGAAGGAAATCACAGCCTCTCTTATCCTTTCCCTCACTCCGAATTAGAACTAAATGCTCTCTGGGCTTGTATAACGCACTGGGAGTTTGTGAGGATTAAATCACACTTAACATCACATTCTCCTATTATCCTTTTTTTTTTTTTTTTCTTTTTTTTGAGACAGGGTCTTGCTCTGTCAGCCACGTTGGAGTGCAATGGTGATGATCTCAGCTCACTGCAACCTCCGCCTCCTGGACTCAAACGATTCTTCCACCTCAGCCTCCCAAATAGCTGGGACTACAGGTGCACACCACTGTGCCTGGCTAATTTTTGTATTTTTGTAAAGATGGGGTTTTCCCATGTAGGCCAGGCTGGTCTTGAACTCCTGAGCTCAGGTGATCCACTTGCCTTGGTCTCCCAAAGTTCTAGGATTACAGGTGTGAGCCACTGCACCCAGCCCTCACATTATCCTTTGTTTAGTGAGTACTTACTCTCTCTCTCTCTCTCTCTCTTAACTTTGACCTGCAGCAGGGAGCTTAGAAATGCAGAAGAGCAAGCCCTCCCAGACCTATTCAGAATCTGCACTTGAACAAGACCTCTAGGTGACCCATGTGTACATTACATTTTGAGAAGCACTGCTCTAAAGGTCCACATAGTACTTCCTGGTTCTCCTCGAAGTGATTCTGTTGCCATAACAAAGTACGATGTCATCCTCTCTCCTAGGTTCTTTACTTTCCTTTTGTTCAATATTCGGAAAAAAAAAAAAAAAAAAAAAAAACAGAGAAATAGATTTAAAATAATTATATTGTTGCTCTGTGTCTCACTCCTTATCCTGCTGCTTGTTAGTCATAGAACCTTGAGAACTGTACTTGATCTGAGTTTTGTTTATTTTAGTTTATTCATCTGTAAAATGGGGATTGTAACCCTTTATCCTCAGTGTGATTGTACCACACACACACAGTTATTGTCGTACCTGGAACATGGTAGCTGGAGTCACAGAGTAGTAGTCACAGAGTCACTTTCCTTTGCTTCCCATCGTATGGGAAACTCCAGGTCATTTATTGTGAGAGGAAGGAGTGCATCATTCCAATGCCAACCATGCACTTCAAATCTTTAATTTGGGTTGTGAGTGCCAGATAATTTAGTTGACATCAAATCAGTGCTTTTGTGAGTGCTTGTCCCAATTAACAAATCAGCTGTGAAAAGGTCCTGGCAGATGAGGCACTTCTGCCTTGCCCATATCTGTTCAGGATGCCAGCTCAGTGTGAAGCAGATTCTGGAAGAGTCAGAACCTTGGGCGAGCAGAGAAAAGAATGGGAAGAGCCCCTGGAGTGTAGACTACTCTGGTCACATTGGCTGGTACATGTCACAGTTCTTACACATCTCAGGACCCACAGGGAAGTGCACATTCATGCCTTTTTCTCTACTGCTCTCAGCATAAAGAGGGAATAATGAAGAGAGAGCAGGCTTGGTAGCCAGAGAGGCATGAATTCTTGTCCTGGCTCCACTAGCTATGAAACCTTGGGCAGATTACTAAATTTCTCCACATCACAATTTTCTCAACCAGAAAAACAAAGCTAACTGTTTTGACCTTACAGGGACGTTGTGAGGATTAAGTGAGACCGAGTATATAAACATGCCTAGCATGATGCCTGAAGTATTACTGCCTAATTATTACCAGGCACTCGGAACTCAAGAAATGTTTGCTCCTCTTTTCACTCATCAAATTCTACCCAGCCAGCCAGACTTAATTTTAAGCCCCATTTCTTCCATTTCCCATTATGTAACCTTGGTCAAGTCATTTTACTTCTCCCAGTCTTAGTTACCTCCCTGGAAAACGAGGGGAGCAATATCCCCCTTGCCAGTTATTTGTGAGGACTAAGGAAATGCAAGCAAAGCACTGGCACCTGGAAGACACAGTAGAGGTGTCATTCAGGAAACGGAAGCTCTTATAATTCAAGGAAGCACAGCTCCTGCCTTGCTTCCTCTGTATGCCTTTTATAGTTCTCCTTTGAGTCCTCCTTACCTTCAGAAATCTTTATAACTTGCAGTGCTCAGGCCCAGAACCTCTTTACTCTATATACTCCCTATATAGATGGACTCATCACATCACATCACATCACAAGGGTTTAAATGCCATGTACACCTGATGTCTTCCACATTTAAATCTGCAGCCTAGACCTCTTCTCTGAACTCTGGACCCAAAAATTCAACTAATTCTGCAACTCCCACTTATGGAAATTATAAAATAATCTCAGATTTAACATATCCCAAATTGCACTCTTAAATTCCGTCCACATCACCACCAAATCTCCTCTACTCCCGGTTTTCTCCCTTTTCAGTGTCTTAGGCTAAAATTACAGGAGCTGTATTTGTCTTACCTCTTTCTTTCGCCCCCACATCTAGTCACCCACACTCAATGGTCATCAATGGGTCTTCATAATGTCTTCAAGACTCTAAGATATTTTTATAGGTTCAAGTTCAATGCAGACGTAGTCTTCAATTTAAAAAGTGTGGCAGGGAAATGAAAGAAGACAGGATAAGAAGGACATAGATACAAAAAGATTAAACAGGTAGGTAGCAATATAAAGGAGTGTCCAAAGGGATGTAGCAAATCAGGACATGATTGAGAAACATCCAGACCTGGGATAAGGTTAGGTTTTTGGGGTAAGGCTTGGCAGTGGGAAGCTTGTGTGCAAGTCGGTGGTATTGGAGACAGGTGAGTGGCACTTCCTTGAGTAAGTAGTCAGTCTGTCTTAGAGCGGAATGCTTTTCTGGGGACCTGGCCCAAAGGACAGTGCTTGCTGAGTCAATCAGGGCACTTCTGAACCTGCAGTGGGGCTCTATTCCCAGTAAGGGAGCTATTCCCAGTAAGGGAGCTATGGTGAAAGGAACTGAGATAGAAGCTAGCCACAGGACTGAGAGTGGGCCGCAACTCTGTGAGCTTAGGGTTTCCCTCAAGCAGTTCTAAGGCACTTTAAGAAATTCCAGATCCCACCCTTCTCCACCCCCAAAGTGCACAGCCCTAGTCCAGAGGACCACAGGAACTGACTGGGTGGGACTGACCGTTTACTACGTATCTCAGGAGGATCCATTTATCAGCTTTTATGCACAAGCAGATGAAAAGCATGATTCATCCTCCTATAAGCCTGTGGCTTCCGAGTCCTCCTTTCCTCCCCTCTAGCTGCCACCAGCCCCATCTTCTCATTCTCCTTGACTTAGCCCCATCTGTTTCCTTGGAGGCATAATAGCCCCGGCATGGGCTCGTGAACTTGGACAGGGCCATGAGCATCCGTGTCAAGCCATCAAGTCCCCAACAAATAACTTCCTGAGGGTCTATTTATTTTCTGTTTCATCCCAACAGGGCCAGGGTCTATAAATTATAGTTGGAATTCAGATCTATTTTCTAGGTCATGGGTGTGTTGCATATCAATAGTGGAGGAGAGAATCAGTGTGTTCTGTTCTGCAGAGTCCATTTGCCTACTGTAGTGAAACAGACAAGCTCAGCGGGCAGCAGGCCCCGTAGTGGACTGGCAGCCATAAACCTCTGCAGTGGACAGGAACTGCAGAGACTGGAGACAAATGAGCTGCTTCTGAGCAGGCCCGGCACTTCTTTTACAGGCACTGAGAGGCTTTCCATGCAGAGTGAAAGATGAATTTTGCTAAAGGCAAATCTAATGCTTAAACTGGGTTTGGTATTGTATTACAAGTGTGTTTAAGGATCTGGTGTGTGCATTGAGCATTCTGGAGCTTTATAGCACTGTACAAACATAGAGACAGCACCCAGCAACAAAAATCAGAAGGCTTTTGGGTCAAAACTGCTTGTAAATCCCAGCTCTGCCCCTTACTGTGGGACTTTAGGCAAATTGTTAAATCTTGTTATCTCATATGTGAAAAGACCCAGTGAGGCACATTTTATTATATGGATAAAACAAGGTGAATCAAAGTGTCTGATCCATAGCAGGCAGTCAGTGACATAGAGCATGTTTAAAATCAGAAATGCTTGTGTGGAAATGCCAACAAACCTTAGGCTCCAGCCTAGCATGAGGATTTTAAAGGAGGAACTTGGAGTCCACTGTCACCAGGTATGAATTTTGGTTCTTCGACTTACTGGTCAGGTAAACTGGGGCGTGTTATTTACTTTTCCATTGCTGGGGATCATAATAATGGCGATCTCATAAAATTGTTGACGTGACTAAAAACATGATACCCTTAAAGCACAAAGCATAGAATCTTCTGCATAGTAAAACCTTAATAAATGCGAGGTACTATATTTTGACTGGCTAACCAAAAGTCTTAAACTTAGCTTAATGAGATGTATTTTAACCAGCCGATCCCATGTGTATGTAATTTATGGTTGCAGATTTATTATTGGAGGAAATAACACTAAAATAATCTTCAGTTGAATTGTTAATCCAATTGAGTGGAACCTGGCTTTATTGGCTCTTAATTAGGAGTATGGGTGCTGGATGCTGTGATGGATACAAAGATGAATAAGGAATGAGAATAAAATTGATTTACCAAGCACTGTGCTAAGGACTCTCATATGGATTATCTCATTTAATCTTTTCATATAGTTTATATTAGTTCTTTTAGGAAGAACAATTCATGGTAATTGTAGAAAGTTCGGAAAGATAAAAAATATAAGAAACAAAAATTAAAATCACCCATAACTGCTGTTAGCTACTTGCTATATTTCCCTTCTGTCATTTTTCTGTGCGAAGTGCATGATATAGCTAAGCTTCAATTCCCTCATCTGTAAAATAAGGATAACACCCCCATCATCTAGGGGAGGTTGAACAACACATGAGGTCCATTAAGGAAAGGGTCTAACAGTGCCTGGCATTTAGTCTCAATAAATTGCTCTTTCCTTCTGTTTCTGTCACATAAGAATAATTTCTTGAGAGGCTGAGGTGGGCAGATCACGAGGTCAGGAGATCGAGACCATCCTGGCTAACATGGTGAAACCCCATCTCTACTAAAAACACAAAAAATTAGCATGTGATGGCATCATGTCTGTAGTCCCAGCTACTCGGGAGGCTGAGGCAGGAGAATTGCTTGAACCTGGGAGGCAGAGGTTGCAGTGAGCCGAGATCACATCACTTCACTCCAGCCTGGGCGACAGAGCAAGACTCCGTCTCAAAAAGAAAAAAGAAAAAAATAATAATTTCACAGGTCTCTTAAAACTAACATACATACACACACAGACACACACACACACACACACACACACACACACACACACACACACACACACACACACGTATGCCTGAGGATAAGGAGGTGGCCTTTCAGAGGGGCTACAAAGTCCAGGGATAGATTTGGACCATCTCCTAGAGTGCCAATTTTGTGAGTTCTGATAAAAGGTATGATTTTTACAATAAAAACCCATGTAATTGTTGGGATGTAAGATTCTTGACAATTTTTGAGATCAACTGCAAAGAAACATTGCACTCATGGCAGGCCAGCTCAGGCTCAGACCCCAGCCACTCGGACATGCTTTCTTCTCTTTGGTCATTATGGACCCTTCTGTGGGACAGTTTGAAAGCTACTGCTGAAGGATCCTGCATTGTGGAAGGGTTTTAAGCAGAGAACTAATGTGGTCAGAATTTAGACTTAGATCACTCTGGTGGTCATGCAGAGGGGGGCTTCAAAATAACCACAAAGGAAAGCCTACTAGAAAGATAGTGCAACTGTCTGCATAGTAAATCATGAGAGCAAGAACTAGGAAAACAGTGGTGAGAATAATGAGAAGATAGATTTGGAAAATTTAGAAGTCAGAATAAAGATCTTATTATTGTTCAAATATGGAGAAAGAGTTGTGTGAGGGGAATCCTGTCACAGAGACTGCGGATGTGGAAAAATGACACAGGACACATGATCATTATTACGATATAGTAAAAGACTATTTGCTTTGCAGCAAAATTTCTCAACTGTTCTTCCTCCTTAATTAAAGGGAAACTTAACTTATATATATTACAAATAAATTACAAAACGAGGTCCCCATTTCTTGAAATTACTTCCTGTTTCCCTGGAAATTATTTTAAGACTTTTATTTTCCCAGGTATGCCAAAAGTTAGCAACTCCCTGCTTTAATCACTGACTTTTAGGTCAGAAGGAAAGTGCAGCTTTGGGGAATCCTTAGACAAGCACTGCACAGTCCCAGGGCCTCTGTAGAAGAGATTGCTCTTGCTGGTGTAGTGAATGTGGAACCACATTTCAGGACCAAAGCCCACTGGTGCAAGGGCACGTTTACTTTCTGACAATATCAGGACAAAAATTAAACATTCATAATATGATAATTAAGAGCTGAATAATTTAAACCAATAAAGTAGATAGTGTGATATCTCCGGCATGAAACACAGTTGAGGAAAAATAACAGTATTTGCTCATTAGCTGTAAGCTTGGACTATGCAGTGAAAAGGGAACATGTTTTCTCTGTCATGATTAGAGTTTGAAATGAAAATGTACTCCCAAATCCACAGACATTCAACAGGAATGATGTTGTATGAAGAAAACATTGACATGGGACCAGGAATCCAATATACAGCTCTCCAATCTCTCTGTGATGAGCTGTGTGACCTGGGGCAAGTCACTCAACAAATCTGCACCTCTGTTTCAAATTCTGACATTGAACACGCATAATTCTTGTTTTGGTTGTAACACAATTTCACAGCTAAAAGACAGCAATCTATTATTATCAGACCTGATACAGAACAGCCTTGCAGAAAGCCTACTGTGGGATTCTACTGACATGTCCTCTACTATGACATGTCTACAGTGACGCTAGTCTGCTTTCCTATAACACTTAGGTCACTGTGATAAGGGAATGAAACTACCTGATAAAGCAGATGCATTGACAAGTCTATCAAAAATCCTAAATCCACTTTGCAATCTCTGACAATCACAGTACTGTCACAGTCTCATCATGATCAAAGATATCATCAGAGCCCATTGTAATCACAGGTAGACAGAGGATCAGAGGAAACAATCATGTTTTCCTTTCATTTCTTTATGAGGACTCCCAAAGTCCCTTTGTTGGGTTTAGGGCATGTTCTCACTTACCATCCTTTTAACTTCACTATCTTGCTTTGAAGATCCCAGGTTCTATCCTTTTGATCTCAGGTTCTAACTCTGGAAAGTACCCAAAGACTCTCCTAGACCTTCTTGTAGGTAATACTTGAAGAACATTGGTCAGATAGAAGAAAGGAGCCCCATCTCTAGGGCTTTGCCTTCATTTTCCTTCACTGAGGAATGTGTATATTGAAGTCTAAAGTTTTAGGAGAAGGGTCCTAAAATAGAACCACACTGAGCTTCTGCTATTATCCGTGAAGCCAGAATAACTATAGCACTCTCATCATAGTTTGCTATGAGAATTAAATAAGATAAAGTATATATTGTGTTTGGTACCAATGCCTGGCACAGAGTCAGGGTCAACACACAGCATTTGTGGAGGTTGTCAAGATTAAAGATAGACTTTGTAGTGGTAAACACATGAGTAAGGCTTGGCCCTGCTTCAGGGAACTTAGTCTAATCAGAGAGAAAGTCTTGCAAGTGTCTGAAGTATAAAGAGACCTAAAATGAACAGCTTTACAGACACAAGCAGGAGGAAGCATTTCACCTGAAGACGGGTATGTTTCAGTAGTTGGAGGTTGAAGATTGAATTTTCCTAACCTGAGGGAACAGCACGAGCAGGGACAATGATGTGTCTGTGGGTGATGTGTTGAAAAAAGGTCACAGGCCCTCTGTGGCTGGAGCATGATGGGCCATAAATAAATCGTAAAGGAAATGTATGTGGGCCCAATTACAGGATGCCTTAAATGCCAGAAAAAAATTATTTGAACCCTGATACACAATAGAGAGCCATTGAATGGGAGAAAGGTAAGGGTGTAATCCAGGGAGATGAATTTTGGCAGAAGTCCCCCTTTGGGATTTTTTGGTGTCATTGTCAAGCCTCCCCCTGTCTCCTCTGATAATCTGCCATTCTCCTAGCTGGATATCTCAAAGCCCAAATGGCACACAATATGTGCATAATAAATATTTGTTGAGTAAGTGGTTAAATAATCATCATGAACTTTTTTCTCCTCATTACATCAAGAAAAAAGAATATCCATGTGAACTAAGTGGTTGGCTTGGGACGGAGAAGAGAGTTCCCTTTACGGCTGTGTGGTTGATGGCTGCGGGAAG
Source organism: Homo sapiens (assembly GCF_000001405.40). Lineage (NCBI taxonomy): Eukaryota > Metazoa > Chordata > Mammalia > Primates > Hominidae > Homo > Homo sapiens. The sequence goes on along the minus strand of NC_000011.10, from coordinate 79,852,955 downwards.
GTCACCTAACCTCCCTGGGCCTCATTAGCTCTCAAAAATGGACGAAATAAAGACAACTCTCCTCTCAGAGTTTTAAAACAAGGAAACCAATTAAAATTCCATTTGCAAAATCTAAGGGAAAGTACTAAAAGCCAGTTCTCAGAATCCAAGGTTGATTATATATATATCAGTCTGGTTGAGATGGCTTGGACCTCTCACTTGTTTTTTCATGCCTGCTCCCTTATTAAGGGGGTGAAGGAAAAGATGCCCTTGTAATGTGTTTCTTTCCACACAAACCACACTTTGAAAGATTTTACGTATCAAGTAACCTGCATTTATTTAGCAATAACTAATTTGTCTCATTATTTTTATTAATCAAAGACATATATCAGCCAATCAGGGTTTACAATGTGCAACAGTAAGCTACCACACACTAATTTGATATATTCTGGCCAAAAGCAAAGCAATTTGTCATTTTAATTGACCTTCATATGAGTAAATGCATTATTTGTTAGCCTTTTTGGAATGTAGAAAATAACTTTCAGTTCCCATTACTATCTTTAAAAGTCTTAAGTATCTGGAATTCTAGGTTGAATGTCAAAGGTGAAGAGTTCAGTTATTCTACTTGTAAACAATAAAAGAAAAAGGGAATCAAGCCAGCATTGTGAAACATATCTGAAGACACTAGTGAAATTTATACCATTTATTTATGTATTTATTTTTTCAGTTAGCCTGTCCTGAACACCAACTATGGGCTAAGTACACATGATAAAAGATACAGTCTCTGCCTTGAAAGAGTTAATGGTTTGCTAGCTTGTTTGCTTATTTATCTATCTATTTATTTATTTGAGACAGAGTCTCACCCTGTCACCCAGGCTGGAGCGCAGTGGCATGATCTCGGCTCACTGCAACCTCCACCTCTTGGGTTCAAGTGATTCTCCTGCCTCAGCCTCCGCAGTAGCTGGGATTACAGGTGTGCGCCACCACGCTCAGCTAATTTTTGTATTTTTAGTAGAGACGGGGTTTCACCACGTTGGCCAGGCTGGTCTCCAACTCCTGACCTCGTGATCCACCCGCCTCAGCCTCCCAAAATGCTGGAATTACAGGCATGAGCCACCGCACCTGGCACTCCTTTATTAAAAAGATACTTACGGTGCACCTATTGTGTTTTAGGTGCTGTACTAGGCACTAGACATCTAAGATGGAAGATATTCCTTCAAGTCGTTTATGGTTTAATGGTTTAACACTTCATTCACACAAGCACACCCAAAGAACATGAAGAACTTTATCAGCATCACAGGCTTCTGATGATAATAATTCTTCCTGTGGGAGGAGAGGCAGAGAAAAACCTCTGTCAGGGACTCTCAACAGTGGGATGAGAGAAGAATGTCTCTGTTAATTTATGGAAGTGATCCCCCACCCCCAAACTAAACACACACTGTACAACGCACTTAAAGTGATTCCTATATGCTTTGGGCACCACAGAGAATCACCAGTCCAATGGGAAGAATGGATATGGCAGGACTTGTCTGGACAGGGGACATTGGAAATTGATGGGAAGACTACAAGGACAGAATCATTACAATCCAGAAGAAAAGTCCTGTGCCTCTGGATTATGAGAGTGAGAATGAAAAGGGAAGACAAATATGAAAAACATGCCCCAAGTAGAGTAGAAAGCATTTGGGACATGCATGTGAAGGAAAGAAGGGGAGGTTTAAAGTCTTGATGACAGGGAGTTTGATCAGAATTGGGAGATTCCTTGATCTGAATGAGGACTGGGAGCTTGGGAGAAGAAATGGATGACAAAGAGGAGGAGGAAGTGATGTATCAACTTTTAGATGGGCTCTGTGATATAAAAGACATGTAATTTTCTGAGTATGGCCTTTCAAGCCAGAATGAAATCATGAATCTGACTCTACTCTTTGTGAGTCCTTGAGCAAGGTACTCTACCTCTAAGCTACCATTTCCTTACCCATGAAATGGGGTTGAGAGAGCTTGCCCCACAAGGTTGCTATAGGGTTACTGTACACAAGGGTGTAATGCACTTCCACATAGGAGCTGCTCAGTGAGTATGTCCTTCCTCCCCTTGTGCTAAGTAAGGATGCTTGGAGAGGAAGCCAAGATGTGTACGGTTGTACATAAGCCGCACCTCTTGAACTCCTCGTAATTCCCAATCAGACCTTCAGAATGGACCATAGAGTTGTTCATACCTATCTCAACAGTTTCTGTCCAGCTTTTCTCACAGGACCACCTGATGACTTAATGTCCAGCAAAGACTAGGTTATTAAGCTCCGTCATTCCCTTCAGTTCATCTATGCCCCCACTAAAGACAAGCTTACCTTCTGCAGCTCTGGCCACTAGCAATATGTCTAAGGTTTTTTTTTTATGGACCATTCCATTAAGTTACCTGCTATGTCCATTGTGACTTTTGGCGCCTTCAAATGAGGCCTTATTTGCATACCTGATGAACTGAAGAATTTCAAACACTATACGTAAACCAGGCGGGCTGCAAAGAAACTGGAAAGAGAGGAGTTAAGAGTGTGGTTTGGCAGGAGACTACATCTGAGGACTTGATAATGAAAAACTGTAGAGAGCTTTTAATGATGAAATTCAGAAGATTTGAAAGGAGATGAAGTCAGGAGAATGTCCTGTGGCATTACTCCAATCTTTTCACCCTTTCTCTTGCTCCAAGTTAGCTTAAATATTTCAAGCAATTATTTTATGATCCCCATTACAACTTCTTTTAGTTACATTATATATATTTTTGGCCAGATAGTTTGGGAGAGTTGTTTGTCATTCATAAGCAAGAGATTGTGATTTTAAAACTGGGTTTGGAATTTGGCTTTTCAACTTATTCTCTGCTTACCCTGGAAAAAGTCACGAAGTCCATAAGGGGAGTGGTATGTGATTAGCCTTAGGTTTATCTACAAAATAAGGATAATAACCAACTCCACTCTCTGAGATTAGTAAGATATTGTCATGAAGTTGTTCATATTGATATGTCGTTTATATGTAATTATGTCTTGGATTTCATTCACAGTGTTTTAAGTGCTGCTTACTATGTAGCTTCCTTGATCAAATCTGACAGTTGTATCTATTTAATTGGTCTTTTCAAAAACTTAGTCTTATTTTCTCTAGCGTGTCTTTGCTTTCTTTTTCTATATTAGTATGTATTATTTTTCTTATCTCCCTCTTTCTGCTTTCCAATGGAGTCTACTATACTTTTTCTAACATTTAAATTAAATGATTAGCTAGTTCATTTTAAGCCTTCTTTTTTCCTTTTTTTCTTTTTTTTTTTTTTTTTTTTTGAGACGGAATCTCACTCTGTTGCCCAGGCTGGAGTGCAGTGGCGCTGAAAGCTCAGTTCACTGAAAGCTCCGCCTCCTGGGTTCATGCCATTCTCCTGCCTCAACCTCCCTAGTAGGCGGGACTATAGGCACCCACCACTACACCCTTAAGCCTTTTTTCTTTAAGGTAAACATCTAAAAGTAAAATGTGGTACCACTTTACTTAAGGTGGTACTTTACTGTTTACTGAAGGTAAACATCTAAAAGTAAAGTGTGGTACCACTTTGGCTGTAACCTGCAAATTTTTATATGTAGAATTTTATATGTAGGATTTTAATTACATGTGTATATGTGTATGTGTGTGTGTATATATATATAATTTCTATTGTCTGTTCTTATCCTATAAGTTATTTGGAAGCATTTTATTTTTAATTTCAAATGTGTGGGGATTTTATATTTACACATCTCCTTAGTGACTTTTAATTGTATTGAGATCAGACAATATGGTCAGTATAATATTAACTTTTTCTGATGCAGTGAGATTTGCTTTATATAGATTGATACATGATCAGGTTTGTAAATGTTTCATGGGTTTTTGAGAATAATGCATATTGGCTAATTTTCTAGGTAGAAGGGTCTATATATGTCTTTTAAATAAAACTTTTTAATTGTTGGCTAGATATTCTACATTTTGTTGTTTTGGGTAGGGTTTCTGTTTCATCTATCAAAAATTGAGAGAAGTATATTCAATTTTGTCGCTATGATGGAATTGTCAATTTTTTGATATATTTCTATCAACTTTTGCCTTATACATTTAAAATTATTCAGATACGTGTATAAAATATTTTGTTATATGCATACAAGGCTAGGATTGTTATATATTTCTAGTGAAGAATTTTTGTTATCAGGTAACCTTTTCTGTTCTCAGTAATATTTTCTTCCTTAAGATGAATACCTGAAGTTATACACATTGGAGATTAGACTTGTTTTAACATCTCATTTTTGCTTTCCATTTGTCCTATTTTTCAAAACTTCCACTTTCTTGCTTTTTGTTTTTTGATTGAAGCAGTTGGTTGGTTGGCTGATAGGTTGGTTTATTTACTTATTCCACATCCCCCTCAACAAACACTACTTTGGAACATACATATTCTTTATCTATTCTTAAGTAGTTGCTTTTTTTCACCAAGTGTAACACAGTGTAACATTAATATTTTAATCTTCAAGACAACTGCATGTATTTTAACTTCAGTCACTTCCACTCAGCTAATTTACATGTTATACTATTTTGGTTTGGTAATGTATAACTCTTTAAATAATACTTTATTATTATTCTATACAGACTATTTCTGTTGATTTATCTACATATTTATCAATTTATGTGCTTCCATTTGTTTTTCTCATAACTTCCCTGGAAGTTCATTTTGTTTTCTACTAAATTACAACTTTAATTAAGTCCTTTAATTAAGGACTGTTGCTCAGCTTTCAGTAAGCTCTGCTTTTGTTTCTCTAAAACTATTTTATTTTATCCTCAACCTAAGATAGTTTTTCTGGGCACATATTTCTAGGTTGAGATTCATTTGATCTCAGCATTTTAAAGTTACTATTTCAACATATTCTGGCTTCCATCATTTCTTCTATCAGCCTACTCGTAGCTCCCTCATAAGTGACCTGGTTTTTTTCTTCCCATTGGTTACTTTAAGATCTTGATATCTTTGGTATTGTGCATTTTCATGTCATCATGGGTAGATGTCGGTTTCTTTTTATTTATCCTGCTTGATAAATTGTATGCTTCCTGTATCAGTGAATTCATATCTTTCATTCATTCTGAAAAATTTACAGTCATTTCCTCTTCAAATGTTTCTTCTCCAATCTATTCTTCTGGCATCCCAGTGTATATTAGATGATACTGATTATGACTTCCATATCCCTTTACCTCTCTCCCTATTTTATTCCTGTCTCTCTGCTGCATTCAGGGTAACTTCTCCAGCAGAGAAATAATTTACAGTGGATCTTTTTCTGGGTGTCTGGTGATGCTTGATTGAGATTCTACATTTCATTGCATTTAATCTGTGGAAATCCTGGCCTTTATTGGGACCCTTTCTTCCCAAGGATGTGTACTTCCTTCTGCTTGGGACCACTCTGATCCTACCTACCATTGGCCCTAAACAGCATTTTGATTCCAGTAGAGATAAAATTAAAGTACTTTGTATTTTCTCTCTCTCTGTTAAACTTTTATTATGTCAATTTTCAAATATTCATAACAGTAGAGAGCATAAGTCCCCATGCCCGCTGCTTTTATTCCTGGAGTCTAAAGCAAATCCCAAAGAGCATGTCATTTTGTCCCACAAGTACATCATAATGAAATGAGTTCTCTCTCCCTCTTTGCAGAACATGCAACAGGGGTGTGACTTGTCTGTTTGGTCATCAGCACTATTCAAACCCCTTATGGGAGGGGGACCACACAGACTGACGGGTCCAGGAACCAGGGCAAGCACCCCTGGGCTCCTTCCCCATGGCAGCATCAAGGGGTGGTAGCCTGAAACTCCTGGATCCCAAGTCAGCGTGTGCTACATTTTGCTCTTTTAGCCTTGCCATCCAAGGATAGCTTAGGTGTTAACCAGCTCAGTGGACCCTCTGCCTTTTTGCAAGGGCAGAGGGCCAGTGTGACAGCTTTCTGTATCTTGAGCTCTTGTCAAGCATCCTGGAAGAATCAGGTCACACACAGACTCGAAGGATGGTGAATGCTGGGGGTTTCTTGGGTGGTGGAGGTGACTCTCAGTGGGCTAGATGAGTTCGAAAGGGGATGGAGTGGGACAATGATCTTCCCCTGGAGTTTGGCCATCCAGTGGCCAATTTTCCAACCGTCTCCAGCTAAACTCCTCCCAATGTTCCGTCTCTTCTCTCCTTCTCTACCACTCTTTTGATGGTCTGCTGCTCTCTTTCTAGATCCAGGGGTTTGGGGCTTATATGGGTACAGGATAGGGGTCCATGGTGGGCCAAAAGGCAACTTTGAGGCGTGAAAATAGGAATGCTTATTCCCATTTAGGGCCGCAGGTTTCCAGGCTTGAGAGTGAGGCCTTTGCTGGGGAACCACCCTCTTCTACCCAGTATTTCCCTGTCTCCTGTCTATATCAATAATGTATCAAAAATAATAAAAAGGACATTTTTTATATGCCACAAATTTTAATATTATCTAATAATCAGTCACATATGTAAGTTTGTCTAATTTTTTAGTTTGTTTTAATCAGAATGCAAATAAGGGCTATAGTTTTTATTTGGTTGTGATGTGTCTTCATTCTCTTTAAGCTAAAACGTACCCCACCCTCCACCTTCTTCTCTCTCATTCACTTATTTGAAGAAACCAGGCTTCTGTTCTGTATAATGCCCCACAACTTGGATGTGGCTCATTGCTTTTTTGCAGTATGGTTACATTTGTTCCTCTGTCCATTTACTCTTGAACCTTCTCCAATTAGGCTTTCACACCCAAATATGCCACAGCAACTGCTTTACTGAAGATCACCAATTATTCCATATTACTAAATAGAATAATCAATTTTCAGACTTAAACTTACTTAAAATATCACAGCATTTGTTTCCAATGATCACTCTATCTTCCCAGAAATGCTTTCATCATTTAGTATCCAGATCACCACCTTCTTTAGATTTACTCTTACCTTCTTTTTCCCAGGCTCCAGGGCTGGTTCCTCCTCATCTCCTCAGTCTGAATGTTGGAGGCTCCAAGACTCAGTGTTTGGATTACTTTATTTATTCTCATTTCCTTTAGATCTGTTTATTTGTTCTTATTTAGCCCCTCAGGTTAAAATACTATCTGTAGAGCTGAAATATGACTCTGCTTGTATCTGATTTTAGAGACAGACCACACTGCCTACACATAAGCTCTCCTGCCAATGTCCTCACCATTCTGTCATTTTACATTTGACCCCTTTTTGGTCAAATGTAAAAGTACACATTTTTTGGCAGAACATCTCATATTTTGATTTCTTCAATTTGGGGGAATTAGTAGGTCTTGGAGTTTTCTCTTTAATTCCTTAAAAGCAAGCAATATCTTTAAATGGAATATTTTATCTAGCATCTAGTTGTTTTAAAGTAGGACCTTTCAGGGTGTCTGCTCTACTATACTGCCAAAGCAGACGTCTGAGTTTAGCAGTGTTCACATACCTAACATTTCTGGACCATTGTTTTGTATTTATTCTTAGCTATTGGACTCCCTTCCTTCTTCTGAGCCTAGGTTCCCCAAGAATGTTAATAGGAACAATTGGCAAATGGAATCCAGGACTTCAGTTGGAAAGAAACTTAAAATCCCTCAAAGCTAATCACAACTTGCTTTTTGAATCACCTCTGCATCACGTTCAAGTGGTTGCCTAGCCTCCCCTTACATTCATCAGTGATAGGGACCTCACCATCTCCTGAGGAGCCCATTGTGGGGGCTGGCTAGATAAGTCCAAAATTGGAAGCACAGGCTATCAGGGAGGGCAGTCTAGAATGCTGAGGTACAAGCTGAAGCTGCTGTCCACTGGTAGAATTTATTCTTTAGGGAAGCCTCAGCTCAGCTCTTAAGGCCTTTCAACAGATTGATTCCTGCCTTCCTGAATTAGCTAGGATAATCTCCCTTACTTAAAATCAACTGGTTGTAGATGTTAATCGTAACTACAAAATACCTTCACAGCAAGACCTAAATGAGTTTTTGATTGAATAAATGGAGACTTGGGCCTAGTTTACTTGACACACAAAATTGGCCATCACAGGAGCTTTCTCTGTACCAGCAGCTATGTCAGGCATTTGTATATCTTTATATATTTTAATGGTCTTTGAATTAAGTATCATTATTCTTATTATAAAGATGAGAGAATTGCAACTCAAAGCAATTGATTATTTTTTATTGTTACTAATACATGTGGGGAAACTGAGACATGAAAAGATAAAATAGCCTTCAATACATATGCAAAGCCCTGAGCAAAATACCCATTGCATTATTAAATATTAGTTCCCTTACCAAATTGTTCTTTTTTCAAAGCCATGTTCACTTTAAGACAACTGCTAGTAGTTGTGCCTTCCACCAGGGAGTGAAATGATGTTTAACACACTTGCCTAGGGTATGTTTGCAATAAGAGTGTGTGTGTGTGTGTGTAAGTGTGTGTGTGTAAGTGTGTGTGTGATGGAGGGGGTGCTTTGTAGGATGGTGCTAGAGTAATAGCCCAGCTAGAATGTAAGGCTATATTCTTGCCTTCACTGGGATGTTGCTCCTGTCTTTGGAAATGCTTTGAGCTCCTTGAATTAGTACAATATGTTATTGTATTTACTGAATTTATTATTGTAGAGACAGAAAATTCCTCAGTGGCTTCTTTTCCCCAATAACAAGTCATTCTCCACATGCTTAAATTAGGATAGTTGGAATACTAAATACATAATCAGAAAGTCTAATGTGTTTTATGCATGTTCTCATAAACCCTTGGGATGTATATCAGAAGGCAGGAGGGATGATGGCAGCGTAGGGTCTGTGCTGAGACTGGGTCTGAAGGATGATGGGGTAAGGAGGGAGAGAGGTGAACTTCTTTGCTTTCGCTGAAATCACTGGGTAAATATGGCCAGACATAGTGGGTTTCTTTAGCCCAAGTGACTTATGTAGTCATGATTGATCACAATTTTCATAATAAATATAAATTTTACAAATAGATTTGAGCATATTTACTTCAGTAGGCATAAAAAAGGCCTTCTGAAATTAGGTTTCAGATAGGCCCTGAGACTTATTCATCTCCATAATGAAATTTTGCTTTTATATACATTTTGGCATAGTATTTAAAGGTAAAACAAAAACTGAAACCTATGATTTCATAAATGTGTAATCAATATTGTGAATAACCCATTTTGTATAACACTCTACAGTTTACAAAACTTCTACACAATATGGTGGAATGGGAAGAACACTATACTTGGAGTAATACTTGGGTAGTAGGTTGTGTTACTGCCCGCGGTGTTCAGCTCCTGTGAGAGGGCTATACACCCCCATTGTCTCCCCATCACAGTGTTGCAGACTTGGCCATGTGATCTTCTCCAGCCAGTGGATTGTCTATGGAAGTAGAGCATTGCATGGCTC